>NC_000004.12:44386136-44695561 GCF_000001405.40 Homo sapiens
GTTGATTTCTTAAGACACTGAAAATAGAACCAACATATGATACAACAATTCCACTTCTGGGTATATACTCCCAAAATTGAAAGCAGAATTTCTAAGAGATATTTCTACAGTCATGTTTAGAGACGCCATATTCACAATAGCCAAGAGGTAGAAGCAACTGAGCATCCATCCACAGACAAATGAATAAAATGTGGCATGTACACAAAAATGAATATTATTCAGCCTAAAGAAGGAAAAAAAAACTAAGGCGTGCAAGCAACTTTATAGGAAAATATCTAATAATCTAATTTTAAAATGGGCAAAATATCTGAATAGACATTTCCCAAAAGACATACAAATGGAAAACAGGTATATGAAAAGGTAGTCAATATTAATGATCATCAGAGAAATTCAAATTAAAACTACAATGAGATATCATCTCATGCCCGTTAAAATGGCATATCCAAAAGACAGGCAATAACAAATGCTAGTGAGGCTATAAAGAAAAGAGAACCCTCACACACTGTTGGCGGGAATGTAAGTCAGTATAACCACTAGGGAGAACAGTTTGGAAGTTCCTCAAAAAAACTAAAAATTGAGCTAACAAGTGATCCAGCAATCCCACTGCTAAGTACATACCCCAAAAAAGGAAATCAGTATATCAAAGAGATATCGGCACTCCTATGTTTAATGCAGCACTATTCATAATAGCCAAGATTTGGAAGCAACCTAAATGTTCATCAACAGATGAATGAAACAAGTAAATGTGAGGCAAGAGAAAGAAATAAAGGGCATTCAAACAGAAACAGAGGAAGTCAAATTATCTTTATTTGCAGAGGACATTATCCTATACCTAGAAAATCCCATCATCTCAGCCCAAAAGCTTTTTAAGCTGATAAGCAACTTCAGCAAGTCTCAGGATAAAAAATCAGTGTGCAAAAATCACTAGCATTCCTATATACCAACAGTCAAACTAAAAGCAAAATCATGAACAAACTCTCATTCACAATTGCCACATAAATAATAAAATACCTAGAACTACACTAACTAGGGAGGTGAAAGATCTCTACAATGAGAAATACAAACCATCGCTCAAAGAAATCAGAGATGACACAAACAAATAAAAAAAATTCAATGCTCAGGGATACGAAGAACCAGCTTTGTTAAAATGTCCATACTGCCCAAAGCAATTTATACATTCAATGCTATTCCCATTAAACTACCACTGCCATTCTTACAGAACTAGAAAAAAAATGTTAAAATTCATATTGAACCAAAAAAGAGCCTGAATAACCAAGGCAATCCTAAGCAAAAAGAACAAAGCTGGAGACATTACACTACCTGACTTCAAACTATACTACAGTGCTAGAGTAACCAGAACAACATAGCACTGGTACAAGAACAGACACATAGAACAATGAAACAGAATAAAGAACCCAGAAATAAGACCACACACCTGTAACTATTTGATCTTTGACAAACCTGACAAAAACAAGCAATGAGGAAAGGATTCCCTATTTAATAAATGGTGCTGAGATTACTGGCTAGCCATATACAGAAGAAACTGGACTCCTTCCTTACACCATATACAAAAATTAACTCAAGATGGATCAAATACTTAAATGTAAAACCCAAAACTATAAAAATCCTGGAAGACATCCTAGGCAATGTCATTCAGGACATAGGCACAGGCAAAGATTTCATGATGAAGATGCCAAAAGCAATTGCAACAAAAGCAAAAATTGACAAATGGAATTGAATAAACTTAAGAGCTGCATGGCAAAAGAAACTTGCCAACTGAGTAAAGAGATAGCCTACAGAATGGGAGAAAATTTTCGCAAACTATGCATCTAACAAAGGTCTAACATTCATCATCTATAAAGAACTTAAACAAATTTACAAAAAAAAAAAAACCTCATAAAAAAGTGGGCAAAGGACATGAACAGACACTGCAAAAGAAGACATACAAGACAACAATCATAATTTAAAAAGTTCAACATCACTGATCATTAGAGAAATGCAAATCAAAACCATAATGGAGTACCATCTAACACGAGTCAGAATGGCTACTATTAAAAAGTCAAAAAATAATAGATGCTAGTGAGACTGTGGAGGAAAAGGAATGCTTATACACTGGTGATTGGAGTGTAAATTAGTACAGCCATCGTGGAAGACTGTGATGATTCCTCAAAGACCTAAAGACAGAACTACCATTTGTCCCAGCAATCCCATTACTGGGTATATGCCCAAAGGAATATAAACCATTCTATTATAAAGACACATGCACACGTATGTTCACTGCAGTACTATTTACAATAGCAAAGACATGGAATCAACCTAAATGTCCATCAGTGATAGACTGGATAAAGAAAATGTGGTACATATATACTATGGAATATTATGCAGCTATAAAAAGCAATGAGATCATGTCCTTTGCAGGGATATGGATGGAGCTGAAGGTCATTATCCTTAGCAAACTACACAGGAACAGAAAACTGAATACCAGATGTACTCACTTATAAGTGGAAGCTAAATGATGAAAACACATGCACACATAGAGGAAAATGACACACAGGGGCCTTTCAGAGGGTGGAGGGTGGGAGGAGGAAGAGGATCAGGAAAAACAACTAATGAGTGCTAGGTTTAATACCTGGGTGATGAAATAATCTGCACAACAAACCCCTATGACAAAAGTTTACCTATGTAACAAACCTGCACTTGTACACCTGAACTTAAAATAAGAGTAAAAATAAATAAATAGAACTTAAACTCCCCACCAAAAAAAGATAATGTGGTACATATATACAATGGAGTATTATTCAGCCATAAAAATGAATGAAATCCTGTCATTTGCAACTACATGGATGGAAATGGAGGACATTATGATAAGTGAAATAAGCCAGGCACAGAAAGACAAACTTCACAAGCTCTTACTTATTTGTGGAAGCTAAAAATTAAAACAATTGAACTCACAGTGATAGAGAGCAGCATGATGGTTACTAGAGGCTGGGAAAGGTGGTGAGGATGTTGTAAGGAGGTAAGGATGGTTAATGGGTACAAAAATATAGTTAGATAGAATGAATAAGATCTAGTATTTGACAGCATAACAGAGTGACTATAGTCAATAATAATTTATGTGTACATTTTAAAATAAACAGTATAATTGAGTTGTCTATAACATAAAGACAGGATAAATGCTTGAGGTGATGGAAACCTCATTTACCCTGGTGTTATTATTACACATTGCACACGTGTATCAAAATATCTTATGTACATCATAAATACACACACATGAAAAAAGGAACAAAATTCTGATACATACTATGACATAGTTGTAGGACTATGCTATGGGAAATAATTTAGTCACAGAAAGATAAATACTGTATGATTCCATATGATTCCATTCATCTACAAAGAGTAGTTAAATTCATAGAGACACTAAGCAAAATGGTGGTTGCCAGGAGCTGGGGGTGGGGGTGTGGAATGGGGAATAGTTGTTTAATGAGTATGGAGTTTAAGTTTTGCAAGATGTAAAGAGTTCTGGAGATTGGTTGCACAACAATATAAATGCACTTAACATTACTGAACTGTATGCTTAAAAATAGTTCAGATGGTAAATTTTATGTGTATTTTACCACAATTAAATTCTTTCAAAAATACAGTTGGCACATGAACAACACAGGTTTGAACTATGCAGGTCCATTTATACGTGGATTTTTTTTCAATAAAAGTTATACCAATTGGTTTTGATTTGCATTTCCCTGATCATTAGTGATGTTGAGCATTTTTTCATGTTTGTTGGTCATGTGTGTATCTTTTTTTGAGAATTGTCTGTTCATGTCCTTAGCCTACTTTTTGATGGGATTGTTTGTTTTTATTTCTGCCGATTTGTTTGAGTTCCTTGTAGATTCTGGATATTAGTTCTTTGTCAGATGTATAGATTGCAAAGATTCTCTCCAAATCTGTGGGTTGTCTGTTACTCTGCTAATTGTTTATTTTGTTGTGCAGAAGCATTTTAGTTTAATTAAGTCCCATCTATTTATTACTGTTTTTGTTGCATATGCTTTTGGGTTATTGGTCATGAAGTCTTTGCCTAAGCCAATGTCTAGAAGGGTTTTTCCGATGTTATCTTCTAGAACTTTTATGGTTTCAGTTCTTAGATTTAAGACCTTCACCCATCTTGAGTTGATTTTTTTATAAGGTGAGAGATGAGGATCCAGTTTCATTCTCCTACATGTGGCTTGCCAATTATCCCAGCACCATTTGTTAAATAGGGTGTCTTTCCCTCGACCACCTTTATGTTTTTGTTTGCTTTGTCGAAGATCAGTTGGCTGTATTTCACCTTATTTCTAAGTTCTCTATACTGTTTCATTGGTCTATGTGCCTATTTTTATATTAATACCAGTACCAGGCTGTTTTGGTGACTATGGCCTTATAGTTTAAAGTCAGGTAATGTGATGCCTCCAGATTTGCTTTTTGCTTAGTCTTGCTTTGGGTATGCAGGCTCTTTTTTTGGTTCCATGTGAATTTTAGGATTGTTTTTTCTAGTTCTGCGAAGCATAACGCGATACCACCTTATTCCTGCAAGAATGGCTATAATCAATAATTCAAAAAATAACAGATGTTGGCATGGTGAAAAGGAGTTAATGTGGTAAAATTGGCATTGATAATAAAATAATAGGCATTGATGTGGTGAAAAGGGAACAGTTTTACACTGCTGGTGGGAATGTAAACTAGTACAACCACTATGGAAAACAGTGTGGGGATTCCTCAAAGAACTAAAAGTAGAACCACCATTTGATCCAGAAATCCCATGACTAGGTATCTACCCAGAGGAAAAGAAGTCATTATGCAAAAAAGATACTTGCACACGACTCAGCCATAAAAAGGGATGAAATAACGGCATTTGCAGCAACCTGGCTGGAACTAGAAACCATTATTCTAAGTGAAGTAACTCAGGAATGGAAAACCAAACATTGTATGTCCTCACTCATAAGTGGGAGCTAAGCTATGAAGATGTAAGGCATAAGAATGATACATGGACTTTGAAGACTCAGGGGAAAGGGTGGGAGTGGGTGAGGGATAAAAGACTACACATTGGGTACACTGTACAATGCCTGGGTGATGGGTGCACCAAAATCTCAGAAATCACCACTAAATAACTTATTAATGTAACCAAATACCACTTGTTCCCCAAAAACCTATTGAAATTTTTAAAAAGAGTTATATCAATTGTGCCCGCCTCTTCTGTCTCCCATTCTACCTCCTCCACCTCTTCCAACTCTGTCACCCAGGACAGCAAGACAAACCCCTTCTCTTCCTCCTCTTCCGCAGCCTACTCAATGTGAAAACGATGAGGGTGAAGATCTTTATGATAATCTACTTTCACTTAATAGTCAATATTTTCTCTTTCTTATGATTTTCTTAGAAACATTTTCTCTTCTCTAGGCTAATTTATTATAAGGATATAACATATATAATATATATAAAATACATATAACATAAAAACTATGTGTTAATCAACTGTTCATGTTATCAGTAAGACTTCCAGTTAACAGTGGGCTATTTGTAGTTAAGTTTTGGGGGAGTCAAAAAGTTGGGTCGAAGTTTTTGACTGCATGGGGATTGGCACTCCTCAGCCTTATATTTTTAAAGGGTCAACTGTAATAAATGAACATTCAGATTAATACCAATGTCATTGTTAGTGTCACTGTTATAATGAGTAGACAAAGTTAATCCACGTGATTCCATACGAGTTCAGATTTTCCAGAAATGACACTGAGTAGCCATTCAGCAAATCAGTCTTCTTAAATTTGAGCATAAGTTAAAGCCAAACATTAGATTTGGTCCAAATTTCAAGTCCTATATGAAACTTCAGTACAAGCCTAAAAGAAGACTCTTACGGAGTCTTACCAACTGTCAGAATTTCAGAAACAGTAGCAGACAGGTAGAGGACAAACTTTTGGTCAAAGTGGCCCTTTTTGCATTTCTTCAAACCTCACAGATCTTATTATTTAGACTTATGCTCTTCTCATTAACTCATAAAACTAGGTTTATAGGTTTTTACTTTCCGATAAACACTGAATAAGCCTCTCCTTTCCTTTAAGTTGATCCCTAAGAAAGGACATTAAGAATGTAGGAGATAGAATTAGTCCTCTAAGTCAACATATCATGACACTCTCTCATGTCTTACAAGTTTTACACAGTGATGTATATGGCCTTCTGTAAAACAAGGCATTAAATAAATATTAAATAACATATTGTTGACAATATTTTTCCATATTAATAAAACACAAATTCAGCTTGTGGGTTAAGATTTAAACTGTCATTCCATAGTTTCACCTATCATTGAGTCAGATTGTCCATAATATTAAAGTCAAAACTTATTTAAAAGGTGTAGGTGTGCTTGAAGACTTTGAATTTATCCAAATCACCTTGATTTCCCTGCCAATATTCATAAGCATCTAAAGGTTAGAGGCCCTATTAGTCTGATTCACTCATAAAAGTACCATAAAAAAGATGCTTAATAAGTGGTTTTTGATCATGCTAATGATGAGATACTTCTGGAGCTAAAAATAGCAAGGTGAGATAATCCCAAACGGCACATATAACTTCCCCTCTAGGTTGAATAAGGAGAAGAGTAAAAATGATGAAATTGGCTTACACGCAGAGAACAGTCTAGCTTCATCATAATTTCTGTCTTGAACACTGCAATATAAATTTTATTATAAACTATAGCTCTGTACAGCTGAAAAAACATCTATTTTTACTAAACGTCAAAAATATCACCAAATGATATTCATGAGATAAACCTAAATATATCAAATTGTCAGAGAAGACATGGACAAAGAAGTACTTTCTTCCCAGCCTACAAAGCAAGAATAGTCATCACCACTATGTCATTTGAGAAATGCTGACACTGAATCTCAATTCCTGCAGGAAATGGTAATAACACAAAATGTGGGAAAGTTGCAATACTGTGACAATAGCAGAGTTGTACTCCTTGCACATGTCAGCATTGATTGTAGAGAGAGTACAGTTCTGTGGCCTTATAGAAGTGTGGTATTTTCAGGAGCATTATAACAGCAAACTGTAGGTCTGATGGCTCTTCAAAAGTATGATCAGGTTTCGGTAAAGGAGACATGGTAGGGAAAACAAAAAACCAAAGCTTATTCTGTTTTCCTAAAGTTATAAAGAAAGTTAAAAGAATACATATTTGATCTTCAAAATAATATATTCCTAAGAAAATTAGTGTAAAGCATTTAAAAACTACATAACAGTTATTCTCACACTAGTGGGTCTAAATATGGTTGATGAAGGGAAAAAAACAGTAAATTTAAATTATGCCAATAACGTTGGTAAATGTATTATATTTCCAAACAGAACAACTATGAAAGTTCACACTGAAAAAAAAAAACACATGAAAAAGAGGTCTACTACCTACTCACATTATAAGTATTAAATTCTATTATTAAAAATCCAATAAGAAATTCAAATGAGCATTTTAAGAAAACTTTTATGTATTTACAATGGAGTTTATGAATGGTAGTTATCAGAATATTTAAGTATCTTATAAATTATTAATATAAACATAAATGATAGTAATAAATGGTGAGGACTACGCTGCCATGAACTAGTTATCCTCACCTCCTCATTAGGCATTCTCTCAACTATTTATTCAATAAACATTTACAGAGCATCTCTTATTCTGTAGAAGCTTAGAAATCAAATAAAGAGCTTATTTTTGCCATTGCACTATATGATTAAAAAATTAAAATATAAAATAAAAGTAAATAGTATTTAGTATGCCTATACGGTGTATATTTACAGCTCTCTGATTACTTCAAATTTGATAATCTATGCATTTTTTGTTAAGAATATAGAGTTCAAGAGAATATAATATAAGCATTCATTCTGTGTGCTTAGTTTACCATTACTGGTTTACTTTCTCATTAAATCATTAGGAAGTGCTGAAAATAATACTTATTTCAAAATATAGAAAATTCATTCCAAAAACCTAATTACGAGTAGTAAACTCAAATGATTCAGAACAAAAAATATAATCTAGTGATTGCCAAAAACATGGCAAGCACTAGAAGCTTTCACATCCATCGCCTCAGTTAAGGGGAGTTGCTACTATGCCCTTTTATACAGGCAAAGAAATACAGTTTCTAAAAATCAAGTAACTAGCCCAACTTCACAATTCATAGGAGTGGGATTTGAGTACATATCTTCTTTGAGCTTCCAAATCCCATGAACCCAACATAAAACCATAGTATGTCTCAAAGAAAGCTTAAACTCAGAAAGAAAGAAAAAAAAATACCCTTTGGTCTTTTTACAAGTGCATATTTCAAAAGAAATTCAATGTCTGTGCAATATGTATTCCCATATTATCATATTTAATGTCATAAAAACTCACTGATGTGGTCATTATGAATCCTATTTTTATTTTGATTCCTTAAGATCAGATCCTGGCTTCAAATCTGTCTCTCTGACATCATTAAACCTCACTGAATTCAAATCGGATAATTTGACCCACACAATTTTGCTATGTCGTATGTGCTATAAGACAGGTGAAGCATTACATCTAGGGATTTTGCTTACAACTCTAAACCAGACCAAGATCTCAAAAACACAAACAAAAACAAAACTTTACTTGATTCAGTGAAGAAATAGACACATTAATTGAGCATGAATTTACCAAAAAATAATGAAAAAACTTATTGCAACATTTTCTCACATCACAAAAACATTCAGGTTCTGATGTAGGTCTTGTTCCAGTGACTCGACAATAGAGGCCTTAACTCTGTGATTATCAAGGCTTTTCCTTCATGATGGTCCTTCGTGTTCTCAAGATAGCTGCTCAGGTTTCAGGCATGATAGTTGTGTTTACAGCAAGGAGAAAGGGAAAGTGGTGATATTACCCTCTAGATTTCCCTTTGTAATGAACACAAAAGTTTTCCTGGGCACATTCCCAGAAGACTTCCTCCAATGGTTAGTAGCCAGAACTGTGTGATATCTCCAACTTTTGCAGCAAGAAAGGTAAGAAAAGGGCATGTTTAGATTTTGATAGTCTACAAAAAAACAGTAATGAGAGAAGGGAGAGGTAAAGGGATAGCGTGTGATCCTGAGACAGGAATAATACAGGGTGGTCACAGGAGAATAGAAAATTCCAGGAAGCAGTTTCACATGATTAGCAAAAGGAAACTGTTGACATAGCTGCATAAGCTAGGGGCCGAAAAGACCCTGAAATAGGGTGTAGGCCAATCTGGCTAAGAGTAACTGGACACAACACGGTACCTGATTTGACTTAGGTTTCACCTAGGACCTCATTATATGCTCATTAACATCCTAAATCACACACCCACCAGCACCATGAGGATTCTGGGAACACCCATATTCGGCATAAAAATGGATGGCACAGTTCCAAGAAATCTTCACCTTTTTCCAGAAGTCTTCATAAATATTTCACTCCTTGGTTAAAGAAACCCATAAAGGTAGCAGTCACACACCCCTTGTGTGTGACTCTCTCTTGATTATGCCCACAGTCCCCTTTCTTGAGTGTATACATTTACCTTTGCAAAAAATGTTCGTACTTTTACTATTTTCTGACTGGTCCTTGAATTTCTTCTCACGGCTGTGTCAAGAGCCCAGACACTGGCTGGGGGTGAGGTTCCACCCGCATTTGAGGACCTCCCCTAGCTCACCAGTATCAATCCCACTATATAGCAGCAGTCTCCAACCATTTTGGCACCAGGGACTGGTGTTGTGGAAGACAATTTTTTTTATGGACAGGGGAAGAGGTTAGGGATGGTTTGAGGATGATTCAAGTACATTAATTGTACACTTTATTTCTATTATTGTACACTTTATTTCTATTATTATTACACTGCGGTATATAATGAAATAATTATACAAGTCACCATAATCTAGAATCAGTGGGAGCCCTGAGCTTGTTTTCCTGCAGCTAGATGGTCCCATCTGGGGGTGATGAGAGACAGTGACAGATCATCAGTCACAAGATTCTCATAAGGAGCATGCAACCTAGATCCCTCGCAGGCACAGTTCACAATAGGGTTTGCACTCCTATGAGACTCTAATGCAGCCACTGATCTGACAGGAGGCAGAGCTCAGGCAGTAACGCAAGTGATAGGGGAGCAGCTGTAAATAACAGACAAAATGAAGCTTCACTGGCTTGCTCATCACTCACCTCCTGCTTTGCAGCCTGCTTTCTAAATGGCTATGGACAGGTACAGGTCTGTGGCCTGGGGTTTGGGGACCACTGCACTATAGAGTGCACTATAGAGTGTTTGCTCCAAGAACTACTCAAGGAAAGTTGTTTTTTTTTTTCTTTTAATTCTATCACATTAAACAGATACTTGCCATTTTGTTTCTTCTTAAAGTCAGGTCAGAAAACTTTAAAACAACTTCAACTTTTTCATGTTTTTTTCTCATTAACATAAAAATTCTGGACAAACACACAGGCACACAAAACACAAAACAATGAGCTGATTAACATCTAAGAAAAAAATCAGGTCAAATCTTGGTTACCCTAACCTATTAGGGAAATATCTGCACCAGAATTCATTAGTTGCATACTTAGTACCTTCACCACTTTACTAAGAGAACCACCTTCTTAGTGTGCAGGAACGGCCTCATCACACATTTCAGACCCATGCAGTGGAAATATAAATTGTTAGGAGGTTTAAGAGAGCTTCTAAAAAGAAAAGAATAAACTAATGAACTCAACTGATATGACCCCATTTTGTCCTTTGCCTTCCTCTCACAGCTTAAAATTCAAGCCCGGTAGTTGAACTCCAGCAGTCAACTTCCAAAAATAAGTATCACACTCCAAGAATGGCTAACAAAGCTAAAAGGAGCCTGGCTTCTAGGGACACTAGGACCTCAATAACATTCCTATGCTGGCTCCATCTGGACCCTTTCACATGAACAAAAAATAACCCCTTAATTTGTTTAAGCCACAGTTTCTCAGGTTCTTAAGTTAACTAGATTGCTAGATTATGAATTGTGATTGATTGTACCTAACATAAAGATACCATGCCTAAACCTAAATGAATCAGTTTCTATAAAAATGAAAAATACAGAAACATGGAGTTAATAGCCCCTTTTGTAGATCACAAGTGAAATTAGTGAAATCAGTGTTATTGATTTATAAGTTCCTTGACTATAAGTAGCAAATATTGAGCCCATTTCTCTAATACTCATATACGTATACATTATGTTTATATGTATATATATGTATGCACATTCATATATATGTAGATATAGGTAGATAGAAAGTGTTTGTGTATGTGTGCATGCATGTGTGTGTGGGTATGAGGGTTTTGTATATACCCACTGGCACATACACATATAAACATACATACATATACACAAAAGACAATAATTAGATTGGTAAATAGGAGTTCATACTTAAAGCACAAAATTTTAAGCGGAGGAACCAAGTCTTAAAGAGATTACTGGAATGTCAACTGCAGTTGGCAATAGTATTCCATCTGAATAATTTGAATAATTTTTCTTTTTCTTCCAACATTCCTGAATTACTTATCTTTTGTAAAAATGAGATTATATCTTCTTACAAAAAAATGAAGTAATTCTCTAGAAAGAAGAAGTTAGGATTTCTTGTTGCTAATGTGTTGAAACTAAAATACACTGGCAAATGTTCTTAATATGCGAGAAAACATTACAAGAATTTTAAACTTTTCTTTCAAGTAAAATTTATTACAATTATAATACCTAAAAAATTGATTTTTTTGTGGTTACAAAGCAGTTGTAGCACAATGAATTACAGTTAAATTTACTTTTTTTAAAAAAACAAATTAAATGTACTATCCTTTTGGTCACATCCTTTATTGTTTAATGCAATCGACTCACTGCACAGTCATGTTCCTGTAGGAAAATCTTTGATAGAGAATTGAAATACATATCCTTAGGTTCAGAGAATAAAAGTCAGAAATCATTTTGTAAGGAATCACGAGAAAATCTTTAAAAAGTTGTATGTCAAGTAAATAGCTGGAATTTATATAGCTCAAGGCCTTTAAAGAGTTTAAAGCTTTTTATCTGTTTTCCTTATTGCCTAAAAGTTAGTTCTCCGAAGTAACTTTAATAAGTCAACTGCTGCAGTCCACTAAATCAGGGATGCAAGGAATGATGCCCAGTCATCTGAAAGAGTTCATGTGTCCTCTTTAACCCTTGCTACCTTTGGTCCTGAAAGGATTAGATTCTGTATGCCACTTCTCAGGAGAAATAAAACAAACAAGCAAAACTGAAGCATAAACACCAATGATGATGTATAAGGAAAAGTGACTTATTCTGAGTCACACAGTGACAACTAATTTATTCATAAAGCATCCACTGTGGATCAACTATATTCTAGCTGTTGAGGACACACAGTTGATGAAGGGGATACTAGAAGGGTTTTCACTTGATGGCCATTATAGCAGCCTTTCAACTCTATCATTTTAGGTCACTTAGGTCTATCACAGAATTAAAGATCCGGAACGAACTCTCAAAGACTTCTAGTACAAACTCATTTCACAGCTGATTTCACTGGGGAGCAAAAGAGCAAGGCTGCTGTGTGGAGGGTAATCATTTAAACTGACTCCTGCAGAATGAGCCAACTATGTGAAGAGCTAGGTACGGCATACCCCACATGGAAGAAACAGCATTTACTGAGCACTCTATTTGTGGAGGAAAGAGCACGGGTGGTTTCAGGATGATTGACGCATATTGATTCCAAAGAAGACAAGTGTGAGTTGAAGTCATACAATAGGCCCAGCCAGATCATCCAGACTCCTGGAGTACATCATTTTAAAGGCTGGATTTAATTTTAAGTCAGTAAAACAAAAGAGTAAGGAGATTTGATGATAAAACCTTCAAGAATGCCTTCATATGTCTGGTGGATAGGAGAATTAAAAGTAACCCACAAACCAAATTTGGGCACTATGAAGATAAACATGACAGAGCTACATCACAGAGGCCAGGATAGGAGAGTTTCAGGAGCACCTAAGGGGGCTGATCAACACTGCTGAACATTACAGGCACATGTGGAGGTCATTCCTTTTATCCATTAGGCGAGAACAATTTCAATCAAGAAAGTAGTGAAAGGCAGACGTCTGACTGTGGGGGAGTGAAAAGTAACTGATTAGTGAAAGAATTCAGGCAACTAGGTTTTGGAAGTGAAGGGAATAAGTGAAATAGCAGTGGAGAGAGATCATTCAGATGGAAGTAACGCTGAAAAAAATTGCTGGGATGTGGAAATTTTAGTTTAAATGTAGCTAAAGGCAAACAAACCAGTGGAATAATTGGAGACTAAGGATGTAAGCAAGATCCCAGAGGCGGAAAAGGGTGAGATCTAACTCAGAGGTGGACGAGTTATCCTCGGTAAAGATTCAAGGAAAGAAGAGATCAACGGCCCTTTATAAAGGATTAGAAAAAGCTAGGACAGTTCCCAAATCCTGTTGGTCCCCCAGCATAATTCAGGGTATCCAATAAAGCAAGAGTGAGCATATGGCATGGGAACTTGAGAAAGTAAAAATGGGAGACCATATTCTTTTAAACATCACAGTCTCCCTCATAAGATGAAAAAGAACAATCAAGTCATACTAAGGGTACAACTAAGGTTAAAGAGCGTTAATCACACAACAAAAGAAGAAGGCCCAAACTTAAGTGGGAGTATGTTTCCCTCCCTCCAATTCCAATAGGGATAAATATTATACCAAACATCTACTGTAAAGGGTATTGAAGTAAAATATATTCTTTTCTAGATAAGCCAAATCTATCACATTTTCAAGTGGTTTCTGAAACAACTTTGGATTTCCCTCTACCATTCTTTAATTCATTTTTTCTGTTATAAAAAGAGACCTTAATACTAGTAAGAAACTAGATTGTCTACTATTAACATCAACTCTACTATTTGTAGTACATTTTCAAATGGTGTGACTGACATTGCAATTGCTTGGTTCTGTTCACACAAATTTGCATTATTTCATTACTAGAAGAAAACAGGCTAAAATTTTCTCAGAGTCACAGTTACTTTCTGATAAGTTTCTAGAAAGTTTCTTCAAATTCTAAAATAATGGCTTGTATTGCCTACCCAACAACAACTGCTGAGTGTTTGAATCAGAGATAAGATATTTAAAAATGTTTCTAAGTATAAAATTTCATCTCCTTTCTCAATGCTGCAATAAGATAGCAATGTCAGGTCAAAAGTATGATATTCCTGTCTCCTAGTTACTATCTATTTTAGCATGCAGTTACCATGCTCAGACTGGAGAGAAAAAAAAAAATAAAGATAAATAGACATAAAAACCAGCCAGGCACGATGGCTCACCTGTAATCCCAACACTTTGGGAGGCCGTGGTGGGTGGATCACCTGAGGTCAGGAGTTCGAGACCAGCCTGGCCAACATGGCGAAACCCTGCCTCAACTAAAAATACAAAAATTAGCCAGGTGTGGTGGTGCACACCTGTAGTCCCAGTTACTCAGGAGGCTGAGGCAGTAGAATCACTTGAACCTGGAAGGTGGAGGTTGCAGTGAGCTGAAATCGTGCCACTGGACTCCAGCCTGGGGGACAGAATGAGACTCTGTCTCAAAAAAAAAAAAAAAAAAAAATTAGCACTTTCAATTCTGCAAACTCAATCAATCTCTTGGGAATTCACTAAACTAAATGGTATTTTAGTTCAATGAATGAATTTCATAATTTAAAGTAATATTTTTTTTTTAGTTTGAGAGTCTGTCATCCAGGCTGGACTACAGTGGTATAATCATGGCTCACCACAGCCTTGAACTCCTGGGCTCAAGCAATCCCTCTGCCTCAGCCTTCCAAGTAGCTAGGACCACAGGTGCACACTACCATGATGGCTAATTTTCTTTCTTTTTTTTTTTTTTTTTTTTTTGTAGAGATGGGGTCTCACTATGTTGTCTAGGCTGGACTCAAACTCCTGACCTCAAGTGATCCTCCCAACTCAGCCTCCCAAAGTGCCAGGATTACAGGCATGAATCACCATGCCCAGCCAATTTTTTTAAATCTTGAGTTTCTTAAGATGTAGTTGGGTATGATTAAGTAAATGCTGTAGGCATATGGGTGCAGAAGGGTTTCAAGCAAGACTTCAGAATTGCTACTTTCAGTACTTTTCCTCTGCTGACCATATCAGAAGACCTGAATCCTTTAGAACTCTCTGGAATGGCTGGAGTTTTCATCATTGTTTTTAAGTATATTTCCCTGATGCGCATCTTCTTACAGCTGTCACTGACTCACTGTCAAAGACAAAGGAGTGTACAGGCCAAAAGTCTGTGAACATATGGCTTGGGGACTTGAGAAAGTACAGTTGGGAGAACATATCACAGACTCCCTCACAAGATGAAAAAGAACAATCAAGTCATAGTAAGGGTATAACTAATGTTAAAGAGCATTATCATACAACATGGCCCCAGAAGTTAGAAAGATTTGGGTTTAAGTCACCTTTGCACAAGTCACTTTACCTTTCTGAGCCTTGGTCTCCTCATCTATAAATGAAAATGAAAATGCTACTTATATTATAGTTGTATCAAAGATAAGAGTTAATACATGTAGAATGTTCAACACAGGACATAGGACATACTAAGTCTTAAACAAACGGCAGCAGCTACTATTCTATTTAGGCTGCTTCTCTTATTCTCTTATTCTCATTCCTTAATACTTTCTCTAAGCCTCAAAATACAATTCCTTCAGAAACTACCATATTATTATGGCATCAAATAAATGGATTCTATTTTTTATAGTGCCAAGAGCAATATACCCTCCCAAAATAATTTTACACAAAGAGCCACAAAGTTTGACCAACTGAAATATTTGATGAAGTATAAGTTAATCCAATAATAATCTCCTTAATTAATTCAAGCTTGTATATTATTTTTAAAATCCTAAACTTTAGATTGAAAGTCAATATTCTGAAGCAAAAACTGAATTCACAAAGGTAAAGTGGACGTGGCATTTGAATGATTATAGAGCAAAAAGATAGAGCTGGAGAACAACAACTGAATAAAGGACAATTCAGAGATTTACATATTTAACTTCTTAGATTTTAGTCATGCTCTTAATTTGACTATTAATTTTGGTATCTTTGAATTTAAGGCTTTCAACTTCAAATGTTTACTTTCTCTTTTCAGCACAGACATTTGCTAAACAGAGTAATATAAACAATAATCTATTAATGCAAATGTTCCAAGAAGCTACTTCTTCTTAGCATTAGAGTTCTTAATATAATATCAATATTTAATTACTATTTAATTGAAATTGTCATTAGGCATTTAAATATATTAGAAGAAATAAAAGTGCATAATCCAATACTTTAAGAATGAAAACAACCCAGAGAAACAAGTCTACGGTAGTGCCCCCATAAACCACTACGTGAATTTAGCCAAACCTCTTAAGTCTCAGAAGCCAACTTACCCTGAAGCTAATAAAACTTGAGTTTCAAGTCTCCATCCTAGGTCCTGGGGGGGCCCTAGAAATGTATTTACACTTAGATTTTTAGAAAATTTGCAAACGTATTTAACTAAAAGTGGTTATCATTGCTATCATTTTCCACATTGACTCTGTCCCACCTCCCCTCATATCAGCTGGCACTGAAGTATTTCTGAGCATTTCAGGAATCTGGCTAAGGAGAAGCTGAATTAGGAATACCTTTATGGAATATCTGGAAATAATTTTAAGTAATTCCATTATGTGAGCCATCCAGAGTACAAATGACTTCCAAGAACACTCAAACTGTTCACTGACACAACTTAGCCTTGTAACACAAAGGAATGAACTAAAGATGATATCATGATATAAATGTGCCCCTTGGCACCCAGAACTAGGAGCATGTGATCAGTGGAAGAGAAACAAGGTTGGAAATGAATGGAACCAGAAGCTAGTCTGTGGGAAACTCATTTATCGAACATTTCAATGTAAAACTGAAAATTAAAAATTCATCAACACATGATCAAAACTGAAGATATATCTTGTCAAGCATATAATCAACAATGCATCACGTCCAATTACAAATGCATTTTTGCGGGGAGTGGAAGTTGAGCAAAATAGAATTTGTCAAAATTACTCTGCTGGTCACAAACCTCTAACAGTACTGTAAAAAGTGTATATATCTATGTATAAAATCACACGTTTTATGCATCTCAATAATAAAAAAATATATTTCAATCATACTAGAGGAATGGCTAAATTATCTACTTTTTCTGTAGAAATATTAATAAATCATTTTAATATATAGGAGGTAGGGACTTTATGCTAGTTTACTAGGGCTACCATTAAAAAAAAAAAAAAAACAGATTAAGTGGCTTAAACACCAAAAATTTAATTTCTCACAGTTTTGGAAGCTAGAAGTCCAAAACCAAGATGTCAGGAGGTTTGGCTGCTCCTGAGGCCCTTCCCTTTGGCTTTGCAATTGGCCACCTTCTCACTCTATCTTCACATGCATTTCCTCTGTAAACATATTAGGTGTCTTTTTGTATTTCCTAATTTCCTCTTATAATGACCTAGTCAGATTAGATTAGGCCCACTCTAAAGGACTCATTTTAACTTGATTATCTCTTAAAGGTCCCATCTCCAAACAGTCATATTCTGAAGTATGGGGATTAGGACTTCAACATATGAATTTTGAGAGAACACAATTCAGCCCATAACAGGTACTAAGAGTACGGAGCCAAAAAATGTAATGTAAAGGGTAATAAAGACATATGTTAGATGATTAATATTTTTTAAAAATGTTTTTACAGTGTTTGTAATATTTCTGGCATTTTTCATTATTTTTAATTTGTAATTTATTTTCTCATGTGAAATATATAACCACCTTCGTACTTAATTTGGTATTGATAGTCTGTTGCATTCTTTAAAGAGAGCCCTCTGATAGTACGTCAGATTCAGCACCTACAAAACCGAGACCCAACCCATTTCTTAGATTCAATGGCTTTACAGAGTGTCAGAGTTCAACTGCTTAATCCCTAAAACCAAAATCATTTTACTGACATCGAAAAACATGTAGACTCCATTTTAACACAAAATATCTGTATTTTGAAAAGAAATAGTCATATATAATTGTCATATATGGCAGCCAGCTTTTTAAGTTCAAGAAATTAAAAGGGTGTTTTGTTGTTGTTGTTTCTGACATTCAACTGTCCTTAAAGTCCAGACATTAAATTCCTTGCTATGTTCTTATTATACTATTTTCATGTCTTATTTCTTCTATGTACATAAGGGTTATATGTAAGAAGTTTTGAAAATACCAACAGGAAAAATTTTGCCTAATGGTATCAACAATATCACCATGATCCTGACTTGCCAAGAGAACAACTAAATATGACATTTTATATTTCTATATTAAAGTCTATTCATCATTTCCTAATGGGACAATAACTACATAAACCCTGTATAGAGCTTTCCTGAAACATCAGCATGCTCTTGGGTATGATAGAAGTTTTGCCTCAGGGCTAGAGACAGAATTCAGAAAGGGAAGTAAGGTGAATGACCTATAGAACTGGCCTGCTTGACAAATAACCAGGAAAATAATGAGACAGAAAAATTAGGTGTTTAATTTCTGAAATCCTCAAGTTTTGAATTTCAAGAAATCCCCTAACTTATTCATTCAGATTACATCATTTTACATTTAATCTTATGTTTAAAATCGTATAAAAGTAATGAAGCCTGTCAAGTAATCTCACTTTGAACATTCCTTGAAATACTGACAAGAATTTAGGTCAGACTTTCAGGAGCTAAATGCCTCTCTTGTTTCATATAATAATCACAGTTCACCTTCATTAGCAATATTTGAAGTACAATACTCTGGGTTTCTTTGGACAAAGCTACTTCAAAAAGCTAAAAGAAATTACAGTTCAAAATAGATAACTGCAATTTAATTTTTTAAAATTAAAAATTCATGAGGTTTCTTAACTTAGATCTGAATTTCTGCTTTCAGTGATCTAATATTCATGGCCAAACATACCAGCTTTTGTTCCAACCAAGGATTGACAACACCCTTACGTGCTTACATGGTCTTAGGTTAAAAAAAAAAGGTCACTTGCAAAATGTGCTCTTATTAAGGGACAAAGCTTTGATCAGCCAGGTGTTTTTGTTTGTTTGTTTGTTTGTTTGTTTGTTTTTGTGAGACGGAGTCTCGCTCTGTCGCCAGGCTGGAGTGTAGTGGCATGATCTCAGCTCACTGCAATCTTGGCCTCCTGTGTTCAAGGGATTCTCCTGCCTCAGCCTCCTAAGTAGCTTGGACTGCAGGCACGTGCTTACCACGCCCAGCTAATTTTTGTATTTTTAGTAGAGACAGGATTTCACCATGTTGGCCAGAATGGTCTCGATCTCTTGAGCTCATGATGAGCTCGTGATCTGCCCACCTCGCCCTCCCAAAGTGCTGAGATTACAGGCGTGAGCCACCGCACCCGGCCCAGCCAGGTCTTTAGAATCACAGAAAACTAGAGAAAGGCATACCCAGATTTAATGTTACTCTTCTAATTCTCTACTATTTTCTTCTCTGGAACTCTACTCAAATAGTTCCAAATACCAAGAAAATTGTGTTATCCACTTTTATCTTAATCCAAGATAACAACTACAAAGTATCTTAATGGTGGTCAATGTTAATTTTTGAATCAATCATCCTCTAGCTATGAGTGTTTTGAGGGCCTTGTCCTGTTTCTCAAAAAAAAAAAAAAAAAAAAAAAAAAGCAATAGTACTGTTTTGTTTATCCTGAAGCATGTCCATGAGCCATTGTTCTAAACAGTTTTAGTTTCAGGGAACTAACAAGAGGAGAAGAAAAGGGTACCCATGCTAGAAGACTGACATCATATTTTGGCAGCTCTATTTCCTTTGTGATCAACACATTTTTCATTTCTTTGTAAAGTTAAAATTAATAGAAAAATGTAAAATGTCCCTTTCAGATTGGGACACTTCTTTCTTTATAATATCCTGGACACCCTTTTCCTCTTCCCACAGTGGGGTAGCATCCAAAAACAAGGAGGTGAATATATGGTGAATATCAATTCTGAGTTTATGGTGGAAGAGGGACCAGACTTTGGTAGTTCACATGGCACCCAGGGTATATGAAGAATCTCTTTCAGGGGTTAAATACAACTCAGACCATCATCCCCCAAAGCATAATATCATACATTGAAAAACATGACTCTTCTCTTTTGATATGCTTTGGCTCTGTGTCCCCACCCAAATCTCATCTTGAATTATACTCCCATAATTCCCACCTGTTGTGGGAGGGTCCAGGTGGGAGATAATTTGATTCATGGGGGTGGTTTCCTCCATACTGTTCTCATGGTAGTGAATAAGTCTCATGAGATCTGATGGTTTTATCAGGGGTTTCCACTTTTGCCACCATGTAAGAAGTGCCTTTTGCCTCCCACCATGATTCTGAGGCCTCCCCAGCCATGTCGAAGTCCAATTAAGCCCCTTTTTCTTCCCAGTCTCAGGTATGTCTTTATCAACTGCAAGAAAACAGACTAACACACCTTGCCTTAACTCAAATATGATCTACAAAATATAAAATCCAAAAAGTGAATCCAGGAGCATAAATTTCTATAGGAATGACAACCTTGACCAAAAAAATTAGATAAAGTTGAAATAACATTTTGGGGAAAAAAACAAACTTATAATTCCCAATGAAAAATATCCCATCTGTGTTTCTTGACACATTATTTTTGTCCTCAAATTTACATGTTGTATTTACAAATGTTTCTGTTCTCAGGTTAATTTTAAAACTTCAAATCGGATATGTACATCTTTGAATTAAGCATAACTAAATAAATATGAGAATATAAATCTTGAATGCTAAATGCATATAGATCACTAATTTTTCTTTCTAATCATCAGCCAACACTTGAGTTCAAGTCTACCTAATATCCTAGTAGGCATGTCCAATTCATTGCTTAACTATCACTCTACAATTCTCTAAATGCACTACTTTTTCTTCTGCAAGAAAAGTACTGTTTTACATTGTCCTTATTTCAATTCAATATTATCATGATTCTTCCAATTATTTAAAACACAGATTGCAGCAGCATCCTCTCATTCATCTCTTTCATGCCCAACCAAGTTCTGAAGACACTGCCTTCAAAAATCTCCTATTTTATTAATGTCTAGTTCTCATCATTCTCCTCTCAATTACTACACTAAACTCCTAAATCATCTCTATACCTCAAATCTACTTCATTCTACTTACTCCGATATAGTCATGACATTAATTTTTCTTTTCTCTTTTTTTCTTTTTTTTTTTTTTGGAGATACAGTTTCACTCTTGTTGCCCAGACTGAGTGCAATAGTGCGATCTCGGCTCACCGCAACCTCCACCTCCCAGGTTCAAGAGATTCTCCTGTCTCAGCCTCCTGAGTAGCTGGGATTACAGGCATGCGCCACCATGCCCAGCTAATTTTGTATTTTTAGTAGAGACGAGGTTTCTCCATGTTGGTCAGGCTGGTCTCAAACCCCCGACCTCAGATGATCCACCCGCCTTGGCCTCCCAAAGTGCTGGGATTACAGGTGTGAGCCACCGCACCCAGCAGACATTAATTTTTCTATTTCACCACTTTCATCATGATATTCCATCACCCTGGTTCAAGTCCTTAAATAATCTGTCATCACCCACAGAAACAATTTTCAGCTTTCCAGTGTGTTACTGGGGATAAAACTAAATACCTATATTTATTATATATTAAACTGTACCATTATAATCGGAATAGTTTCCTCAGGTTCTGCAAACAACCTACATCTCTTATTTGCTCATTTTTATTCCGCACCCCATACTCTACACAAGGAGTACCCTCCCACATTCTTACTGCCTATTGCATTTTCATCTTCCAGAGCTTACTAAGATCTTCTCTGACACTTTTCGTTACCCTTCCTGTCATCAAAAAGAATATAGTAGATTGGGGAACTATATATCCTAAGGATTTAGGCAACTTTGAGATAAAATCCCAGTGCTGTCATCTATCTACTGTGAAAGACAAGTTAAATCCTTGAACCTTGGCTTCATTACCTGCAATACAGGAGAAAATACTGCCTAATTCTATACCCAATGAAAGACTAAATGAAATAGTGTATAAAAAGTATTAGCATGGACAAGTGATTTTACTTGGCCATCTATTAAATATTAAATCCATACTTCTAAATATAATCATGAAATAGTTGTTAAAATTATCACTTTGACTCAAATGATCGCTATTTATTAAACAAAAAATTATGTAGCATACTTTTATAGCTACTTAAACATTGTATGCATTTTGAAAATTGATAATCTATACCTGAGATATCTGCTACATTTAACTTGAATGCTAGTTAACAAAACCAAAAAACAAAAACAAAAAAAATTCCCCTAAACAACATATCAACAAATAGCCAGAGTTTAATATATTTAAAAGTCAGGAAATTAATGTGAAGATTTTTCAATTCAAAAGGTCCTGAATAGATAATTTGTAATCACTCTTTTAGTATTAGGGTGTTTGTTTGTTTGTTTTTAGACGGAGTCTTGCGCTGTTGCCAGCCTGGAGTGGAGTGGCAGAATTTCAGCACACTGCAACCTCTGACTCCCAGGTTCCAGCAATTCCTCTGCCTCAGCCTCCCAAGTATCTGGGATTACAGGTACATGCCACCACGCCCAGCTAATTTTTTATATTTTAGTAGAGACGGGTTTTCACCATGTTGGCCAAGATGGTCTTGATATCCTGACCTCATGATCTGCCCACCTCGGCCTCCCAAAGTGCTGGGATTACAGGTGTGAGCCACTGCGCCCGGCCTAGTATTAGGGTTCTTTTAAGTAATATGATTAATAAAAGAATAAGGCTGGATGCTGTGGCTCACACCTGTAACCCTAGTACTTTGGGAGACCGAGGTGGGAGGATTGTTTGTGTCCAGGAGTTTGAGACCAGCCTGCTCAACATAGTGAGACCCCATCTCTACAAAAAAATCCAAAATTAGCAGGGAGTGGTAGGGCGTGCCTGTAATCCCAACTGTTCAGGAGGCTGAGGCAGGAGAATCAAGGATGTGGTGAGCGTGATTGTGCCATTGTACTCAGCTGGGCAATAGAGTGAGATCCTGTCAAAAGTCAAAAAAAAAAGAGGAAAGAAAGGGAAGAAAGGAGGAAGGAAGGAAGGGAGGGAGGGAGGAGATTTTTTATATATCCAGGGAATGACATTTTTTATATATCCAGAGAAAGACCCTAGGAAAAATCTGTGGCTTTTTCAAGACAGACATTTTACACTGTATAAATCTGTGCTAGGAGGGTGGTTTGCCTCCCCTAATAGGCAGAAAAACCAGCCCCAGACTCGAGTGTTTGAGCTGGAAGAAGCATGGTGATGGCCAGGTTGGCCCTTATTTGGAGAAATTATGAGAAACTGATGGGGAAAGAAAGGCATTCAGAAGCTTAGAAATAATGGTGAAGTGGGAGCTTGGGAGATACCTGTGGCTTACACAAAAATAATCATTTTAAGGAACGTACTACAGAACATTTTACCAAATTGACAAAGGTCACTGAACTAGTAATTACAACCAGGTAGAAAAATATGCTTAAGAATCTGCAGAAAAAAAAAGCATTAAAAAAAAGCTTTTGCATCTTTCCTATTTTAAAAACAACTGAACAGCCCTCATCTTCAGGTTTCCAGTTTAGAGTATATTAAAAAAAAGTAATGAGAGGTTAGAATAGTGATTACAGGACTGGGAAAACAGAAAAAAAAAAACAAAAGTAGGCATAATGCCTAACATAACAGACAATAGGAGAAAACACACAAAAAAAGATTCAAAGTACAGCATACTGGGGCTTTTATTGCAAGTTTCCTCAGCCTTACATATTTCAATTGCTTCAGGGGTATCACTTTATCAGTAAAACAATAAAATGACTAGTATCATTAATGAGGAACCTTCTTAATTTAGCTATTTTCCGCAAAAGTATTTCTAAAATGTATCACACAATTCCCTCCCTTGTTATACCTATTACAATAATATAACCTTTTTTCCTTTAGGTTTCCTGACATAAGGCTATAAAACAGCAAAAATACTTAGATACTTTGAGAATAATCTGTATGATCTCTTTATAAATTATACAGAAATTGCCTTCAAAATAAGTATGGCCCGCTTGTTTGATGGATCTCAACATCACTATGGATTAATGCCTAGTGACAAATATTAACTAACAGTGTAATACTAATCACAATAATAATAAACACATATTAAACTCTTTCTATTATAAAAACTGCATTATATTCTTCACCTGTATTACTTCATGCAATAGTCTCAATCACTTTGATAAGGTAACTACAGTTATTATTCTCATTTTATACTTGGGAAGATTGAAGCAGACAAAGGTTAAGTAATTTTCCCAAATTCTTAATGAAAAGGGACGAGGTTATGGGTATTAGTTTGTTTTAATGCTGCTGATAAAGACATACCTGAGACTGGGCAATTTGCAAAAGACAGAGGCTTAACTGGACTTACAGTTCCACATGGCTGCAGAGGTCTCACAATCATAGAGGAAGGCAAGGAGGAGCAAGTCATGTCTTATGTGGATGATGGCAGGCAAAAAAGAGCTTGAGGAGGAAAACTCCCCCTTATAATAACTATCAGCTCTTGTGAGACTTACTCACTATCACAAGAACAGCATAGGAAGACCTGCCCCCATGATTCAATGACCTCTCACCATGTCAGTCCCAAAACACGTGGGAATTAAAGATTAGATTTGGGTGGGGACACAGCCAAACCATATCAGCATGTATATTATAATCTCCTGAGGTGGCCTTTCCCAAGACAGTTCTGTAAAATAACAAGTATTACATAATAAAATGTCTCCAATATCAAACATGTTTGAGGAACTTTGGGTTACATTTAATAGATTTTACACAGGAGTTCTCAGTGACTTTAACAATCCTAGTGAATACTAGGTCCCAAGAATAGTGCATAAAAATGTAGAAAAACTCCATATGTCTCACAATTATTTGATGACACTCCATTTTTCTTACAATATCTTATATGCTTGAAACAAACTTAGAGAAACACTTGGAAAAGGTACAAAAGTGGGCCAGGTATAGTGGCTCATGCCCATCTCTACAAAAAGTAGTTAACCAGGTATGGTGGTGTGCTCCTATAGTTCCAGCTACTTGAGAAACTGAAGTGGGAGAAACGACTGATCCCAAGAGGTCGAGGCTGCAGTGAGCCATGAATGTGCCACTGCACTCCAACTTGACCAATAGAGTGAGAGCCTGTCTCAAAAAAAAAAAAAAAAAAAAAAAAAGGAGGGAGGGAGGAAAATGATGTAAAAGAGTTATATTCATATAATCATTATTTGTGATCTCCTTTGAGATAAAGTTGAGAACATAATGCCAAAAATCACAATTTATAAAAATGAATGTATGTTTTTTATGTTTTTTCAAATGTGATACACATGGTGTTATGGGTTGAAGAATTTTGTCTCCCCAAAATAATATGCTGAAATCCCAATCCTCAGAACCTTAGAATGATAACTTATTTGGAAATAGGGTTGTAGAAATGGAATTGGGATGAAATCATACTGGAGTAGGGTGGACCCTTATTCCAATATGGCTGATCTCCTTATAAAACAAGCAGAGAGAGATAAGGAAGAAGAATGCCCTATGACAACAGAGGCAGGGATCGGAGTGCTGCAGCTGCAAGCCAAGGAATGCCAAGGATTGACAGCCACCACCAGCAGCTAGGAAGAGGCATGGAAGGATTCTATTCAGGGTCTCAGAAAGAACAAGGCCCTGCTTGACTACTAGATTTTGGACTTCTAGAGTGTAGAAGTGTGATGCAATACATTTCTGCTGTTTTAAGGCACCCAGTTTGCCTTACTTTGTTACAGGAGCCCTAGGAATCTACTACGCATGGATTACAGGGTGGCACAATGTTGATATCTTAAACCTAGAATAAAATCTAGAACACTAAAAGTGAAAGCACTATGTAATAACTGGGCAGGGTAAATAATTTGGAAAGAGAATTGAGAGAAGATATTCATGTGGCCAACTGAGAAGAGATCTTGTTTACATTAAAAAACCAACAAACTAATCCACAGTAAATAATTCAACCACTCCCTGAAACTCAATTATATCAGCTGGGAAACAGAGCTACCAGCTCTAACCTACAAGACTACTATAATAATTAGCCAAGTAAATGACACACAAGAAGTATGCGTAAATATTACTACATTAGCAACTTTACACTCCCACTCTTGCACCAGCCACCAATCTTTTGTTGACTCTTTGAGTTATCTTACAGAACTTCCAAGGCTATGCAGAACTACTATTCTGGTGAAGAAAGAATAGTTTGTTGGAATATAGTTTCCCCAATTAGTATATAATTTCTCCAATATGGGAAAAATGTTTGTATCCACAAGATACTATGCAATACCTTTATGGCTTGGAAGAGTATGTACAAATTCTGAATGCATCACATCTACTAGGAGAGAGCATTAAGCCACATAGCTTTAAAAATTAGCCTTCTAGGAAAGAGATTCTTGGAAAACTTGCTTATTTGTGACAGACTTGATAGGCAGACACTGGCCTAACATTACAAATTTTAAGAGTATTTAACTGGACACAATAGCCTGCAAAAAAATAACAGAATGTAAAGAAAGCATTTACTACAATGATACGTAAAAATTGATGCTATCATTTTTCTAGGCATATTGTCAATTAAATTATTCAATATGATTGGGCTATTCTTCTGAGACTTTGTGTAGATAATCTGCAGTTATTCAAAGAGTCGTTCCAAAACACAGAATAAAACAGACATTTTTCTCTTCTCTGAGCCCTTCCTCACCTTAACATGATCATGTTTCTTTGTCGCTGCAATTTATTTATCAATTCAGGACCTGTGAGATGAATATATAATGCTATAAAATATTGTGTCTGTGCTACTGGAAATCAACTCCAGGTAAAAGATGCTTATTCTGCCTTTATGTTTTGCTGTTTAATAGAGTAAATCCTATTTTAACAGAATGTATTATATTCTATCACATCAGTGCCCACATATTGCATCAATATATGCAAGTTCCCAGAGAGGAAAATGTACTGTATAATTTACTTAAACTGACATCAAGTAGCATCAGTACATCTAAATGAGGAAACAGATGACAGAATTTGTTAAAATTTAAGAAACTTCTATATATGTTACAATAATATCTAACTGAAATAGCATTCGTATAAAATGAGCAGTTTGATGGAAGTAAACTGGTAACTGAAACTTTAAAACACAATCTTTGGAAAAGAAATCCCTGTTCCCCTAGACGGAAATCTCTAAAATATATGGCCTACATCCCTGTTATCTATTATTGGTAAAAGAATTACTTGAACTTCAACATAACAGTAGCCGCTAAGAGTTGAACTCCTAAATTTAACACATAAATGATAAAATGAGCTATATATAGAAACTTGCTCAAAGGACCAGATTTTTCCTAAATCAATGCTTAAAGGGTAGTTTGGAAATCCAATTGTTGTATTGTTAAACATGAAAAATGCCATTATGTAGTCAACAGTATTACTATATCCAAAGAAAGAATACCTAGATGGTTGTAGTAGGCAGAATAATGCCCCCCCAAAAGATGTTCACCCCCAATTCCTGGATTCTGTGACTATGTACAAAAAGGAGTCTGCAGAGGTACTTAAATTCAGGATTTTAAGGTGGAGGGATAATCCTGCATTATCCAGAAGAGCCCAATGCCATCATGAAAGTCTTTATAAACAAAAGAGAGGGACAGGAAAATCAGACACAGAAAGAAAGAGATTGATTTGAGGATGCTACACTGCTGGCTTTGATGACAGAAGGAAGCCAGGAGACAAGGAATGTGGACAACACCTAGATGCTGAAAAAGACTAGAAAACAGATTGTCCCCTTGAGCCTCCAGAAGAAACCCAGCTCTGCTGACACCTAGATTTTAGCCCAATAAGATCCACTTCAGACTTCTGATCTCCAGGACTATAGGAGAATAAACTGATTTTGTTTTAAGCCACTAAATTTGTGGCAATTTGTTTATAGCAGCAATAAGAAACTAGTATACTGATCTTCACAGAGTCCTGAAAAAAAAAAAGAAGAGCAAAAGGCTTAGAGAATTTTTATTAAGCATCAACCAAGAAAAGAGACCCTGAAGTATGCTGATTATTAGAAAAGTATACTCTTCTCAGGCAGACCTGATTGGGTTTTTAGGAAACCTGAATACAAAATTCCACAAAACAATGTAATTCCCTTTGATCTTCTGTGTTTACCATGCAGACTTCCAATGACCAATTGATTTCCAGGATGCAAAATAGGGAGGAAGTGCTCTGGGTAGTGGGCTATAAGAATGGCATCATCTCTATTATAAATGTGTCGAAAGTAGGGAGCCTAGTTCTCCTGAGACCATTTAACAAGATGCACCCTGACAAAAACTGGGTGGCCCCTGAGGGCTGAGAATTACTGTCATGGCCAGTCTTCCTGCAGTCTGGTATCCAGCTATAATCCCTTCATGTCATCTTTATTGCACTCTCTTTTATTTTAACACTTTCTTGCATAGATATACAAGAAATTTAAGATAATACATTTATTGATATAGTTTGGATGTTTATCCCCTCAAAATCTCATATTGGAATGCACTCTCCAGTGTTGAAGGTAGGGCTTAGTGGGAGGTATCAGACATAAGGATCACTCATACATGGCTTAGTGCCATCCCCTTGGTAGCACTAACTTGGTACTGAGGAGTCAGCTGTTGCAATAAAGATACTTGAGATTGTGGAAGCAGCCTTGGAACTGGGTAACAGGTGGAGATTAGACGAGTTTGGAGGGCTCAGAAGGAGACAGGAAGCCAAGGGAAAGTTTGGAACTTCTTAGAGACTTGTTAAATGCTTGTGACCAAAATGCTGATGGAAATATGGACAAAGGACAGGCTGATGGAGTCTCAGACAGAAATGAGAAAGTTATTGGGAAGTGAAGTAAAGGTCATCCATGTTATGCCCTAGCAAAAAACCTGGCTGCATTGTGTTCATGTTCTAGGGATCAGTGGATGTTTGAACTTAAAAGTGATGACTTAGGGTATGTGCTGGAAGAAATTTCTAAGCAGCAAGGTGTTCAAGAAGTGGCATGGCTTCTTCTAACAACCTGCGATCAGATATGAGAACAAAGAAATGACTTAAAGTTGGACTTATATTTAAAAGAGAAGTAGAGCAAAAACATTTGAAAAATTTGCAGGCTGGCCCTGTGGTAGAGAAAGAATCCAAGCAGGCTGCAGAGAAACCACTGGCTAGAGAGATTAGCATGACTAAAAGGGAACCTGGTGCTAATATCAAAGACAATGGGAAAAAGCCTCAAAGGCATTTTGGCAGTCTTCAAGTCTTCTAGACAGTTCCTCCCATCACAAACCCTGAAGCCTAAGAGGAAAGAATGGTTTTAGGGTCCAGGCCCAGAGTGCCACTTCCCTGTGCAGCCTTGGGACACTGCTCCCTGCATTCCAGCTGCTCCAGCTACAGCCATGGCTAAAAGGACATCAAGGTACAATTTGGGCTGCCACTCTGGATAGTTCAAGCTGCCATATCCTTGGCAGTTTCTACTCGGTGTTAAGCCTGCAGGCAAACAGAATGCAAAAGTGAAGGTGGCTTGGCAGCACTCCCCTGGATTTCAAAAGACGTGCTGGAAAGTCTAAATGCCCAGGCAGAAGCCTGTTACAGGGGTGAAGCACCCACAAAAGACTGTACCAGGGCAATGTCAAGGGAAAATGTGGGTGGACCCACAGAGTCCCCACCAGGGGACTGTCAGGTGGAGCTGTGAGAAGGGGGCTGCCATCCTCCAGACCTCAGAATAGTAGCCATAGATAGCTTGCATCCTGAGCCTGCCAGCACTCAACTCCAACCCATGAGAGCAGCCACATGGGCTGTACCCTGAAAAAGCCACAGGGGATGGGATGACCAAGAACTTGGGAGCCCACTCCTTGCACCAGTGTGCCCAGAATGCAGGACATGGAGTCAAAGGAGATTATTTTCGAGCTATAAGATTTAATGATGCCCTGCTAGATTTCAGATTTTTATGGAGCCTACTGTCTCTCTCTTTTGGCTGATTTCTCATTTTTAGAAGAGGAATGTTTGTCCAATGCCTGTACTACCACTGGATCTTGGAAGTAAATAACTTGTTTTGATTTTACAGGCACAGAGGTGGATGGAGATAAGTCTCAGATAAGAGTTAGGACTTTGGACTTGATGCTGGAATGAGTTAAGACTTTAGGGGACTATTAAGGGATTATTGTATTTTGTGATGTGAGAAGGGTATGAGTTTTGGGAGATCAGGAGAGGAATTACATGGTTTGGATATGCATCTCCTCCAAATCTCATGTTGAAATGTAATCCCCAATGTTGGAGGCGGGACCTAGTGGTAGGTATTTGATCATAGGGGCGGATCTCTCATGAAGGGCTGAGCACCATATCCTTCCTTGGTGATGAGTTCTCAGTTCACTCAAGATTTGGTTGTTTAAAAGAATCTGGGACATCCCCTTTCTTTCTCTGGCTCCCACTCTTGCCATGTGACACAACATTAGCTCCTCCTTCACCTTCTGCCATGATTGGAAGCTTTCTGAGGCCCTCACCAGGAACAGATGCCAGTGTTATGTTTCCTGTATAGCCTGCAGAACCATGAACCAAAATAAAAATCTCTTTTCTTTATAAATTACCTAGGTTCAGATATTTCCTTATAGCAATGCAAGAATGAATTAACACATTTATGTTGTAAGTCATTCAAAATGTTTTTAATCTACTTCAGGGGAATCACTGTAACAATAGAAAGATAATAAATATATTTTGAAGGCTTGCTATATGTCAGGCACTAGATTATGAACTTTTACAGTCACAATCTTTTTTAATTTTCAAAACAATTTCTGCATCATCACACAGGTAATGAAAAGATGCTTACAGCAGTTAAGTAACTTGTTCAAGGTCACATAGTTAATAAGGAGCTAGAAGTTGAATCCCTGTGTGTCTGACTTCAAAGCCCAGAGTTCTAAACTGTAACCATTGTAATACAGCAATCTTATTGGGAGCTTTAAGTACTTCTGGCTTTTCGCCCTTACAGCAAATAGCTCAGGAGGATAAGTTTTTAAAATTATTGAATGATGTCCTTCTCTGTTTTTCTTATCTCATTATCAGAATCCAATTTATTTCTCCCACATAAATTAGAAAAAAAGCTTATTAAAATTATGTCTAAATTATAGCTCACAGGATACTACTCGCTAGGAGACCACTTCATCTACCCATTGTATTTGTGAAAACAGAATCTTTGAAGACGATTTTGAAATAATAATAATACCATCCACTCTAGTAATGTACTGGCTCAAAAGAACTTGCCACACTCTTTTTATAATCATGGTTTTCCTGGTTAGATTATACAACTATTTAAAGAAAGAAATCATTTCTTACTTGAGTTTGTATCCATGTCTATGGCAGATCCTTAAGAAAAATCTCTTTTATGAAGCCCAAAATATAGATAAACAATATGCTGTTTGCCTGTTTAATCATGCTTAATCATACTTTTGAATAAATGATGTTAGATAAAGAATAACAGAAGGACTAAATAAGTTGGCATTAGCCAACTATATCTACTAGACCTATTGTCCTGAACAAGCTGCTCTAAGACCTGTGTGCCATTTTCCACATGGAAAAGGAAGTCCTTCCACAACAGAAGGACTAAATAAGTATGCCATTGCTAAGTGTTTGTTTTTCATGAAACTACACAAGTCTCATGAACTACCAACATAATCTCACTGATACTAATGGGATTATCCAACAAAACTGATTTAATAACTGCTGTGTTCCAGGCACTTATGGAGGCTCTGGGGTTAGAAAGATGAGTAAGAAATTGTCCCACTCTTCAGTAATCTCAATGTCTAGCAGAGCAGACAGATATACAACTCATTCAAATAGTTTGATGAATGCTATAATACAGATCCTTTCCAAAGACTGTGTGAGGACCACTAAGGAGCCACGAATTATGCCTCTGCAATGGAGAAAATTGGGAGAGGCTTCACAGAGAAGGCCACCTAACTATATGGCTTTAAAAGACGACAATGGAAAGAGGAAACATTAATTATGAGAGGGTAACATGAGTAAAGACAAGGGTGAAACTGAATGGTAACACTATAGAAAGTGATTAGACAGACATGGCTAGAGCAAAGGATTTGTAATGGGCAGTACAGAAATTGAAAATGAGGCAAAAAATAAGAACCAGTGGAGGAATAATTGAAATTTTCTCCTATGGCAGTTAAATGTGAGCTGTAATATTGTCCATTCAAATATCTTTCTAACCAATTATAACTTATCACAGAGGTTTTTATAGTCTTTTGTTTTGTATGCCTATACTTAAGCAAGGGATCAGATCAACATTAGAAAAAGCTAGGAAACTATCAAGTAGTTATTTTTAGAAGCTCATATAAAGGATTAAAGCAGTGGATACGAAAATAGAGAAGAAAGAAAAAATTTTAAAAAATCTTGCTGAGCAAATACTACAGTGATTGAGGCATGGCCTTCAGAATTAGACATGCCTTTCACAGAATTCCAGTTTTCAATTTACCAGTTGTGTTACCTTGATCAAATCACACTTAAAACCTCTTCAAGCCTCTGTCTTCTCATCTGTGAAGTGGTAAAAACAGATACTATGCATCGGCTCTGGTTAATTAAGATAATGCATACAAAGTGCTAAGCACAGCACATAACAGTAAATGATCTAAAAAGTAGTTATCATTACTATAATTTTTTAATTTACGTATATATTACCAGTTTGTTCACATGACAACTACCTTTTATATAACCCAACCGTGGCTGTGCTTAATAAAACTCAAATTATTTTACTACTCTTTTTAAACATTCTAACATTCAACATATTCTAATGCACTTAGCTAATCCAAAAATGAATCAGAAATTCTGGGAAAATGGTGGTAGCAGTGAAAACATAATTTTGAATATTCCAAATCTCCAAATAAAAACATATAGAGTCACTAGGTAGCAAACCCCAAAACCCATGGACAAAATTTACTAAAATTGGGTGGCAAATATTTTGCAAAGCCCTGAAGTAAAGGTGGGTGCATTCAAATCACCAACAGCTACAAGACCATTCTGGCATCATCAATATGTGAAAAGAAACAGAGGAAATCAATAGAGCAACTGAGGTCCCAAGAACAAAGGAACCCCAGACTAGCCATTAGTTACTCACTGAGAAGGGCCAGGGGCCAGTTATAAAAGGCAACTGACTGCATGGCAGGGGTTTTTCCCTTCATTAGGGTATGAGTGCAAGTGTCCTACTATAAAAGCTGACAGAGCTGGAACAGTTGAATAGTGTGACTTCTAGAAAGGAACCTTCTATGGGGTACATGTGCCACATTTATGCAGCCATATAAAAGGATGAGTTCATGTCCTTTGAAGGGACATGGATGAAGCTGGAAACCATCATTCTCAGCAAACTATCACAAGGGCAGAAAAGCAAACACCGCATGTTCTCACTCATAGGTGGGAACTGAACAATGAGAACGCTTGGACACAGGGCAGGGAGTGTCACATACCGGGGCCTGTCGGGGGATGGGGGGCTGGGGAAGGGATAGCATTAGGAGAAATACCTAATGTAAATGACTAGTTGATGGGCGCAGCAAATCAACATGGCACATGTATACATACGTAACAAACCTGCACATTGTGCACATGTACCCTAGAACTTAAAGTATAATAAAAATGAAAAATTAAAAAAAGGAAAAGAAAAAAAGAAAGGAACCTTTCAAGCTACCTTTCTGAACCGGACTCCATATTGAACAAAAACCGCTGGGAGTGGAGTAGAAAGTTAGCAGTGAAGAGATAAAAATGAGGAAGGAATGAGAAGGCACAGAATAAAGAAAAGTTTGAGGACCAAGCCAAGACATCTCAGAAAACAAGGCATGATATTATTTTAATACTACACAAAATCAACAAACTAAAGAAAAATCCACCAGTTGAATTACTTAGGTTCATTAACAGATAAATCATAAGAAAAAAAAAACAACTCATGGGAGGACAGAGATGTTAGGGTGCCACTTAGAGATAGAGACAATGAAGGACCATCACTCAAAACTTTAAACAAAAAATTATGGACAAAAGAAGGTTGACAATTTTTAATTATTTGAGTGTGAAGGTCACAAGGCAACCAACTTGCCCAAAATCTCTGGTGTCAGGTGTTTACAAGAAGAGACAATAAGTAAGCAATAACTTATTTGGTCAAAATACACGTGGACAATCGAAAGAAAAAATCAAGGATCAGCAAACTTTTTCTTCTAAAAGGCCAGACAAAAAGTATTTCCAGCTTTAGAGGCCATACAGACTTGGTCACAAAATAGACATAACTAACAGGTGAAAAGAATGGACACAGATGTGTTTCAAGAGAAGTTTATTTGCAATAATCACAGAGTAGGCCATAATTTGAACCCTTGAGGTAGATGTTTGGTGGATTGTTGGACACTTCTGTTAACTGGCAAGAGAGAGTGACGTCCCTAGGAGCTGCAAATACAGGGGAATTTTACACCTTCTCCCAGGTTTCTCCTCCAGGAACACAAATGTTCAAAGAAAAGATCAGAAATATCCTGAGAATATCTCCCTTGTGAAATAAAATAATCATTCCTAATAGAGCAATTCAGATAATAATATTATAGAAGTGTAGAGAGACATAGGGAAGGATTATAAGAGTATCAGAAGAGCTAAATAAAAGAGTCAGAAAATAAAGACTCGAACGAAGTTAAATTAAATAGTTTAAAATAGAGTAGGGTTAGTGGATCTCAACTAGGATGATTGTCATCCAAATAAAAGCTGCTTTTTAAGAAGAGAGATTAAAAAAAAAAGGCAGTGACTTTCTAATAGAAAGGTAAGGGACTTTCAGAATCTTTCCCTGAAGATTCTCTTAAAGTTGTATCTTTTGCTTTGTTTAATTCAGATGACTGAAACAGCATAAGTGGGTTTTTCTGAAAGCAAGAGGATCAGTTGTCTCCATACGATTTGACTCCCTATCATAAAGCCATTTTTAAGCACATAGCCTCAATATATCTACTACTGTACTCTGTACTATAAAACATATAAAAACATAAAAAACTTTAAAGACTTCGAAAGAGACACATACATGAAAATTTTATCATTTTCTTTCTGTTTCCTACTAGATGATTTGGTGCATTCCCTGGAGTGTGTGCATCTCATTTTGATGACCACATGACCTCATACTTTAAGTGTTCTTAAATTTTAAACATGCGTAAGTATCACCAGGAAAATATTATTTAAAATGCAAATTTCCAGGTATACCAACAGAGATTCTGATTCAGTATATCTCTTGCAGAGCCCAGACATATGAACCTTTTAACAAGAACCCTAGGTGATGCTGAGGCAAGAGATACAATATTTCTGGGCTTTCTCATATCCTCTGGTTTTATGATATTTACTGAGTGTGACATATAGTGTATATATTTCCTTCCAATTGGTGGAATAAATTACCGAATATTAGGCTTTGGAGAGCCCTTATTCATACAGATTCTCAAAGGTTAAATTACAACATATGCACCATAGGGGTATCATGTCACTACCTACCTCCTACCCACCTTTTATAACAGACAAAATCCTTGGAAATAATGGGGAAAAGAACCATGCAACATCTGTTTCTGATGTTCCAATTTTTGATGGAGCTACTATTGGGAGTAAGCCCAGAATTTTTATGGAAAAAAAATCACAATGGCCTATTCATAATAATGCTTATGGTTTCTAATTTTATCTGTGTATCTGCTTTTATTTCCTTATTTAAATTATTCTGTGCTGAATAATAATCATCTGATCTGTGCATGGGCATTAATTAACTGTTCCTGAAATACATGCCATTCCTTCTTTCTTTGATTTCTTAGCAATATCTTTCTACATTTCTATACTTAATGTAACAAACTGCATTCTTTGGCTAGGAAATAGAATCATACTTGGCATTCATACCTTTAGCTGAAGATTTTGGCCCTCTTAGCTTTTACATGTACTTACCAGCCATTTGGTTGCTTCTCAGACCCCTCTCTCAAAGGAAATGATAGAAAGTGCTCAATTTAAATCTATCAAATTTTGTTGTTAGAAAAAAGTTCTTATAATTTAAGAATTAAGTATATATAATATGAGGATTTTCTTTTTTCCATTATCAGTTGTTGGAGTGTGTACCTTTGAGATATATTATTAGTGTGATTTTCAGTTTGTGTAAATGGGAAGGAGGAACAGGAGACAGAACTAACATCCATAGCCAAGGAAGAATCTATATTAGAATTCCTTGAAGGGTAGATGTAGTTTAAGGAAGCCCTTCTCCCCCATCTTTTATTGTAATTATTTAAAAGGGAAAATGTATTACATCTGGAGTAGAGCTAATAATTTTATTAATATACGCAAATCGCAAAAAATATAAATTAAAACAGAATATAACCCTTAATTGCTTTGAACCATGTGATCATTGACAGAAATAGTACAACTTGCAGAAGAAGGTAGTTTCAGGGTATAGTAGAATGAGATAGGAAGAAGAGGAGTTTGGGGATAGGGCTAGATGGTTTAATTTGAACTATAACACCTATCAAATGCTGAGTTTAATTCCCATGGCAGTAGAATGAGAATAACAATCATCTCTTCATAGGACTATTAGGAAGATTAAATGAAGTAGCCCAGAAGGCCTAGGATAGTATTTGACAGTTGGCTCATTTCCAGCTAATATTCTTTTCATATCTTCAGCCTCAGGATGGTAGAGGTGGCTGTTGTGGCTGCTGTTACTGATGTTGTTGTTGGTGGATAGAGAAGAGACTGACCCTCCCAAAATTCCACTTTACCAACCATAAATTTGTCTGCTTCTGTTTCCAGGGTAAATTTCAACATTTATTTAGGTCAGCAGTTCTCAACCAGGGCAGTTTACCCCCCGGGGAACATCTGAAAATCTGGGAACATTTTTCATTGTCACAACTAAGGAGGGGAGGAGGAGAATGTGCTACTAGCATCTGTTGGCTAGAGGACAGGGTTGATGCTCAACATCTCACACAAGTTAGTCCTCCTACAACAAAGAATTACTGAGCCCAAAATCTCAATAGTACCTTGGTTGAGAAAGCCTGACCTAAATTAATAAAGTAGACTCATTTATTTTGTTCAGTCAGTAAATACCCATTACACAGAACACATTACACTGTTTTCCTCTATGGAAATGTTTAAAGTAAATAATGACAACACTATAAATGCAAAATAATCTATTAGTAAAAACAGCTATGCTGTTAATTATTTAGTGAACTGTCAAGATATCAGAGAAACAAGAGCTTCTTGGCAGTTCATTAACTGACACAGCTGTGATTCCAGAAAATGTCAACAATTCTGTCTGCTTAATAAAAAGTGACCCAATTCCTCTGTTCTGTTAGGCTGGAAGAAGTTCTTGACAATGGCCCACAAGAGACAGTAAATTCATCTCCTTTTAAAAGCAAACCCAGAATTCTAAAGACAAATGGAGGGTGGAAAGTTAACAGGAAATAAAGTAAGTAATAAATGTACCATGAGATTATTGTTTACTTGAAGAGTAAGGAAAAAAACGAAAGCTTTTTGAATTCCACTGAGTTATGAACAGAAGGTTAGCTTCTTAAAACATAAAAAAAGAATGTTTTAATCAGCAGATTCATACACTTCCCATTCTGAAGTTACATACTAAAGTTTTATCTGAAAAGATTTAATTTTTAGAACAGGTATTTAACAAGACCTCTGAATTATTCATGTGACTTGATTCTATAGTAAAGCTCATTCAGAGACAGCTTACACATTTTCAGGTGCTAATGGCAAAACAATATTTAAATGACATAATTTCATCCTGAATTTGTATCTACTAAACCAGTATTGGGTAGGTAGTTTCTATAAGTTTTGTCTAACACTATCCATCTTTAGTCCAGCACAATGGGTTCTAGTTTGATTTTATACAATGAATGCCATAAACAATGGATGTCATTATCATGAATATCATTGTGTAAAATCAACGGGGTGACAATGTTTACCAGTATGGGTTAGTCAGTCTTTTCTAAATACCTATCTATGGACTTAAGAAGACAATCCTGGGTCTCTCACCACCATCCCCCAACACTTCCTCTGGTCATTCAGCAGTCTGGCCATTTAGCTGTATTTGTCTCTATACGTAGTATCAGGCATGTCCTAACCAAATGTTCTCACTCCCAACCCAGCATAGGTCCCTGCTTTTTCATACAGTTAGATAGACCATCATATATACACAATGTAAACAGCCATTTTCTTTTCTCTGTCAACCAATTTCACCTCTATACTTAATGACAGAAATTAGTACAGAAGAATGAAGTTTTACAGACTATTAAAGACACCTACATACTGTTTGGGAAGTATCTACTGAAAGCATTACACAATTTCTTGTTTTGTATAATGTATGAGGTTTTTCTCTCTATAAGTCAGGTGTGTCCACAAAAAGTAAGTTTGGCAATTGTTTCAGACTTTAGCCCAGAAAAACTAAACAGAGAGTCACATGAATGTTTCCCTAAAAAATCAACTCCAAAACATGAAAATGATATAAACCCTAAAAATATGAACTCTAAACACATTGGACACGATATATAGTTCTGCTAATTTAATCAATAGAAAATATCTACCAGGAACATTTGCTATAATAACATTAATAAACACTTTGCTGTTACCCAGTTCTCATTGATATGGACTGAATTGAGTTCCCTAACCCTCCCAAATTCATCTTGAAGTTCTAATCCTCGGTGACTCCAAATGGGACTGCATTTGGAAATAGGGTCTTTAAGGAGGTAAATAAGGTTAAATGAGTTCATTAGGATGGGCCCTAATCCAATATGACTGGTATCTGTATAAGAAGAGATTGGGACACAGATACACTGAGGAAAAACCTGAAGATGACCATCTGCAAGCCACAAAGAGAGGCCTTAGAAGAAACCAACACTGTCTACACTTTGATTTTGGAATTCTAGCCTCCAAAATTGTGACAAATTTTTGTTGTTTAAGTCATCCAGTCTGTGGTACTTTGTTAAGGGAATCCTAGCAAACTAATACACTCCTGTAGACTAAACATTCTGATTTGGGAAAGGAAGAACCCATTTACCATAGATTAATTCCACAGTTAAATGTGATTTACTAATGTTGTCCTACCTGCATCTGAAAGAAAACAAATAACAGAGAAAATGGTGCAGTCAGCCAGTCTTCCACTTCTCTTGAAACTAAATATCATATAACAGTGCTTACATTAAAATTAAATCTAACAAATCAGTTACTTTTTCATTTAATAAAAATAAGGAGATATTTCATTTTGGCTTGGAAACAAAATATTTTTTACCAATAAAAGTGCGAGTTCCAAGAGGCAGATGTTTAGTGTGTCTTTTTGCCACTTAATCCTCAGCACCTAGAACCATTCCAGACATTGTCAATGCTTAGGCAGTAGTTGATGAATGTTTAAAGAATCAATGAATAAAAAATACCAGTAGTTTCTGGTTATTACTGACAAGATGGCAGACTAGCACAAGATGGGTGAATACTGGGGAGGCAGTATTTACCCTTAGGACAAAAGATAGAGGGAGCTATAGATTTGAGGAATTAAATCTATCAACGCAATCTATCCATCATTATAAGAAGTCTGGGAAACATCCTTGTGGGATGATGACACCCTGTGGCCAAGAGTGGCCAGGCACAGCATCAGAGGATAATTTGGGGAGGGACCCAGCTAGTGCATCTCCTGGACATTGTCTTGCAAGAGTCATTGTCTGTACCATACCATTTGCCAGACAGAAACCAGCAGTCACAACATATCTATATCAAAGATATGTAACCAAAGGCAATAAAAATTAGCGATAAATAACAAGAGGAATTTGAAAAAAAAGTGTCTAGAAACCAAGTAAAAGACTACTAGATAATGTATACTAAAAAGGAAAGAAAAATTATAAGAGAATTTAAGCTGAATAATACATGTCAAAATGTATGATACATTTGTAAGGTACCATGTAAAAGGAAAGTTATTTTAAGTAGGTCCATCAAGAAAGAAAAAGGGTTAGAAAAAAATCGAGCCAATCATTAAGCTCTAAAAAGGCCACAGAGGAAACCCAGTGAAACAGAGGAAGAAAATAATCAAGAAGCTAGTAAAAACCAATAGAAATCAAACCCACCAAAAAAAATTAGGAAAAATTAAAAAACTAGAAGCTTTAAGGAAGTTGATAGATGAATAGACTCTGACAAACTAATCCAAAATGAGTGAACAAAATTCAGAGTAAGAATGACATTATAAGAACAAGAGAGGAAGAGAATAGAGGAGGATGGGAGAGAAAAAGAGAAAGAGAGAGATAATAGAAATAACCAAAAAACAGAAGTTGACAGAGAAATAACTGTTGACACATAAAGAGATTAAAATGATAAAACAATATTATGAGTACCCATTTGGTACTGAAATTGAAAACCTAGACAAAAGATGTTATTTCTGGAAAAATATAAAAATTTCAAATTGGTATAAAAGGAAATTAAAAACGAATATATTTATAAGTATTAAAGAACTTGAAAAGGCAAGTCTCTTCCTCCCCCAAATTCCCTAGCCGTATTGATTTTTAGTTGCATTCCACTTAACCATCATGAAACAAATAATTCATACCTTTTAAGTAAAAACAGAGAAAGAAACAAATCTAGTTTCCATCTAGCATTATATTCATTCCAAAATTAGGTAAAGATAGTAAAAAAATTATAAGCCTATTCAATTATGAATATATGTGCAAATTCCAAAATGAGATATTAGCCAAATGAAAAACTGTATTAAAATATGATAAAGTAAGATTTATCCAGATTTATAAAGATGATTTTAGTACAAAAATGCACCAATTCACTATACTAGTAGACTAACAAAGAGAAAGCATATAATTATTTCAAGAGAGAGAGGAAAATAAATTGAATATACATTTTAAAACTTATTTATGATTACAAAAGAAGTGCATTCCTAGAAAACTAGAAGTAGAAGAGAATATCCTAAACTTGGTGATGGTTATGAACCAAATACCTAAAGTAAACATTATGCTTAAATATTACATTTAAGGGAAAACCTTTACACACTGTCCTTTTACAGTAAAATTATATACAATTTTACATATAATTCATATAAAATACCGAATTTCAGGGGAATCACAAAATTATAAGAAGTCTAAGAACTGCAATATTAGATATGCTTTGGGTATTACTATAAATCCTAGCAAGTTCTATAAAGAAAAAAGAAAGAAAAAGTGTAAATATTAGAAGGGAAAGAATAAAACTACAATGTAGATAACACAATGGTCTAAAATAGAAAAAAATGGAATTAACAGGCAAACTATTGAAACTAACAAAAGACTGTGATGAAAGATCAATTTATAAAACTCATGAAGATCTCTCTGCACCAGAAATAACCAAATAACCATCTACAGAATATAATCAGTAATAAAATACTTTTCATACTAGAATAAGAAACCTGCAAAGACTTAAGAAAGAATGCACAAAACCACACTAATAAAAATAGTATATAATATTAACAAAAAATAGACAAAATGAAACAAAGTAGAGAGACTCAGAAATTCTCCAAAGCATTCAAGAGAACTTAACATACGAGTAAGTTTATATCACAAGTCAAAGTGATGAGTAATGTCACAGCATACATTAAATAGACAAAAATAGTTTAGTAGATAGAAAAAATAAAATAACACTGGATTTCCACCTTTTAATACCACATACAAGAGTATTCCAAATGATTAGACCTTAATATGAAAAATAAAACTATGAAGTTAATAAACGTACAATGTTTCCCTTGTCATTTTTGACATCTTATGATAGCAGTGGAGGCCTAATTATTACTTTGAAAAGTAAAATAGGCCTAGGGGATTGGGTTGGGTAATAATGAAATCACAATTCAGAGACAGACCAGAGCACATGAAACATGATGGAAATTAGTTTGTCCAAACAAGTATAAAAGAAATTCATTCTATCATAATTTTTTTTAATATAAATACAAAATTTGATGAAAACATTTTTTAAATGTTACATTTAAGTATACATGTTTGAATTTAAGATAAATTATAAATGGAATTTTCAAAAGGTTATGTACAGCAAAAAATATGTACCTCAAGACTTATTTTACTTTCAGTGTAGCTTCATTTATGATAAGAAGTGATGACCTCTATAGAAAACAATTTCATTTTGACCACTAATGCCTTCATGGGGAAAAGAGAAGTGGCGTAGAAGTCAGGAGCCTAATTTTGCCTCCAGTCAATTAATAATTAAGACTCTGATCAAGTCACTTACCCACTCTGGGCTTCATTTTCCTCACACATGAGTGAGGAAATTAATCAAAGTACTGATTAGTGTTATCAATATTTTTGGGATTAGAGCTCCCTTTTAGCTCCCTCCTTCTCTCCCAAAAGTGTGCACAAGATTATACACATAAAATTGTAAAACAAATGTCAGAGTATCCACAGACCTCCAAAAGGTCCCTGTACCTCAGATTAAATACTTCTAAACTAGAAAACACATATAATTCCCTTCAACTCTAAAAGGAAAACAAATAGAGGAATGTGTCAAAGCAGATTAACAAATTTTTGGTTTGTGTATCAGAAGGCACAGAATGGTCACTTAAAGACCACACTGAAATATAAGCAGATGTTGTCAAATGACAGAGAAGGAGGGAGATTAAAAATTTTGGGCTTAATTTAGACATATTAAACCAAACACACCACTTACATATTAACATGGAAATTTCTAGTAGGGTCTGTGTATACCAGTAGGTATGGCACCCAAAGGAGAAGTCCATGCTATCGATACAAATTTGGGAGTCATCTTCCCATAAATCATCATTGCATCATGGTGATGAGATCTCTGGGTGGCATGGAGATGGTGAGAAGGGAGACAGAGAAGAACTAAAGTAACTCCAGTATCTAAATGGTAGGTAGAGAATTATGAACCTACAAAGGAAACAAAAGGAAGAGCCAAAGCGATAAGCAGTGTTGTGTCATAAAATCAAGGACCCTAAAAGCATCCCTTCTGGAAAGATTTAAAAAAAAAGCTACTCTTTCCTCTGCCTGACATTGGTCCACGCTTTTGTACAAGTATTGGACAAGGGCTCACACATTAGATTTTATTTCCTAATTTAGGCACAAGCTGAACAGCCATATGCAACAACCCTGCACAGAAGCAAAAAGGAGGTGTGTTTCAAGTCACAGTAGTCATCAGTGTCAAATGCTGATAAGATGTGGAAATAAGCAAGGAAAGAAGTACCTACTGGATTTAAGGGCATAGATAGAAAATAGTGGAGACCATTGAAGGGGCTGTTTTGGAGGCATGCTGAGGACAACAAGCCAAATTGGCATGTGCTGAGATGTGAGAATCAACAGAAAACAAAAAATGAAACACTGGCATAAAAATATACACCATTCAATAAGTTCAGCTGGGTAGGTTGATAGTTGGTTAAACATAAGGAATAACTTTGTGGCCATGTCATTATTGTTTTTAATTAAAGGAACTCTGGCAAGTTTAAAAAGTAATGGGAAATGTATAATTGAGAGGGAGAGATGTTGAATGTCCAAAAATAAAAGGAATAATCATTAATATAATATTCCTAGCAAGACTGCAGGTAATAGAGCCCAGAGCATGGAATGGAATAACTGTCCTAGGATAGAAGGGATAGTTCCTCTACTATTAGAACAGAAGGGACGTCAGATAAGATGGGTTCAGTGTGGACAGGTTTATATCCCTGGCAGCAGGAAAATGAAGGAGCAGGAAGATTAATAAATTGCAATGGCTTTCCTTTCCTCTGTCAAGAAAAAGACAAAGACATTTATTGAGACTGATAGTCAGGAATGGGTGATGTAACTGGGGGGTTTAAAAAAAAACACAAAAAATAAAGTTATACTAAGAATGTACTGTTAAAATTAGAAGTCTTAGCAGAGAATCAAAGGAGAACTGTCAGCCAGTACTAAAGGTCTATTGAAAGCTGTCTTCATGGATATTCAGTAGAAATAAACTGCTCTCTTGGGTGACTTCCTCAAATGGTTCTAGGCTGGTTGGTTACAGCAGGGAAAAGTTGCTAAATGGTCCCCATTAGAGTTGGGGTCAGAAGAAGAACTGGAAAAAAGAAAAAAGACAGAGGAGCAAGAGTGTTCAGGGTATTTCCAGGAGTGTCACTGCAGTTATAAAACTGTAATCTAAACTAAATAACAAGGGCAGTGAACAAAAGACAGATGGATTGAAAGAAAGTATGTATTGAAAGAAAGTTATATTAGAGTAATTACACAAGTTGGAAAGGGAGTATGTTATGGCCCATGAAATTCTGAACTAATAGTTCTAGAGGTGAAGCAAATATGTGTACATAGCATATGGCCTATCTTTGTTGTCCTGAATTAGTGACCAGAAAAATATGTGGAGCCAAATGGTGCTCCATCACCAACCTTTTTGTCTCCCCTTGGTGATCCTTCTACCTAGAATGTTTATTGGTAACCCTCCTTCCATGAGGGCATGTTTTGAAGACAACAGTTGTAAAAATTCTCATGGATTTGGCTATGACCTTAATATCCAACGTAATATAATAAACCAGACTCACTATTTCCCTCCTGCTCCTAAATCAGTTTTTCCTCTCAACTTCTATATTTCAGTAAGCTCCCTTAGGCACTAACCACTGAAGCATTAGACTCACCTTTTACTCCACCTCCCCACCTCCCTTGCACTCAGTAATCACCAGTCTATAAGCCCTGATGGTTATTTCTCTTTCTTTTTTTTTTCTTGTCATCCATTGCAGACTCTACGATTAATTACACAGAATATTTAGGAGAACCTATGAACTTATTAGAAGTAAAAAATGAATACAAAATCATTATATAAAAACAAACTGTACTTCAATAACCAAATTTTTAAAATATAACTTACAATAGCAATAAAAACTTTACGATACGTAAGAATAGGTATTAAGCAACCACTGACAAAGTTAATCCCCCTTAATTTTTAAAATTTGTTTTAGTTTCTTTTAAATTAATAAACTATTTTAGAGCAGTTCACAGCAAAACTGAATAGAAAGTAGAGAAAGTTCTGATACACCCCCATTCTCACAAAAGCACAATAATTATTTCTTCAGTTTCTCTCCTATCCACCCCTTTTCCCAAAGGCCTTTCTTGTTACAATCCACTCCCTTCATGTCTTCTCTTGTCTCAGTATCTTTAATATTTGCTATTATCTTCGGGATAAAGATCTTACTTATTTTGTTTCCCCACCTATATTGTAAATCCCCTAAGCTAAGGATGATATCTATGATACAAACATTTTGATACCCTTCCTTGAAGAGTTTAGCCTATAATGATTACCCAGTCAAAATATGTGAATTTGATACAGTCACTAGAATCTGGCAATGCTGAGCTTCATAAAAAAATTTAATTTTAAAAACAACAACAACAAAAAAAACCTTACTCTATGTCTTCCAAAGAATATTCTAGTCTCCTGTATCCAATTCTTATCAGGGTATCTTTTGACAGATATACTCAGGTGACCAGAAATACATGGCATTTTTCAGCCATTCCTCTAAGATGGTCTTTTGGATTTTCTTAACAAAACTGGGATTTGTGACCCTAGCATTTTTCAGACTGATGTTTCCTCCACATTACTGTATTGATTCTGTTAAATGATTTGTAATTTTTTATTATTTGTTCCACGACACCTTGACAGTTTGGCTGTTGGTCAAAAAAGTGGCTAAAAGTTGAGAGCTTGAACATCTGTAATCTCTGGAATATAAGAGCATGGGCTTCCCTAGACAAAATTATGAAATACGGTACATGAGATTTGATTTTCACAAAGCTCTGCTTTTACGTGTTCTTCTCAAATTCCTTTCCCCCTATATCTAACTCAGGTTAAAATGTCTTTATGTCCTTTCTCTCTTTTATCCTTATTAAAACATTTTATTGGAGCCAGTATTTTATTCCTATATCTACAATCTACTATATAGAAATAGATATTATTTATTAGCTCTTATTTTTTAATAATTACAATTTATTTTAATTATAAAATAAAAAGCTGCAACTAAAAGATTTGTAAAAAAAATTATTTATATCCAGTATCCTACAACATAGATATAATTAAGTGCATTTCCTTCCATGTTTTTTAATGAATGGATATTTATTTGCTTCTTTCTAAATATGGTTAATAGCATTCTATACATACAGATCTCTGTCCTCTTTTCACTTAATAGTTTAGCAAAACCATAATCTTTTTCAGAATCCTCTTGTTTATATTAGACGTGTTCTAAAACAATATGGGAAGTGTCTTAGAGAATAGCCCAAGCACTATTCCCCAGAGATCTGAATTCAGTAGGGAACAAATGCTCAATTTTTACCAGCATCCCAGGTGATACTACTACAGGTACCTCAGACTAATACAGCTTTATTTATTTCTTTACCCATCCTGGAAGAAGCAACTGGTTGCATTAACTACGCTTTTATCAGCATTAACTAGCTCTGATCTGTTCTTCATAACACCCACACTAAGAATCCACAAATGAGGTCAATCCCATTATCTTCCCTCTCTATTTATGTAACCACACCAGACTACCTCCAGTTCTGCAATTTGTTACCATTGCAAGTTTATAATTTTCTTTCATTATCTCTAAAATCACTAATAAACTCCTAAGTGGCAAATCTAATTGATATTTTTAGTCTTAATCTACAATCAACTCTCTGGAGCATTTGTATTGTTAAGTACACATTCTTTGCACTTAAAACTTGTTTCGCCCATAGCTTCCATAACCACTCTTCTCTTCTGTTACTTCTAATGTCTGACTGGCCCTTGTCAATATCATTTCCAGGCTCCTCTTTATCACCATTCAAGAACCTCAGCACAGTTATCTTTCTCTCCAAATTCACTGATTATTTATCTGACCTCCAGAGCTTGCATATGGAACATTTCCACCTGAAACTTACACAGATACCTTAAATTTTAATGGATCTAAAATTGACTTTATTATTTTCTCCTTAGGGACAGAAGCAGGGACTCACTCATCCAGTATATCCTCTCTAAGATAAAGCCATCACCAACTCTGGAGTCATTACCTATATCTTTTTCTCAGTCTTCTCCACATCCAATAGATCACAAAGTCTGACCTAAGACATAGGAGCAGATGATCTAATCAGACTCCCATGAATTGGAGATAAGAGTATAAACTTTCACTAATAATTTCAAAAGTGCAGGACTAGATGAAACAAAGAAAGGTCTGGGACATCCCACTTGGTTTCCCAGTTTCTTCTGTCCCACATGGGACCCAGAATGACTGATGAGAAATTCAAGGAAGGTTTTATGGAGCTCTTCACAGATGGGAGTATATAAGTCTGCATTTTACACTCCCAAAGAAAAATGAATAGTTTATATGATATTCTCCAGTGAGCCATACCCCATAGATTCTGTACTTATTTACTACAAGACATCTGATAAAGGCCTTCACTAGATACAGTCTCTTCCTCCTAGAAATATCATTCATCTTTTATTTGGCCAGCCAGTTGACATGGAGATTAGACTGGGTCACCTATTTCCTTATTTTTTCCACCAAGACATACCCCTGGTAAAAGAAATGAATCAATCACAGGCCAGCTGCCAGTTGTCTGACTTCCTTCCTCCCAAAGTTCATTTGATTATACCACCTATATAGCACTAGAATTTGTCCCTTACTCCCTATCTCCACTAATGTTCATCTGACTCATCCCTAGCCTCAATGTTTTCAATACCCACCAACTATCCAAACACATTTAGTTTCCCCAATTCTATGTGCAGTCTGCTGCCACAGTTGCTTTTTGAAAATGCACATTCTGATATAAAATCCTTTTCCTGATATTGAATGTGCTACATCATATTTCCTTTGCCTACATTTCCAGATTTTTCTTCCAACACTTCCCCTGATATCCAGCCAAATCAAACTATTCCCCGAACATGCCATTTTTGCATGAACTAGCAAAGCTCCCAAGCTCTCTTACATGAATGCCCACATTTCTGTCAATAATTTGCAATGTCACCTTTTCTCTAATGCCTTCCCTGAACTCTCCATTCAGTTCAAGGCAATTACCTCCTTCTCTATTTCACCATAACTGTCTATAAATAACAAGTAAAATAGTTAACTTTAGTGAGCCTTGACTTTGCAAAAGGTACCATGCCAAGTGCTTTCTATGCGTCATATCATTTAATCCTTGGGGCAACTCTCTGAAATATGTACTATTATTCTGATAATTTTACAAAAGGGAAACCAAAGTACAGAGTAAATAAATGACTTAGCCAAAGTCACACAGTTATTAACTAAAGGAAATAGGGTATAAATGCAGCCCTGGTTTACTCGAGAACACTCCTAAACCCAGTCATAAGATGTCTATACTCACCCATCACACAGCTTCCCTACTTAAATCAATAAATATTTGCTAAGTGACAACTTGCTGCCAGACATAGTGTGAGGCTTTAATGAGCATGGAGAGCAAGTTGAACAAAAAAAGAAAGCACTGTCTCTAACTGAAGAAATCATCAGTTTTAAAAGCCTACCTAACATACCATCTTTCAATACTTCACACAAGAAATAGTACTGTCAGACACAGTGCAAGACTTTACTCCATAGGGAAAAGAGACCAGATCTAGTGTGAAATTATCGCCCTTAACTCGACTGGCCAGAATGCCCACTTCAGGATTAACAAGGAATTTCTCTGAGGAGTTTGAAGTCACCTAGTAATTGCTGTCATTCATGGGATTTTGTGGGATTATTTATTACAATTTACAGGCATTATCACTGTCCATAATTGTACTCTATCTACCCTATATCTTGCACTTCACTGATTTAATTCATACTCCAATGACAGGAGAAAGTTATTCACCTGGCAAATAGCTTGCATAGAACTTTCAACTTGTATCTTACCTAAATTATGAAGAGTAGAATAGCTTCTAATCTACTTTCTTCCTTGTTTTTTACTTCGAAGCAATTTATGGGCTCTTTTCACTACTGATTCAATTCATATAGTACAATTCAACTGAGATGCTAAAAACACCTAGCAAGTGTCTTCTCTTTTATGCTCACATCATTCCTCAAATGGGAGATGGGGAAATAACCTCAAGGAATTTAAGTGATTTTCATGAAATTAATAACTATAAAGTGGCAAAAACAAAAGGTAAGCCAAGATCTCTGATTTTCTCTAATCCTTGCCAGAATCCTCATGCTCTTTATCACAACTACAATTGTCTAACAATTTAACAGATATTCTTTTATTCTAGACTCTAATATGACCATTTCAAAATTATACACTTCAACAATATAAATATTCTCCAGGTATTTTTTATTATCCAAACTGAAATCCTACTTCTTGTACTTTTCCGAATTGATAACTTGCAAGTAAGCACTGAAAATTATGAGATTAAAATTACCAGTCTCATTTCTATGACATACACATTAATACGTAAAGAAATGCCATAAGGGGAGTTATGCAACGATGTTTTTGCAGAAATGAAATGTGTATGAATATGAATACAGTTGTAGGTATTTCAATAAAAATTACAAGCCTATCAGATATTCTTTCCAAATTCAAATGAAGCACCAGGTGTGCAGGATATGGCAGATGTGCCTGCTGTATACTAGCATGAGGAGGCTAGGTGGCTACAAACCAAATTTCCTGATCCCATTGAGATGGGCTTCTATAGGTGATCGGTTGTCCTCCCACTGTGAAAACTGGCTATGAATAAGAAATACTTAAGCATTTGCCCTGCCTTTCCTCTGTGAACAATATTTTAAGCAGTTCTTCAGGGAAAGTTCTTCCAGCTAATAAATATGGAAAACACAAATTAGAAAACCACAGTTTTGTATCCCTTATGGTAATACTTGAATCAGGCAATTGTATTCAATCATACAACTATCAAATAAATGTTTGATGCGAAGTTACAATGGAGGGATTTGACTGACACCACTCACATCAACTGATTAGTGGGGCAAATTGGCACAGAATCACCTATAAATAGTCTTGCCTAAAAACAAAAGAGTCTTGCCTAAAAACAAAAGAAGTTGAATATAGTCATGGTCGAGTCAATGTCCACTTACACAAAATATTGGTACAGAAGAACAATTTAAATGATACTACAAGAAAGCAAGCAGCCATATATTCAGAACAGGGGACATTAATCAGCTCAACAAGACCTCCTTCTGTAAACAAATTGATGGCATTACATGTAAAGAGAAACAGAGATGGATGGAGTGAGAGTCAAAGAAGAGAGACTATCTTATATTAACAGAAAAAAAGACATAAAAATAAGATTTATAGTCCTGAGCTTTATTTTTAAAAAGGCTATATTTTTGAGACAAACTTAGAAATATGATTATGAATGATGTATCAGATATTGACAAGAAATATTATTTATCTTGTTAGGGTTGATAATGGAATAGTGGTTATGTTTTTAAATATGCATTTTTAGATACTAAAGTATGTAGGGGTGAAATAATATTTGGGGTTTGCTTTAAAGTTCTTCAGCAAAAAAGAAACAGACATGAAGTGATGCTTTGGTTATTGTTGAAATTAGGAGGTGTATATGTGGGAGTTTTTAATAAACAATTCTTTTTCCTTGATGTTTAAATTTTCATACTAGAAACTTTAAAAAAAATGACAATAACATCTAAGCAAAGACTACAAAACTGCAGCCTTAGCAAAAGGTACGACTGGTGCTCTTTCACACAAAGGCCACTGCTCTGCTGACAATGCTGGCACCTTCCTCCAAAACCATTAATTTAAGAGGATAAAATGAATAATTCACAGAGGCCATAAAATAAAGAGCCTTCAACCCTAAATATTACATTACTCTAGATTTTTGTTTCCCTTAATTCACTCATGAAACTGTCCAGAAGTGCACAATGATTTTGAAAGTTTTTTTTTTTTTTTAACCAAAGAAACTTCAAGATTGGCCATAAATAGCCTGGGTTATTTAACCCTTAAAGCAACTCACAAGTCCCATACCTGCAAGTTGGAAAATGAGCTGTGTATGTCTGCAGAGGCAAGGAGAGTATACACTGCCCAATGTGCCTCAAGAAGTGGCCAAGGAGCACTCACAGGAGCCTCACAACTTGTATCTTATGTATCTATTAGGCATGTCATTCACCTACCATGTGCAGTCTAAAGTCAGGCAATGCACATATCTTACAAATGTCATCGTCCCAGTCATGAAAGGTAGGAAATATGTTCACTACTGTTTACTACCACACCTTCAATATCTAAGAGGCTGCTTAGTTTATAATATCGGTTAATGAATGCATGAATAAATATAAATGAACTGAAGAAGAGATATGATTCAGTACCTTAAAATTAATCTAATCTGGATTTCCCTCAGTTTGATAGTTTTTATGTTTCTGATTTTTTTTGAAAATCGTTAAATGAAATAGAGCATGAAAAGGTGTTTCACCTCAGTAAATGTTTTATTAATAGCAATATACTCAACACATTTTTAACAGAAATGACAGCCTGACACCCTAAAGTAAGGACAAATACTCTATTTTTATTTAGCACAGATTACTTGGCACACAATACTTATGGCACTACATGGAGATAAGGTGAAAAAGACGATCAATTTCTACCATTTTCTCCCTAAAGAACTGAGCTATAGAAAAGTAAAGAACCACAAAATAAAACAAATCTACACAGTGATGAAGGTTAAGAATATAGCCCAAAGACTTTGATTCTAAATCTCTTTCTCTTTTACTCTAAACGAGAATCACCATTAGAAGGATTCATCCCCAAAACCACCATATAAATGATACCAATAATTTGCGACCACCACACCTGCTACCTCCCACCACTCACTATAAAGCTGCCACTGTAGCAACTTTTCTTATCAAAAGCAAAAGTCACTTTGGAATCATATGTATGAATCCTTACAAGGAGACATGCTAGGTGCAGACTCACCAACCAGAAGAAAAGAGATCAGAATATTGGAGAATTATTTCTGAATGTCTGCCAGCATCTGCCTCAGATCTCTCTGGTTTCTTCAAATACCTGGACTTTGAGCAACTAGAAAACTTATATTGAAGATATGTCAGAGTGGTTTCAATTAGAGCTGATTGACAGCTAACATAGTTTTCTTAAAATTGTGAAGATATGTATTTGAATCCAAAATCTAGCCTGAAATTTTGGCCAAATGCCTAGACTCTGGGCAGTATTTGAGCCCATCTGGCTCTGTGACAATTTGTCATTTTGCATAAAACTGTTGAAACTGCAAACTAAAAGCCCTCATCAGAAATATAAATAAAGATTATGATTAAGAAGTGCCTTGCCCCAGAGTTTGAGACAATTTCCATTGACTATAAGTATTATTTTTAATTGTGTCATAATTAACCAGTGACCAGCACTGGACCTGGAAGAGTACATTTTTCCACCTAATCAATGAAAAACCAACCAGAATAGACTTATTTTAAAAATACATTACAATTTATTTTATACTTAGCAGGTCAATAATTTTAAAAAGTAAGAACTCATTAATGATAACAGGACCTTTTCAGGGCAGCTTTTAGATAGGAGTTGCTTTCAACTTCCTTAAAAAGAAAAAGAGAAGAAATCTGGTACTGAGAATTATTGTAAAGAAATGGGATTGCCTATGCATTATTGTGAGGCCCTTAAATTAGTAAGTGGCAAAAGCTAACATGTGTTGAGCTTTTAATTGTGTCCCTGATACCATCTGTGCCTGATACCATTCTAACTGTGGACTGCTTTATTTGATCCTCATAACAAAGCTTTAAAGTGAATACAATTGTTTCTCTCACTTTCCCTTCAGGAGGGAGCATGAAATTATTTTCCCAAGATCTTAAAGCTACAGCCAGAATTTTTCAAGGTATCTGATTTAGAAGTATTAAAACATTCATTGTGTTCAAGTATTCACCTCTTAGGAGTAGAGGCCAACAGATTCTGGCATTGTCACTCCATAAACACAGTACTACTCTCCCTATTTTACTTATACCAAAAATTAGAAAGCACACCTAATTATGCCAAATGATGAGAAAGAGCAATATAATATGAATCCTATTCTCAAGATTTTTGATATTGTAACTGGTGAAATCAACCAAAATAACAAAACTGAGTGGTTAAATCATTCACTATTCTGGTGATATTAAGTCAATACTACATATTTCTTTATTATATTAGTTTCTTCCATTTTATTTGCTTTTTTCCCCGATAAAAGCAGGGTTTAATGAGAGACTGGTTACAATATGGTAGAAATAATATTCCAAGTTAACTTTTGAACATACATTTAACTAAGTTTAATGTTGAATAAGCACAGAACTAGTTAAGTGTCCAGTTAGGAATCATGAAGCTGTCTGTTGTTATTACCAGCAAAGTTGGTTTATTTTTATTAACTACTTTGACACAAGGTTAAGAAATATAAGTAAAACCAATATTGTAATATTATTAAACAGTAATACCTGTTAAGTATATTTTAAGATGCCTTTTAAAAAATGAATCAAGATTGTAAGATAGAATTAACCAGATCCTTACTTTTACAGATACCTTATCAGTATTATCAGATACTTCCTACATTTAATTTACATAATAAAGCCTATGTCAGGAGGCAATATTCTCTTTGCATCTAAGATTTTTTTAAAGCAAGTACTTAACACTACCTATGGTATGTTGGGGTATGGAATATTTGCCCAACACTCTAAATTAATGAAGTCAGTTAATTTTTGATCCCTTACAACTTCTAGTCCACCAATCATTTATTTTTATTTATTTATTTATTTATTTATTTATTTATTTATTTATTTATGTTTTTGACAGAGTCTCACTCTGTTTCCCAGGCTGGAGTGCAACGGTGGGATCTCGGCTCATTGCAACCTCTGCCTCCTGGGTTCAAGCAATTCTCCTGCCTCAGCCTCCCAAGTAGCTGGGATTACAGATGCCCGCCACCACGCCCAGCTAATTTTTTGTATTTTTAGTAGAGATGGGATTTTGCCATGTTGGCCAGGCTGGTCTTGAACTCCTGACCTCAGGTGATCCACCCACCTCAGCCTCCCAAAGTGCTTGGATTACAGGCGTGAGCCACCGCACCCAGCTTCCACCAATAATTTAAATATAAAGAAGTGTGTGTGTGCACCTTTATGTGTGTGTTTCCAAATCTAACAACTTCATTTATAACATTATTTTAATCTGTTCCATATTTTAGTTAACATTTTACTTATTTTCATTTCATATAGGTGCTTATGTAACAACTTCTCATGTCATTACTCCTGCTTTTTGCCCTCTTTTTAAAATACTAAGTAACCTCTCTATAACATAATTCACAATTATATAAAGTTTATTGTGATCACCTTAAATACAAGGTCTCTGTCTTATTCATATGTGTATGTCTTACCCACGCTTTAGCCTGGTAGGTTGTTCAATAAATGCACTTTATCTTGAAGTGAAACTAAACCTCAAATTCAGTAACAACCTAATGGAAATTCCAACATCTCTAGTTCATTCCTTAATTCACACTTTCATTCAGAAAACAAATATTTTTTAAGTTCTTAATGTGGCCTTAGCCTCTGCCCTGAGGGGCTGAGAATACCACTTTCAGGCACAGAGACAGAAACCTACTGTAGAAGATCAACATGCGAAAAGATCATTACAAATTGTAGGAAACACAATGAGGGACCTATCCTAGTGCACACAGAAAAGACAGAGAAGTGTGAAGGATTCTACAGCAGGGGTTCACTTAGCATTACATGACTATGATGCCAAGAGGTACCCTGAAAAGCCAATGGGTCAGGGAATAAACTTATAAATGATATACACTCAGCACAGAATACTTCATATATTTTCACTTTTTTAAAAAAGCAAAATACAACTAAATTTGTATGACAATCAGACACTAATCAGAAACTGGTATCATTAATAGAAACTAATAATGAGACATATATGGCTGATAGGCAGATGACACCTATATTTTCCATTATACTTACAAATTATAAAGTAGCTAATTTACTTGTTGGAATGACTTTGAAATCTTGTAAATAAAATTATTCTGATCTTTAGGTAAGTCCTTGCAAAACCTCTGGTGGTGCAGACTCATACTACTACTAAAAAAAAAATACACTTTAAGTCAGTTTATCGAGCCTACAGGTATTACTGTTTTATCAAACCTATAACTTGGTTACCCTCAAAAGTGTTAAATGGACTCAAATGCTTTATTTTCTTTAACTATAAAAATATTCATGAATACGATAGCATTAATCCATAAAATAACCCTTCCAGCAAGACATAAAGTATATATTTACTATATTTCTATGGAAATTTAACATAAATTTTAAAATTTTGAGTTCACTCATATACGTTTCAGACCACACTTTTTTGCTTATAAACAGAAGTTCTAAGTACTCAGTAGACACTGAAATATATTTGCCAAATTGACTGCCAGAAACAGGCATTATTTTTCAACGTTTTAAGAGTAAGGGCTTTGAAATAAGACAGAACTATTCAAATCCCAGCTCAGCCCTATACAAGCTCTATGAACCAGGGATGTTACTTAATGTCCTAAATCATAGTGTTCTAATTGAACTATTAGGGAACTAATGTCAAGCTCAAGGAATGTTATAAGAAATAAACAAAGTAATGTATGCAAAACACTTAGCATAAAATTAGGTGACAATAAATGTGATAGTAAATTTTTTAACAGATTCTGTACCTTGAAATAATCAAATTTTTTTCTGGGCTTACAAACAAAATATTCGATACCAATATTTATAAAACTGTGGCAATGTATATGTATTGTACTTTTGTTATTTAAGATGTCAATAAAAATGTTAATGTCATGGGGGAAATTTCATTAAATGTGTAAACTTATTAAATGTATAAAACCAAATAAACCAAAAAAAGATAGCATATAAACCAGCTATATAGTATGACCATGACTTTTTAAAAATATGTCTTTTTATCTATGTGTACACAGAAAAAAGACTGGAAGGAAATGAATTAAGATTTTATTGGCACTTACTAGTGGTGCTGATTAAAACTGCACTTTTTTTTTTAACAAAAGTCCCTAAAACTAAATGTACTACTTTTATGATTTTAAAGAGTTATTTAATCTTATTTTTTGTAATGAGAACATTTAAAGATATAGATTATCAATTAACTATATATAAAATTATGGACAGGTATGGCAGCTCACGCCTGTAATCCCAGCACTTTGGGAGTCCTAGGCAGGTGGATCACCTGAGGTCAGGAGTTCAAGACCAGCCTGTCCAACACGGTGAAACCCCATCTCTACTAAAAATACAAAAATTAGCTGGGCGTGGTGGCAGGTGCCTGTAATCCCAGCTACTCGGGAGGCCGAGGCAGGAGAATGACTTGAACCTGGGAGGCGGAGGTTGCAGTGAGCCGAGTCACACCACTGCACTCCAGCCTGGGTGACAGAGCAAAACTCTGTCTCAAAAAAATAAAAAATTTAAAAACTTATTAACTATAAAAAGGGTGACTTTTAAATGACAAGCAGACAATCATTTTCACATTTTTAAACAAATTCCAGCTAATAATTTATGACAGTCAAATAGATAATAATTAAATACTGGTTTTATACATATTTCTTTTTTCCAAAGAGGCTTTTTCTTAACTAAGGTATACACACACACACACACACACACACAAATTGCAAGTCCTAGCATCCTAAGCTACAAGAGAAAGAACCTTGTCAAATAAAGCTTGTAGCCACTCAGTTTTTCAGCTTCATTACCTGCATAAAGATTGACCCACACAAAGCTGAAAAAGGTGGCAGGGAAAGCCAAAGCCATAGCAATACAAAAAAATATAAGTTCAAAGACAGAATTATGCCAGATATAAAAGTTCAATGCCATTAAACAACAATCGGTGTCATAGCACAGCCTCTAAACTTTTTGCACTCCAAGATTTTTGTCATTTTGTCTGCTTTATTACTGGAACTAGCTACATTAAATCAGAATCTTGATGTTTTAAAAAGTTATCCTCTGCTTTTGCTTATTCCTCACTAATTCAAAAGTCATTCAGCCATGTGGCTGCAGAGAAAATTTTCACATTGTAATTGTAAAAATAAGTAGTAACTCGGGAGAAAAATAATCAACTTTTAAAATTGTGGTTAACAAAATTAACTTCCATAAAATGATGTTTGGTAATCAAAGAAGTATTTTTAGGCTCATAAAAGATGCAATTTTAATGGTATTCACCTAAACAGAATGATTTTTAAAGATGTGTCTTAGAAAGCTCTTAAATTCAGCAAGCATGCTAGCCCAGGATTGAATAGCTGTTTGAATATTTTCAACTCAACTAGTTTTCTTCAACTCAACACAGTGAAATAAATCAGAATGAATTTGAAAGAGTGGATATAAAAATTCATTAAGACAAATTACATTTCCCAGCCCAGTTCAGTAACAGCATTAATTCCTAGATCTGGCATTTTCATGTATCAAACAAACAAACAAAAAAAGATATACCAAATTTAAAGAATATCAAGTACAACCTAGAGAAAGGTGTACATTCACACACATACTGCTCAACCAAAATATGGAGTTCAAAACTTGAAGCACTGTTAGAAGAGCAATACATCAGCACTATCTTTTCTGCAAACTCACTGATTATGAGAAAGAAAACATAAAAAGGTAGTTTTTATCTAATGATAATCAACTTGTCACATTCCAGGCATGTTATCTATATTCTATATAATTCATTGCCAACATAAAATGTCTTTTTTTGTCTCCCAGATATTGCTAAAGGCAGCCACAATGACACTCAGCAGACATCTCTTAAAAACAGAAAGCACAATAAATCACTGTTTTTCCCCCAAGAAAGGACAATCCATCTTCAGTATTAGAAGAATAATATAGAATTTAATAGTACCAGTATATGTTGCAGTGTACTAAAAACACTTGATAAACAATGAGTTAAGACTGAGAACAGATATAAGGGTTCATGTAGCCAAATAAAGCTGATATTAAAGTTTAATAGCCTGTATATAACCTTGAGCATAAAAACCCAGTGACTTGGATACAAGCACTTAAGGAGATATGAATCTAGCTCAATATTTATCAGAATATATTGCCAAAGTTTCAAGTCCTAGTGCTAAAACACTTCTTGGCCCTGAATCGGAAATGGGTTCTGTTGGAGTCAATCCAGAAAAACCAATTGGAATATGATTAGCAACCTTTGGTGACTTGGCCTGAAAAATTCAAATTCAAATTCAAAGAAAGAAATTAGTTATTTAATTGGTTATTTCATAATTCTGAAAGTATAGTATGCTATCATTTAATTGCAAAATAATTTTTCCATTAACTTTACAATTAAATTAATTATACTTACTATAAAACAAAATTAAAATTTAATGTTGACGAGAACAATAAAAACAGTAACATATTACAATAGTTAACAGCTAACATTTGTTAAGCTTTTATTATGAGTCAGGCACTAATCTAAGCACTACATGTATATTCTCAAATCCTATAAAACTGATACTGTGATAACTCCTGTAATACAGGTGAGGAAACCAAGACAGAGAACAAGTAAATAATTTAACCAAGATCACACAGTTGGAAAATAACAGTATCTGGGATTACTGAACCATTTGCCACTTTCTTCCCCTCTACTGCAGAAACTCAGGTGTGGTGGGGGTGACGGGGGTTGGGGGGGAATAACATTGATGCTCAAGTGTGTAAACTACAACAGTTTCAACTACTAAGTTCACATGTCACCTGGATTTTAAAAGGTGTTAAAGTGACTGATACTTGTTATACACTAAATAAATGTCACACAACAAATAAATATTTGCTGAAAAAAAGGGTGTCAAAGGGGGAAATAAAAGCTATTAAGGTTATTTTCTGCATCTAAAACATAAGTGGACAAACAAGGTCACCCAGTAACTTTGCTCTTATGAGTAACACCGATAATCTTTTTAAATAGAAACTTGCCAAATAAGATAAACACATTTGGTCATCAACTAAACTGAATACGATGGAAATACATTTTACAGTGTGTTTTCATTCACCAAATATTAAAATGAATCCCATTCAAAATAATGTGTAAAAATATAATGAAAGCTGTAAAAAATAAAATAAATATATGTATTCTAGTACTCAAGACAAATTTTACATCCAACATTTAAAATGACAACTCCACCTGGTTGATCAACGACTAGCTTACCACTTCAAAAGAACAATATTTAATCTGGAATTGCATATTTTCTCCCAAAATAGGTTGCCTCCTTAGATTTCTGGGACTTTTTATGAATGAATTTCAGAGGTCATTAATAATATGAGTACTCTGAAAGTAGTTATTCATAATATGAATATTTAACACTTCTGTAGCTCTAGAAGTGAAACATCCTGAATTTCAAATATCTCTCAAATTTATCCCATTAGCTAAATTAACTAAGTTTCCAGTTTCAATATACTAAGGGCACTTTTTTCCTAATGTAGAGATAACCTGTATTATCTCTTCATAATCAAAGTAATGATCATTTTCATGTCCACATCTTTCTAGAGGAATAAGAAAAACCAAAACCAAGTAAGATTTTCAAAATTTCAGAAAACTGTGCAGAACATTCATGCTTGTATCTTCTCTAACAAAAAACACTAACTACAAGAAAGGCAAAAGTTCATTTTACCTTATCTTCTGAAATGTTTGGAAATCTACATTGAAATGACTTAAATGGTTTAAAATCTAAAAAGTTGTTGACAAAGGTCACAATGATAAGAAATAAAATGGTGCTAAAATACTTAATTACTCAATATATATTTAAGAGATGTCAATTTTATACAAGCAATAAAATATCTTCCCTTGGGTGGCTTTTCTGACCATTAATCTTTTTATTGTGTAACAAGTAATACTTTGATATAATTAAGACAGTTTTTTAGCTTCCAATTCAGTGGACAGACACTTCATTTGCTTCTCTGTTGAAACCGTTGTCTCAAGAAATCCAGCATTACTTTAAAAAGTAGTCTAACTCTGAGAACCTGTGTGCTGTGGTTTGTCACCCAACTTCCAAGGTTACCAGAATATACAAACACTAAGCCAACCTTCCAGTTAAGCTTGCACCTGTGCAAGGAGAGTTCCCTTCCATTTCTCCAGTCAAAATAAAGTCCAGAAAATTGTTCAGTTCCCAATTACTGTAGTGACTAAATTACCAAAATAAATAAATTCAATTTAAGCTGGTCTATTTCCATCACAGGATTTCAAGGCTATTCTCCCTATGCTACAGGCAAGTTTTAACTTGTGTCTGGCCAAAGGAAAAACCTTTGCCAAATAATGTTCCTGCTGCCATCCCAGCTGGCTTTTCGTTTGTCCAAATCGCTCTCTAGTCGTTGTCTTTTCACTTCATAAACGCCACTGAGAATTGTGCCCACCACAGCCCCACCCCACTCCCAATCCCACTCCCAATCCCCAGGTTCAGATTATGGTATTTGGTATAGTTCTTGAACTCCACATAGCCCGCTCCGGAAGCGCACTGCAAAACGCACCCCAGATGCTTTCCCAAATCTATTCCTTCATTCTCTCATTTCAGAAAATCGCTCTATTTATTCACCCTGAGAAAGTGGACTCAACCCCCGCTTTCGCGCTGGAGAAGGAAACACAATCATTCTCTCTTTCTCTTCCCCTCCCTCCCCAACACCTTCCCTCCCTCCTCCCTTGCCCCTCCTAATCTCCAACCCTAAGAGCAGCACTCAGACATGCAAACTTTCTAATTCCTTCCACCCTCCCCTGTCCCAAACACTGGGCAATTAGACTGGAGATAACAGACGCAGGGAAATCTGGGTTTCCATCTGTCAAGGAGTCCCCTTTCCCCACACCCGCTCTCATGCCCCCGCCCCCTCGAGGGGCTCTGGGGGCACCTTTATCGCTTCTCCCCTGCCCTCTAGAAAACCACCCGTAACTGGAGGCTCCCGCGCGGCAGCTGCACCAACAGCAGGTGATCCAGGTGGTGCGAGGCGATGCCTTGTTATGGCATCCTGCCCTCTGCAGGGACACCACTGAGGGCCACATGAAATGACCCCCAGCAGTCCTGCAAAAGCAAAGGGGTGGAGGAGGGTCTATGCACCCTGCCCTGTGCCCCAGTCTCTCCCACCCTGTCCTCCGCAACCGAGGAGACCCTGGCATCTGGGAGCGGGCTGGGCCGAGAAGGCAAGATCAATAAAGTTCAGCAAGTAGACAGCTGGGAGCTGGGTGCTACTGAGTTCTAGAAAGGGGGAGTAGAGACGGAAATATCCGAATCGGTGAAATGTAAATCGTGTCTACTGCATAAGGGAATCGTGCAGGGAGAGCCGCTCTCTATAAGGAGTTAACCAGCGCCTGCCCCGGACACCCCCGCGGGGCCTCCAGCGGGGCTCAAACTGGCGGCGGCTCAGCAGGGGGCGAGGGGTGCTGGGAAACGCCGGGGCTGCGAACTTACGGAAGAAAATGTACTCGGTGTAGCTGCTCCAGATCTTGTCGTCGCGGTACTGGTTGACGAAGGCGGCGGTGCCCGAGGAGTTACACGCCACCATGTGGAAGCCGGCCTCGGACAGGCGATCAAAGGCCTGCTCCAAGTAGGTGAACTTGAGGTAGAAGCGGGACGTGTACTTCTCCGGCTGCCGGTCGGGGTCGCGGCTCTCGTTGAGCGTGTCCCCGAAGACCTCCTTGGCCAGCGCGATGCGCCCGCACACCATGATGCGCGCCACACGCCGGAATTTGGCGTCGGCCTGGTTGTCGCGCACGGTGGTGTAGGAGCCCCGGTAGCCCAGCGTGAGGAAGCCCGAGCGCTTGTCCTGCGCGCCGCCGCCGCCGCCACCACCGTGCGCTCCCGGGCCCGAGGGCACGGCGGCCGCCGCCCCGCGCAGCAGCAGCGCGTCGCTGCTACCCTGCGAGACGTTGTCCTCCAGGTCGCTCTGGCAGCCCTCGTCGTTGAGAGAGTTCTGCTTGGTGACCTTGGGCGACAGCAGCTTGACCAAGTCGGTGAGCTGGAAATACTCGGCCTCGCGCAGCAGCCGCTCCTTCTCGGGGAAGTGCTCCGGCAGCGCGAGTTGCTTGTCCCGCAGATAATCCAGCACGTACCTGAAAAGGAAGCCGTCCCGGTCGATGAAGAAGCGCGCCCGGCTGTCCCTGGGCAGCTCGCCCCGGCGCCGGGCGCCGCCACGGGGACTAGAGGGCGAGAACATGCTGGCCAAAGTACTGTCCGGGACGCTGAGCAGCGTCGAGTGCTTGGTCACATAAACCTGGCCGCCTACGTTCAGCTCCACTACTTCAGGGAAGGGCGAGGGTGCGCAGGGCCCCGGGGCGGCGGCGGCCGACGCGCCGGGCGAGCTGGACGAGGAAACCATCTCGCTAATGGGCAGGATGGTGCTGCCGCCGCTGCCCGTGTCCTTCAGAGCCATAGTCCCCCCGCCGCCGGCCCAGTGACCCGAGAGAGCTGCACTTTCTCGTTCCCGGAGCCCGCGCCCCAGCCCTCCGCGTGCTCCTGGCGCTCTGCGCCCTCGGACTGGGCGGCGCGTTCCTCCGACCGGGGCGGCCCCGCTCAGGGTTCGGGGCAGCGGCGGCGTCGGCGGCGCCCGAGCTCCATCGGAGGAGAGACGCGCGAGAGAGGAGCTCCGCCGGTGCGGCGGCGGCAATGGAGAGGCAAGAAGGAGCTGCTGCTCCTTTGGGGCGAGGGCGGGGAAGTGTGAGAGAGACTTGCGAGAGGCTCTAGGGCTGCTGCTCGGCTCTCCGTGGGGAGGGCGGGAGGAGGGGCCGAAGCAAAGAAAACTCGCCGCCCCGGCAGCTTGCAAGCGTGCCGCGAGGCCGGAGCGCCGACGGTGGCGCTAACTACTCCTGGCAGCACGGGAGGAGGCACTGACGTCAAGCCCCGGACTGGGACCCGAGCCTCAGCTGTCATTTAAAGAGATAGGCTGCAGCCGCGGCTCCCGGGCTCCGACGCTAGGGGGCGGGGCCGAGAGCCGAGCCTGCAAGAGGTGCAGCTCCCCGACCCGCGGGGACAGGCAGGCAGGGAGCTCCTAAAGCAAAAGCGAGAAAAAGGGACAGCGCTCTCATTCCTTCATTTCACTCCCTCCTTGGGTCTGTGCCACCCCCTTTCCTCCCTCCTTTCCTTCTTCTCTTCCTTCCTTCCTTGCCTCCCTCCCCAGTAAAACTAGTTTTTTGCACTTTCATTAAGGTAAGGAGTGGAGGAGCGGAGAGGGGAGAATAAGGTTTTGATTATAGCAAAGATGCCAGGCTCCTAATCTGAAATCACCACAAATGTTGGCTTGCCAGCAGTGATTGCAAAAAGATTACGTGAGGGTGGGAAGGTACATCTCTTGTAGTGGCTTTATGATACAGTTTAAGTGAAGGGCTAAATGCGCGTACCTCTCTTGGAATCAAATTTCACGACTGCGTGCACTGAATATCCTTGAATAATTTTTAAAACTTTGTAATCTGCTTTCAGTTCACAATAATAAAGGAGTGTATGTAACAACTGTTTCCTTCCGACATTTTTACAATTTTTAGTTTTAAATTAGATGCTTAATAAATGTTTATAGAGGGAGAGACGGAGCCCGAGAGGAAATTTACTCGATTTGTTCATTCTTTCTAATCCTGATCAGTCTCATTAATCTCTCCATTTCCCTTTCAGCTCCATCAAACAAGAGAAGTGGCTGATATTTTTATTAGTCTTCTAACCCCAAGAGTAAGGTCACAAATAAAAATTATATGAATTTAAGCTCACCTTAATTTCCATGTGTACATAGTACAGGTACAGTCTGCAAAATGAGCATTACTTGTGATAAAGACTGAAAATAGGAAAGCAAATGAGAAATATTTCTTCTACCCTGGGGCATACATCTGTGTTCAGAAACATAAAGAATCATTGATTTATGAAGTACAAAAGAGAAAAGGGTGTATTGTGGCACAAAGTAGTTTGCTTCAATTATCATAACAATATTACAGATGAACTTTATCCATTAGCAGTCGATATACAGATTTTAATATTTTTTAAAAAGTTAAATGCCTACTAACAACTCCTTTTCTTCAAACCACCCAAAAAAGTATCAAATTTCAGATACGGTTGTAAATTAATACATTATTTTTGGAACATTACAAATTATGTTTAAATCATTGATCCTTATAAGCTGCATCCATAGACAATGTTATACCAATTTTGAAGTTGCATTATATGAAGCAGAGAGAACCTAATGGACCAATGAAAGAACAGAATATATTTGCCAAAGGACTGAGACTTAAAACGGGGGTTTCGGTATGCATCATCATGCAATCCTTTTACTCAAAACTATTGTGTCCTGCCAAATTTATAAACTGATTGATCAAATTAACTAATTTAATTGATTTAGCCTTCATTTAAAAGTTAAAACCAAGTATTAAAATAACAGAAAAAATACACTATTTTCTGCCTCATTAGAAGAATATTCGGGATTTAAAGTAATCGTTCCTGGATAAATGAATTAATAGATGCTTTATAATCTTCATAGATGAATATATAATAATGCCTCAAACCACTACTAGTGAAGCCCATTTATCATAAGGTAAGTGTCCCTAATGATAAGTAAGGTGCAGACTGTAGAACTGTAATGAAGTGGATATATAATAAATATGCATGTGAATATGAAGTCGCTAATATCAGGTTGAAATCCATCTTTACTTTTGAATTAAATAAATTATGTCTATAAGATAAAGTGATCAAAAATTTATACTCTAAATGAATCATCTCAAAAATTCACAATGAATTGTATTGTTTGATATATTCCTTTTTAAAATGATTCCTTCAACTTGATTAAACATTTTTTCTTAATTTCTTCTCTCTTCACACTCCTATTACTCTCCTCTGTCTCCCAGTTATACCCTTCAACCAAACTCAGACTGAACAAATTGCAGATCTACAATGTTTCTATCTTTCCTCTTCCTTCTGCTAGGAATGCCCTTCCTCTTCCACCAGATCCCTAACCCATTCTCCCTGCTTACCAATTTCCTCCAGCTCTTAGTTTAAATATCACTTTCTCTAGAAATCTTTACATTCACTTACCCAACCTAGTGAAGCGTCTTCCTAAGATGTTCCCATAAGATCCCATGTTTATACATGGGCAAGGTTTATCACACTGATGTGTAACTGTGTCCCGCCACGTTGTAAAAATGGCATGCGACCGTATGCACTATTATATCCCCATGGAGGTAGGCTATAGAGGTAGCCCATAAAGAGATAGCCAATTTATATGTGTTGAAAGCTCACTGAATAGAACTGTATTAATATCATAAATAGATGACAATGCATCACCTATGTGCTGGGTACCAGGCTAAATAATGAGATTGCAGGATTGAGTTAGAACTGTTCTTCACAATTAAAATCAGGTAAAGTGAGAACCAGAATCTAATCAAAATAAACTCAGAAATAAAAGAGAAGAGAAAGCAAGAAAGAGACACAATTGAAGCAATCCATTTGGTGAACTGAGCAATCAACACCAAATACCGTAATCAGAACCATTTTGCTCTAAGCCACAGACACCATTAATGTTCCTTAGACCAATTTGATCACATATGTGGGTCCTTTAAGATCTTCTGTTGCTACGCAAAGACAAGGCAGCAAGCTTCTCTGAATAGAAATTACACTAGAACAGTTCCCATACCCAGCACATTTTAAAATAACACGGTCAAACCTGAGTGTCTCTAAAAGCACAGCAAACAAACCAAAAAGGATATATTGAATCCAGATTTTAACACATAAATAATTTAAAATTTATAATAACAAATATTTCTTCACCAGGTAGAGAGTTACTTAAAGGCAGAAAATGTATCTTCTTCTAAAGGGGAGGAAGAACACAAATGATAACGACATTTAGAATCAAATAGAACTAGGTTAAAATCTAACTTTGTCTCTTACTAGCTTTGCAATTTCAGCAAGTTACTCCGAACCTCAGTTTCTTCATGGGCACCATGGAAATAACAAAGACCTCAGCTCATCACATCAATGATGATTTGTAACAAATCCACCTAAGTTTGATGGAGTTCAATATATTTATAATGTGTATTTCACAGTATGGTTCTCAGGGATGGGAACAGAGTTACATCTTGACTAGATAGATCCAAGATCCAGAAGCAGGTAACTGATTTTAGTCGCTCTACCTACCTTCCTTCCAGTTGTCTCACCCCTAAGGCCTGGGGTTACACAGCCCTGTCATTATGAACATCCCCATACCATCATGTCCTTCCCTGTCTGTATCTATTGTTGTCTCCTTCATTGCATGTTATCATCCTAGACACTGATATAATTTCGTTGATTTAATTTACCTTGGCCCTGTTCTTTTTTTTTTTCTTTTAACTTTGTTCAGTCTTTTGACCATGGTCTAATTACCCCTTTTAGCTTGCTTCTGTCCAAGGCCAACTGTGCTTCTAATTTTCAGGAAACCATCTGGTGTCTGTTAATCTAGTTCAGGACATTTGAAAGTTTTACCAAAATAAATAAATAATAAACACAAACAAACAAAAAACCCTCAAGTATCTCATGTAATTCTAAGTAAAAAGCCTGACATTCTTTCCAGTACCAGAGCCTTTGCAATTTTTAGAGCAGTGCTGTCTAATACAAATATAGGAACCATATATCTCATTTTTAATTTCTTACAGCCACATTAAAAAATAAACATGAAATTACTTTAATATTATTGTTTATTTAGCCCAGTATGTCCAAAATCTCATTTCAAAATGTATTAATGACATAATTTACATTTTGTTCCACACAAAGTCTTGAAAATATGGTATGTATTTAGCTCTTCTGACACATCTAAACAGTTATAACTTGGACTAGCCATATCTCATATGCTCAATAGTCGCATGTGCCCAGTGGCTTCTAAACTGAACAGCATAGCTCTAGAGCATTTGTGACTTTAAAGCTTGTCTGTGTTTTGAGGATTAGGTAAGAAAGTATAACTTTTAAAAGTTTTTAATTACAAGATTGTAATGAGAGGAGGCTGGAATTCAGTACTTGCGTAGAGTCATTTAACACGTGAAATGGGAACCATAAAACATCTCTCTGGCCAAAAAAAAAACAAGCAAAAATAACAAACAGAAAAAAAGAGAGAGTGAGAGAGAGAGAGGGAGGAGAAAATAGAAAGTAATCACGAAAGAACTTAGATATTCCTTACACAACAGGCACACCCCCATAATGCATGTATCACTCTTGTGAACAGCAGGCCAGGCCAGGGTTTATTTTGTGGGTATATGGCTTTTAGCAAAGTTAGAAATAAAGAGCTTCCTATCAGAGCAAACAAAGCAGAGTTAGCCTTTGTAGGAATAAGACTGAAGATAAGATGGGAAAGATCTTCTGCAAATTCAGCAATTGCTGCTGAATCTAGGGAAAGTTGGAAAGTAGAGTATGCATTGCCCCCAAACCTCATATGTTAATTGTAAGAGTGTCAATGGTTCTATAAAATGAAAAACTTTTGCAAATCAGATATTTAGGAAACTCAGAGTATCTATGCTAATGAACACATTAAATAACATATTCCAGCAACTTCAATATCTTAATATAATTCAATATGAGTTCTGATTCTATATTTAAAATTGTATAGAAATACTACTGAAGTTTAGGGTAACACGTGGTTAAACTCTATAAAATTAGATACCTAAAGAAATTGATGAAAGCTTGTATAGATTATGATCCAGTATAGCTAAGCATTTAATATAATACCGGCACATAAACTGATCAACAGGTACTTGTCAAAATTATTTGCAAACTATTTTCATATTAACTAATATGATATATAAGTCATGTTTTCAGAAGTAGCTATTTAATTTAATATGCTGTGGGTGGGGGAATGTTTATGTTGGGAAGGTGGTTAGCAATAGATGGTCTAGTCTCTCATTGTGCACAACTGGTTGCCTTCTTAAAATATAGCTTAGCTCCCCAAAGCCTGGGGGGAAAGGGCAACATAATTCCTCATAACCTCAGAACATTCTGGAAAAGAATTTTCATTAGGCTGGACAATGGGAATGATATTCTGATTCTGGATGGACTCTACGTCTCTTCAAATAACATAAACCAGGAGGCTAAAACTGGTGATGGTATATGTATGACATAAATTTTATAAAATTTGTACTGCTATTTAAAAAAAGTTTTCACTGACTGGAAGAAGACTTTAACATACACAATACATTTAAAATATTAATTTCTGACAGCAAGTCAGTTTCCCTTAGAAATTACTTGCAAATTGTAAACTTTCATTTATTATTTTGGCCAGCAATTATTAACTGATGAGTTTGGCTCCATCATAAAAATTCTAATCATAGCTAAAATTCACTCATTTCCTATACTTTTTAGCTTCTTGTTCTACTGTGTTAGTCCACTTTGCACTGCTATAACAGAATATATGGGGCTAGGTAATTCATAATTAATAAAAATTCATTTTCTCTCAGTTCTGGAGGCTGGGAATCCAAGACCAAGGTTCTAGCATTAGGCAAGGGTCTTTTTGCTGCTTCATTACATGCCAGAAGGCAGAGGGAAGAGAGAAGGGGAGGACAGGGGGAGGGAGGGAGAGAGAGAGAGAGAGAGAGAAGCATGCTCATGCCAGAAAGTTCTTTATTAGGTCATTAAACCCACCCATGACTGTGGATCCCTCATGGCCTAATCACCTATTAAAGATCCCACTGCTTAATACTGTTACAATGGCAATTAAATTTCAACATGAGTTTTGGAGGGCACAAACATTCAAATCATAGCACCTATTTACTAGGTTTGTCAAGAGGATTATTTAGATAATGACTATAGAGCATTTTATACTCCTTAACTGAAGTTACTATGGAAATAAAATAGTGTTAACATAATATTACTCTTTTTCTATGATGCTTGTCCCTAATGGGAGCACTGGGTGAATTCAATATAAGAAATTAGTCCTTCAGTTTAAGATCTGCAGTTAGTAAAATGTTTGGAAAATATATTAAATCTAAAGAGAAGCAATCAAAAATTTAAAATATGTGTCCTTAAGTAATCTACTATGAAAAGTTATAAATGTAGAATGTGGATGGGAATGCTGATAGTTTGATAAAACAAAATACAGTTTATATTTATTAAGTCAAATAGCTTCTCTTATCATAGGAATTTTATAAAAGGATCGCTGAATATATGTCAAATAATTGAGTTCCCTGTTAGGGGTCAATTGTCTGAGGCTAGAACAGTACCTTTACCTAACTGATATGTCAGGCTGAACTATATAAAATAGCCACTTTCATAAAAAGTCTCAAAAAATGACAATTGTATATGGTTTATCTGTATTTTTCATATGATTTCATATGACAAATTTTATGTGGTTGCTAATAGTTTTCATCAACAAATACAATTAATGTAGTACCATACCATTAAAAGCTTAAATATTTAGAAATGCATAATTTATAACATGAGTTTTAAACATGCATTGTAGTGTGCTGAATATTTATATTTTTCTTTAAAAAGTTCTATCACTTTATTCTTGGTTTTCTCAGCACATAAATATAGCTTGTACAAAGAAATATTTTTTTAAATCTTTGGCTTGTATGTGTTCTGAATTATCACTATCTCTACCTAGATAAGAAATTCATTGAAGACAAGTACTATTCTCCAGTTGTTTTATTTTCAGTTCAGTGCTCTGCAAACAGAAAGCCTAAAATGATGATGAGCAGATTGTTTATCTACACTGTAGCTAATTAGCATGAGACAACTCACAGGCATTAGTGGTACAATTTAATTTTTCTATGTACTGCTAAGTAGGAAAATATTGATATTTGTATATCTGTAGGTTCTATTTTAAAAAGTACATCAGTTGAATCAAACTTTAGAAATACAATTAAAGTACAATGCTTTAATCTAGGAGAGCACTTTAATGTAAGGTATAAATTCAGCTAATGAACACCTGTTATAACACACAATGTTATTCAGGCTCGATAAACAGGTTTTTAAAAATCTAGCTTTTGAGTAAATTGTATGTTATAAAGTTTCATGCCAATGAGTGTTAGTTGTTTTTCCCCATCATAACTCGAGTGAAACAGAGGTCTGAACAAGAGACAGAAACTGAATTTTAATCCCAGCCTTAACAATGATACAGATTTACTTAGTGACCCAGAACAAGTATCTTTTCTGATCAGTTTACTAGTTTATCAAATGGATACTTCCTAATATCTTCTGGGAAATACTGTTCTGGTTATATATTGTTGCACAACAAAGCACCCCGAAACTTGGTGGCTTAAACAACAATAATTTTATCATTATCTTTGTGGTTCTGGGTTCAGCTGGCTGATTCTTGCTCAAGGCCTCCGAAGTTTGAAATAAGACAGAGGCTGGGGATGGAATCATCTGGTGTCTGAGCTGTGAAGACTCAAACAATTGGGGCTAGAACAGTTGAGGCTCTTTGGGCACTGGTTCTCTCTGTGTGTGTGTGTGTGTGTGTGTGTGTGTGTGTGTGTGTGTGTGTGTGTGTGTGTGTCTGTGTGTCTGTGTGTGTGTGTGTGTGTGTGTGTGTGTGTGGTCTGTATGCATGGGCTTTCCACCATGGTTACTTAGGACTCCAAAATTTTACAACTCATGAAGAGAGAGCCAGGCAGAAGGGGTATCATATTTATATCCTAACCCAAAAAATCACAAAATGTCATTTCTATCTTATTCTATTAATCAAGGCAGCCACAAGGCCTTCCCAGTTTTAAGAGGAAGAAACAAAATGCTGCTACTTGAAGGGAGAGGGAGAAATTCTAGTAGAGTATATGGCACCAAAAATATCATTGTGGCCATTGTTGGAAAGTACAATCTACTGCAAAAGCTGTAAGAATCAAACACCATTATGCCCCCAATAATATTTACATGGGGAAAGTTCTGTGAGTGGAGCCATAGGATTTTGCTGTGGCACACATTCTGTAGGTTTAGCATACCTAATTGTGATGTATGGGACACAAATACACAGAGAGGTACACACACATGCACAGGCAGCTAACTCAAGAGTATGGCTATCTGAAATCTTAAGCCAATATTCAAAGACATGGAAGGACAGTCAGGTGTTTCCTTCATTTTGAATAAGAATTTCCATTTTTTTCATCATGATCATTTATTCTGCTCTAATAAATTGCTTTAGCCAATTTGCCTTTGCTCTAGTTAATACAGAACTACCATCTACCTCATTTTTTAACACCCCTTACAACATCTACAAGCCTTAATTCTCCCTTGGTGAATCATTTATTTTCATCTTTTAGATACTGACCTAGTAAACACCAATATATCTGTGAACACTTAAAAATTTACTTGTTACCCAGTTTTTCAACAATTTTCTCTACTCTGATCATTATATGATGCATATAGTTCCACTACATAAATTTTTAGCATAAATTTTTATCTCTGTTTTCCAAAGTTCATTCTTCTCCCTGCAGAAATATTGGCTTTTTGTCTAGCAGCACTCATTATGCTCATTTAAAAAAGGATTACCCATGTTACTCTCATTTACTCCATATTACTCATTTATTTATTCAAATATTGGATAATTGACCAATATTCTCCAAATTGGATAATATTGGATAATTGACCCTTCATGAAACCAGAAATTTTGAAATTTTCTGCCTAATCTTGGGGAAATTCATCAAGTAAAAGGAAAGAATCAGTTACTTCAGTACAAATATCAAAAAAGATGGTATTTATCTTTCACTCATGTACACAGTTTTGATTAATTTTGAAGCAGCTTCACAATCTCAGTTCATACCGATTCCATTTCAATAAAATTCAAGTATTTATTGAATATAAATTACAGCCAAGTATTGCTTACCAATGGGGATAGATTTTGAGAAATGTCATTAGGTGATTTTGTCATGTGGGAACATCATAGAGTGTACTTACACAAACCTAGATGGTATAGCCTGCTACACACCTAGGATATATGGTAGGGCATATTGCTCCTCGGCTACAAACCTGTACAGCATATTAGTGTATTGAATACTGCAGGCAATTGTAACACAATGGTATTTGTGTATCTAAATCTACTAAAACTCAGAAAAGGTACAATAAAAATATGGTATCAAAGACTAAAATTGGTACACCTGTACAGGGTACTTAACCATGAATGGTGCTTTCAGAAGTGGAAGTCACTCTGGATAAATCAGTGAGTGACTGGTGAGTGAATGTGAAGGCTAGGACATTATTGCATTACTGTATGCTTTTATATGACTGGCAGCACAGTAACTTTGTTTACACCAGCATCACTACAAACACAGGAGTAATGCATGGCACTACAATGTTACAATGGCTACATCATCTTCAGCTCCATTATAATCTTATGGGACTACAGTCATATATGCAGCCCATCAATGACCAGAATGTCATTATCTGGAACATGACTGTATATACTTTACTAAGTACACTGTGGGTTATAAAAGTGGATAGGACATATACCCTGTCATTAAAAATGTGCAACATGGGAAAGGAGAACTAGACATGTCCACAAATAACTAGAGATTAAATTACAGAGAGGAATAAGGTAAATGTTGCAACAGAAGAATACACAAAGTGATATGAGAGTCTGTGGAAAGAGAGAGAGCACTTCTGGTTGAAGGACTAAAAAAACTAAAATCACTGGGTGGTGGGTATATCAGATAGGCTCTAAAAGATAGACATAACATTGATAGACTTGGATGACGATTTCAAAGTTAAAATATAGCATAAGCAAAACCAGGGCTAGTAATAATACTGTCTCACTAATCTATCTATCCACTTATCTATCTACTTATCCATCTATCTATTCATCTATCAAACCATGCCCTTATTTCAGAAAAGTGGCTTATAGAACAATATAAATAGTTTAAAATCAGGACAGAGGAAATATAATATACAAAACTGAGATAAGTAAGAAATGTAGAACACGATTACACATTTCATAGGGTACTAGGTTATTAAATTTGACCCAAATTGGACTCGTGTGACATATGAGCTTCCTAGAGGAAAGAAAATGTGGCTGGTCAAATGATTCAAATTACCAAAAAGAAGAAAGAAATTACCAATCCATTTGGGAAAGAAAAATGATTTGTTAAATGTTTCTATATGTAAGGCAGATTAAATATAAGATAATGATCAATATCTCAAATGACATATTTACGGTACTTGTACTAGCAGATTAAGGGTACCAGAAAATTTACTTATCCTAAGAGCTTCAGACCAAACATTAATTTACAACTTAATAAAAGCAGTTCTATAAGGGATGTTGGTAATATTCTCCTTGATTTGCAAAACAGAAAACAGAGTTATGGATATTGAGTCAGTTACCCAAAATCACACAGCTAATATTTATTAAAGTTTGTATTTGTATTTGTTTCCAGGTTTGCATTACTTTGATGTGAGGGGAAAAGTTTATGTGTAAAAGATAGAGTTGAGTTGGTGGAGAGAATTTGGTTGGGAGAAGAATAATTGAGAATGTACTGTCAGGGTTAAAATAAAGAATTGGAGGCAGGAAAACTAAGGATGCCTACAGGTTGAGATGAAAACAGCCTGTAGAAATAGAAAGTTAAAGAAAGGCTGTTTAGTGGAGAAAAGCCTAAAGAAAGATAGGATCAAGAGACCTGCTGAGGGGTTTGGCCTTGGCAGAGAGGCAGAACTAGTCTTCTTTGAACAGATTGTGAATAAAAGAAATGATATCACCTAAAGAGCTCAAGAAATGGCCCACCCTTGCTTTCCAAAAGGTTTCAAATCAAAGAACCTAGAGTTTGTTTAGATTTTTAGGCCAAACTCTTTCAGGTAAAATATTTTTTGTTGCACTTAGGACCCTAAAGGAATCAGCATTTGAGAGCAAAGGCATGGAATGAGATCAAGTAGCCATTTTTCTAACTTCATTCCATTTTCTGCCTGTATGAAATCAGTCACGTCTAGAAATGTGTATCCTAGTCTAGGGATTAGAACAACTAGATGTCCCCATTAGCTGTGGACATTCCATCAGCCTAAGGTTTGCAAGGTTTTTGGAAAAGTCAGCCCAACTTCTGGATGTTTCATGTTGGACTGCTTACTTATTCTGTGGGAGACTCAATATCACCATATAAAAATGGTGTTTTAATATTTATGTACTCAAATTTTATTAAAAATTAAAAGCCCCCATATTGTGCCCAGCACACTAAGCAATCAATAACTGTGAGTTGTTTCCTTCCTTTACTTTCAATCCTCACACAACACATATCGAGATCTGACAGCTGAAAAAGGACCCTTAATAGAAGATCAGTAAAGGCCTCTTACTCTGGCATGTATTCATTATTTCATTTCCAATTCTTTCAATAAATATTTATGTGCTGCTTTCTAAGAGACAGGCACCCAGCTCACCTTAAAAATGATGCAGAACCTCAGATTTTAGCCGCGTTCTCTCAGCAGTTCATTTATCTTGAAACTTGAGTCTATTCCCTGGTCCTGTTTTTTGGGATGGTTTGTCACTTTTCTTGTACTGGTATTTAAAATCCTGTATCTTAGTACAAATCTTGATCCCCTTACACTAAGATGTTGGTTTCTGCTTCCTGCCTCACATCCCTTTCCTGGTTCTATATCCTGTCTTTATTTATTTATTTATTTATTTATTTATTTTTGAGACGGAGCCTTGCTCTGTAACCAGGCTGGAGTACAGTGGCGCAATCTCGTCTCACTGCAACCTCTGCCTCCTGGATTCAAGCTATTCTGCTGCCTCAGCCTCCTGAGTAGCTGGGACTACAGGCACATGCCACCATGCCCAGCTAATTTTTGTATTTTTAGAAGAGACGGGGTTTCACCATGTTGGCCAGGATGGTCTCAATCTCTTGACCTCGTGATCCACCTGCTTTGGCCTCCTAAAGTGCTGGGATTATAGGAATGAGCCACAATGCCCAACCTACCCTGTCTTTAGATAATAATTTGTTCTGATGCCTGATGCAGCCTGGCCAGGATTAATGAGATAACATATCAAATGTGCTTTTTAACACCTTAAAGAAAAGAATATGAGAAAGAGCAAAATGTAAATTGTTTCTTTTATCAATAAACTAAAAAAGGAATATTCAAAATATGCATTCTGAATTAATATCTCCTATTCGTTCCCACCAACCTAGAATTTCTCTCATTTCATCTTCTTTCTCAAAGGGCACCATAAGCATTTTATTAGGGTCTAGGTAGGAAATGGATGGCACACACTCCTGTTGTGTAATTGCCAAGACTTAGTGTGTATAGAGCTTAAGAAAAGAAAGGCACAAAGGAAGCACTTGTACTAGTAAGAGCAGAGAGCCATTGCTATGTCTAAGTCTGAAGGCTAAGGGAAAGATGTGGTCCTTGGAACCTCAGAGATAAAGCTGTATGGAGAAAGCTGTTTGAAGAGGCTGTGGGCTTTGGTAAAGAGGCATTAACCTAGAGCAACCCAGCAGGAAGGAAGCAAGGGAAAAATAAACACTCCAATCTTATTCTTCTCCTATTTTATTTTTTGTCAGTGATCATCACTTCGTTAAATGCAACCAAAAGCCACACAGAAAGCAGGGGAGCTCATTTTTTATTTCATATGGGTCAGCATTCTGAGGACACAAAGAAGACTGTAGAAGGCTGAAGAGTGGACCGGAAAGGGCAAATAGGAGATATCCAGAGCAGACAAATAATCCAAGGTGACAGTGCCATGACAGCAATATAAGCAAATGCCAAGGGAACCAGCCAAGAAAGAGAATTCTGGACAGACTTTGATGGCAGGCAAGGCCAAGATGAAAGACAAGTGGATGATTTGGGCCAAAAAATAATATTCCTGGCTGGGGGTTTATTCAGAAAAAGTACTTGGCATTTTTAGAGGAATTTGAGTAAATTGATACAACTGGAATACAGAGGGAGTGAAGGGAAATGAAGCCAAAGATAAGCTGTAATCCAAATTAAGTAATGGAGGTTTATCACAGTATTTTAGAAAAAAAGAGTGATATAATCATCCTACTGGTTAAAAAGAAAAAAGATAAGGGGGAGGAGTTAGTGACAACTAGATGGACAGTGATATCATTTATACATCTTCACATACTCAGTGGCAACAATGACTGTATTTTATTCCTGCATAGCATGTGCCAGGCACTGTTGTAAGCACTTTGGATATAATAAGCCATTTAATCCTCACAGGAATCCTCTAAGTATTCTTATCATCTCCACTCAGAATTAAACTGATGCACAGTAAATTAGATGACTTGACAAAGTTCACACAGCTAGCAAATGGTGCAGTCAGCCAAGGGATCAGATACATGGGGCACAGTCCAGGAACATTTCATCCCTGGAGCTTCCAGTTGCCCTCTCCTAGTAGAGTCAGGGACAGTATCAACATTCCCAGCATCAGGGTATGAGAATATACACAGAGTATTGGCAAATAGGGAAGCTCCTCTGACACTCAGCATCCAGAGTTTCATTGGAACTTAGTCATATACACATGGTTGGCTGCCCAAGTGACTGATCTCAGTCTCCAGACCCTCTCAAGTTTCAGCTGATCCCATATGACTCAGAGCCCCCTTATGAATGATATTATTATACTGTCTGTGACATAGTTTGGCTCTGTGTCCCCACTCAAATCTGATCTCGAATTGTAATCCCCATGTGTGAAGGGAGGGACATGGTGGGAGGTGATTGGATCATGGGGATGGTTCCCTCATGCTGTTCTTATGATAGGGAGTTCTTACAAGATCCGATGGTTTAAAAGTGGCATTTTCCTCTGGCTCTCTCTCTCTCCTGCTGCCGTGTAAGACATGCCTTGCTTCCCATTTGCCTTCTGCCATGATTTTAAGTTTCCCAAGGCTTCCCCAGCCATGCAGAACTGTGAGTCAATTACATCTCTTTTATTTACAAATTACCTGGTCTCAGGTAGTATCTTAATAGCCATACAAAACTGGACTAATACATCTCCTATAGCCCAGGACTTTCAGGTAAACGAAAATACTCTTAACAGGCAAGACATTACAAGGGCTTAGATAACCTCCTAAGAGCCGAATAAGATAACCTCCCAAGAGCTGAACACAAAGGCCAAACTTCTCTTTGGGCAAGATTAAATTCCTTACTACACACAGGTGAAATTAATAATACATTTTATTTAGCTCAATATATCCAAAACATTATCATTTCAACATATGATCAATATAAAACATTATTAAAATAGCTTATATTTTTTCTGTACTAAGCCTGTGAAATGCTGTGGATATTTTACCTTTACAGCACATCTCAACTTGGACTAGCCACATTTAAAGTGCTTTGTAGCTGCATCAGGCTAGTTGGTAGTCTACCAATGAATGCAGCTCCATTCTTTCCTTATTCTTGCTGAATCTAACAAAGGTTTATATATTTATCCTGTGGGCATAATTATCAGTGTTTTCTAATATATTTATTTATTATTTTAAGTAATAATAAGAATTACTATTAGGTAATTTCTTATCACATTTAAAACTAATGTTTAAAATAGAATATGCTTTTCAAAAACCAAAACAAATCAACATCAACGAATAATCTTTTTACCCTCCCATTTGAAGTCCGAGTTTCTATTCCTTATCTATACAGTCTTTGCTTCTTTGATGTACTTTCATTACTTTTAGATTGAATTTCACCTTATTCTTAAAGTGACAATTTACATGTTTAATGATCTTCCTCTTGTCACTTATAATTCAATTTTCTATTTTCAGTGAGCCTGATTTTTGTGTGGGATATAATGTCTCTTCTCTTCTGATTGCATCTTAGGCAATGCAATGCAATTTGGACAAGACTTCAGGGAATCTCCCAGTTATTATTTTTTTGTGTGTGCAAATCCTCCCCTTACTAAAAGGGATGTTTGACATAATTTATTTTTATCTTAGTCTGAAGACATTTCAAGAAGTTTTTGAAAACCTTAAAAATATCTAAACCCTTCCTAATTTACCACAAAAACTGACCTGGAAGCTCTATTATCTATTACAGAAAATATTTTTTCCAGTATTCTCCAGTTGCAGTGCAGCACTTCAAAATGTACATTTAAACTACATTTTAGAAACACATTATAGAATAATATGTGTTATTTAGAATGGCTTTGTATATGAACATAATTAAAAGAGCATTTTAAAAGGCACTTTAATAGTAGCTATTGAAATGCCAAGCTGTAAAGGTCAGAGTCTGTCTACAAGTGCCTTAACACGCCTTCTTAGCCTCCTCTCTTCATCTGTCGCATGACCTCCTGTGGTGGTGGAGCACATTGTGGGCTGAGATGCACCTTAATTATTTTAGATTCATCCTTTCTTTATTAAAGTTTTACAATATTACAGTCTCATATTTTCCCCTTGTCTTCTCCCTTCAATGGTCTTAGAATCATACTGTTTCTACCCTGCATAATAGGTACCTCTCCATCACAGAAGCCATTTCGTTTGAAGTTGATGCTGTATCTTTTTTTGTTGTTGCTTTAGTGCCCTTTCTGTCTGTCATCATGGTCCTGCTTTTTATTGAGTGTATCTAACATAGATTCTTCCTACCTAAACATGGAGGAGAGAGATTTTAATTAATTCATTAATTTTGGTCTAGATATTAGCCCCCTTTGCCTAGAAAATTAGTGCTTTTTTTAAAATAAGGAAGGGCTGCATTTCCTCATGAGTGTGTGTGTGTGTGTGTGTATGTGTGTGTGTGTGTGTGTGTGTTTATATGTGTGTGAATTGATATCCCAGAAATATATCAAAACCTTTTAAAGTTCTTCCCATTTTCTTAACCATTGACATATCTGTTAAGCAACAGATATGCTGCTTCTTTAGTTAGGACTTTTAAGCTCTTTGTCCTCATGAGGTGAAAATGTTATGTGTTTCTGTCTTTGTCCCTTGGTCTTCTAACATTTATGAATGAATAATCAGTGCTGCTTGATATAGCTGGAATTCTTGCTTTTTCCTACTAAAACACTGAGTTACTTTTTCTCCCTTAAATGTTACCTTAAGGGTTTCCTTTCCCTTTAAGGCCATAAGTAATTCTTTAAACAATTATATGATTTGTTGAATTAGAATATAACTTCAAAATAAACTGTATTTTACTGTAAATTAGTAATCTATCAACGGATTTTACCACCAACCAAATCAGTATCTTGACCACATATACGTGAAACAGAGCTAGGTGAATTTATAACTGATACATCTCTAGTTACAAATATCCCTGGACAATTAGTGGCAACTATAAGCAACTGTATGCCCAAATTGGAAAATCTAGAAGAAATGAACAAATTTCTAGACACATATAACCTACCTAGATTGAACCATGAATAAATCCAAAACCTGAACAGACCAATAACAAGTAACAAGATCAAAGCCATAATAAAAATTCTCCCAGTAAACAAAACCCTGGGACCCAAAGGCTTCACTGCTGAATTATACCATTTAAAGAAGAACTAATACCAATCCTACTCAAACTATTTTGAAAAATAGAAGAGAAGCAGATACATTCAAACTTATTCTACAAAGCCACTATTACCCTAATAACAAAACCAGACACAGACACATCAAAAAAAGAAAACTACTGGCCAATATTTCTGATGACTTTTGATTCATAAGTCTTCAGCAAAGTACTGGCAAGCCAAATCCAGTGATACATTAAAAAGGTCATTTATCATGACCAAGTGAGATTTATCCATGGGATGCAAGGATGGTTCAACATATGCAAATCAATCAGTGTGATACATCATATCAACAGAATGAAGGATAAAAACCATAAGATCATTTCAATTGATGCTGAAAAAGCATTTGATAAAATTCAACATTTCTTCGTGTTAAAAACCCTCAAAAAACTGTGTATAAAGGAATTTACCTCAACATAATAAAAGTCATAAATTACATACACATAGCTAGTATCATACTGAATGGGAAAAAATGAAAGCATTTACTTTAAGATCTGAAACATAACAAGGATGCTCACTTTCACCACTGTTATCCAACATAGTACTGGAAGCCCTAGCTAGAACAATCAGACAACAGAAAGAAATAAAAGGCATCCAAATTGGAAAGGAAGAAGTCAAATAATCCCTGTTTGCTTGTATATTATCCTTGATGATATGATCTTATATTTGAAAAAAGCCTAAAGATGCCACCAAAAAATTTTTAGAACTGATAAATTCAGTAAAGTGGCAGGATGCAAAATCAATGTACAAAATTTAGTTGTGTTTCTATATGCCAACAGGGATCAATCTGAAAAAAGATATAAAAAAGTAATACCATTTACAATAGCCACAAATAAAATTAAATACCTGGAAATTAATTTAACCAAGGAAGTGAAAGCTTTCTATAATGAAAACTATACAACATGGATGAAAGAAATTGAAGAAGACACCAAATAAATGGAAATACACTCTATGTTCATGGATTGGAAGAATTAATACTGTTAAAATGTCTATACTACCCAAAGCAATATACAGATTCAATGTAATCTCTATCAAAATACCAATGATATTTTTCACAGAAATAGAAAAAATATGCTAAAATATATATGGAACCCCAGAAGACCCAGAATAGCCAAATCTATCCTAAGCCAAAAGAACACAAATGGAGGAATCACATTACCTGACTTCAAATTATACTACAGAGCTATAGTAATCAAAACGGCATGACACTGTCATAAAAACAGACATCAAGACCAATGGAACAAAATAGAGAACCAAGAAACAAATCCATGAACCTACAGTGAACTCAAGAACAAAGGTGCCAAGAACATATACTGGGGAAAAGATAGTCTTTTCAATAAATATTGTGGGAAAATTGGATATCCATATGCAGAAGAATGAAACTTAATCCCTATCTCTAGCATTATACAAAAATAAAATACAAATGGATTAAAGACTTAAATCTAAGACCTCAAACTATGAAACTACTCCAAGAAAACACTGGTGAAACTCTCCAGGATATTGGTGTGGGCAAAGATTTCTTCAGTAATACCCCACAAGCACAGACAACCAAAGCAAAAATGGACAAATGAGATCACATAAAGTTGAAAAGCTTCTGCAAAGCAAAGGAAACAATAAACAAAGTGAAGAGACAACCCACTTTATCAGAGAGAATATTTGCAAACTGCTAATCTGACAAAGTATTAATAACTAGAATATATAAGAAGCTAAAACAAACTCTGTAGGAAAAAAATAACAATCCAATTTTAAAATAAGCAAAAGGTTTGAATAGACATTTCTCAATAGAAGGCACAGATGGCAGACAGATGAAAAGGTGCTCAACATCACAGATCATCAGAGAAATGCAAAACAAAATGACAGTGAGATATCATCTCACCCTAGTTCAAATGGCTTATATCCAAAAGACAGGCAATAACAAACGGTAGAGAAGATGTGGAGAAAAGGGAATCCTCATTTACTGTTGGTGGAAATGTAAATTAGTACAACCACTATGGAGAACAGTTTGGAGGTCCTGTGAAAAACTAAAAATAGAGCTGTCATATGCTCCAGCAATTCCACTGCTGGGTATATACCCCAAAGAAAGAAAATCAGTATATCAAAGAGGCATCTGTACTCCCATGTCTTTTGCAGCACTGTTCACAATAGCCAAGATTTAGAAGCAACCCAAGCATCCATCAACAGATGAATGGATAAAGAAAATATGGTACTTATACACAATGGGATACTATTTGACCATAAAAAACAATGAGATTCAGCCATTTGTAACAACATGAATGGAACTGGAGGTCATTATGTTAAATAAAATAAGCCAGGCACAGAAAGACAAACATCTCATATTCTCATTTATCTGTAGGATCTAAAAATCAAGACAATTTAACCTATGGAGATAAGAGTGCAGAAGAATGGTTACCAGAGGCTGGGAAGGATAGTGGGAAAGTCGAGGGAGGTGAGAATGGTTAATGGGTACAAAAAAAATTAGAAAGAATGACTAAGACCTAGTATTTGATAGCACAACAGGGTGAGTGTAGTCAAAAATAATCTAATTGTCCATTTTAAAATAACTAAAAGGGTATAATTGAATTGCTTGTAGCACAAAGGCTTTTTTCCCTTGAGGGGATGGATACCCCATTTTACATGATATGATTGTTATGCATTACATGCCGGTGTACAAACATTACGTGTACCTCATATATACACTTCCTATGTACCCACAAAAACTAAAATATAAAAACATTTTTGACCAACAAATATCCATGAACACTTATAGAAATGTGAATTAGAAAGCTGTATCTTTCTGGAAAATACTCCTAACATTATGACGTATTTAAATAAACAAAAAGTGAATAAATAAAAAGGGTCACTTAGTAGCTAGAAGGTATAGCCAAACTAAAAATTTAATCAAACAAATTTAAAAACCAGAAATTCTGTGTTGATGGTTATGGCAGTAACATTGCTTTTGAGTCTCTCTGAATCTATCCATAAAAATAGATGCAATGACTAGGATAGTAAAATGAAACAACCACATAACCATTTGCCCAAAAAAATTTACAAAGGAATGAATGTAAGTTGCACAGATAAAATGTAAGAAAGACATCTAGTTCAACTTGAATTTTTTAGCTTAAATGTGCCCCAAATATTATGAGACATACTTATATTAAATATGTACTTATATTGTTCACCTAAAGTTAAAATTCAACTAAGAATCCTGAATTTCTATTTGCTAAATCTAGCAACAAACCCTATAGCAGTACAACTTGTGTAGTATCAACATTTTTGTTAGGGGCAGTAAAGAGATATTTCACAGATGTAAGGAAGGAAAAACCCAGAGTCCCAATAGGTACTTTCTGGAAAGAGCAGCAAGCCACAGAACAACTGAAACTGAGCAGGTTTTCTACATTCTCCATGTTGGTGTGAGTTCAGAGTCCCGCCATGAGGTCTAAAAGAGCTGGAGTAGGCTGAGCCTACTAACCCACTGTAGGCCTGTGCAGGATGAAAGAGAACCCTCTTGGAATAGAATGCAAATTAGCAGAACAGGGGCAATAGATACAAATAAAAAGGAAGAGCCAGAACATTAGGAAGAGCCAGAAGCGAGGATATCTCTAGGTCATATTAACGTTTCACCAAGACAAGAGGGATCACTAATGCTTGGAAGGTAGAAAAGTTATCCTATTCATTTCTCCTTTTTAAATGTCTATTATTTGAGGACTGTTAGAATAAACAATAGTATATCCACACAATAGATTATGATGTGGCTGTACAGAAGAACAAAAAAAATCTCCCTATCAACAATTGTGGGAAGATCTCCAAGATATACCGTTGCATGTAAAAAGTATGTATATATACTAAAAAACCAAATTAAGAAATATATTCTGTCTTGAAATAAAATTTAGAAGTTACACTAGAAGTAGATTATATAAATTATAGAATAAAAGCCAATGTCGAGGAAACATTTTTTGCTTGACTTTTGACTCTATCTTATTCTAGTAATAAAATAGAGCCAGTACATTCAAGTAGAACTATTTAGTTCTGCAAGCTTTTGCATATAAAAAAGAAGCTGCATAGTAATGATAAATTAATAAGGGCTTTGAATCTAAGAATAATGTTGAATTTGACAAGGTTCACAGAGAAGTGAGATGAAAAGGGAGCATAAGTTCAAATTTCAGCAGTATCTACAATTTTTCTTCAGAGTTATTCTTAACAGACAAGAATACTATAAATAATGCCAAATTATATTTTAAAAGGCAAACAAGTATTAAAAACTGAATGGAATATACAATAATGGACTTTTTCTCAGGATTTTAAATTGATGATTTCAGTCTATGAGAAGTAAATTTTAAAATAAAAAGCCAGCAACAATAAGGAACAATATGAAAATAATATGCTGGTAACGTGTGTTTCACAAATGCTGTTATATGTCACATTAATTTTCCTACTGATGTGATAAAAGTCTTTAGAAAACTCCTATTTGGTTTAGGTATACATTTTTATATTCCTCAACCAAGCCTATTGTACTACTTTCAAGGCTCAAGAATATTTGTTAAATTATTAAATGAATAATGATAATTATCAATGTAAACATTACCATATTAAATCTGACTTCACATAAGAAATGGTTTTATTTATACCTTACAACTTTGTTGATAATGGTTATATTTGGTTGGTTGGGGCACTTTGATTGAGGTATTGTTGCTGTTTTATTTATTTATTTATTTATTTATTTATTTATTTATTTATTTATTTTTTGGAGACGGAGTCTCGCTCTGTCGCCCAGGCTGGAGGGCAGCAGCGATCTCCGCTCTCCGCTCACTACCAACTTCCGCCTCCCAGGTTCAAGGGATTCTCCTGCCTCAGCCACCAGAGTAGCTGGGACTACAGGCACACGCCGCCACGCCCGGCTAATTTTTTGTATTTTAGTGGAGATGGGGTTTCACCGTGTTGCCCAGGCTGGTCTGGGACTCCTGAGCTCAGGCAATCCGTCTGCCTTGGCCTCCCAAAGTGCTGGGATTACAGGCGTGAGCTACTGCACCCTTGTTGCTGGATTTTAACCCTCAAGAACTGAGTTGACTTACTTCTCAGTTTATAGCATAACATCAACAGATTGCGCTCTGCATATTTAAAATGCATTACTATTTACTTGTCTCTCCTCTTTACCTTCCATCCCAGTTCACCCCACCCCTTACATGCCACAATTTGTATTTAATGCGTGGCCTTTAGATTAATTTCTATACATTTACTTGCCTCTATATATGTATTTTTAACATTATATAAATGGCATCATGCTGTAAATTATGTACTATTTCTTATTTTTCTCATTTAATATTGTTATTTACATCTATTGTTTGTTCCTATATGTAAATCTATGGTTTTTCTTCTGATTACTCTTCTGTGATATGCACAGCTAGCTACATTGTTATTTACCTGTTCTTGTATGATAAATATATATGTTACCACCAATTTTTTTAACTCTTTAACCATCAAAATAAACATCTTCATAAATATCTCAGTGTACCTGAAGGAGTGTCTCTGGGTATATATGTCCCAGAGTGAATAGGTACTTACGCAATTTTACTAAAATGCTGCCAATTTACTCTCTAAAATAGCTTCACCAACTTACACTCTCAAAAATAGACTACAAGATCTCCATTTTCTATCACATTTAGTAGCCACAGATTTATCCAATGTTCTCACTTTTGCCAATTATATGCATATAAAGTGCCATCTACATGTTTTTATTTACATTTTTATTATGAATTAATGTGAGAATATTGTCAATATTAACTACTTAGAATTTCCTTTTTTAACTTGTTTATTTAAAATCTTTACCCATTATTTTATATTGAGATTCTCTTATAATCTAAATCATTAGACTTTTTCCAGTTAAGGACGGTGCGAATAGTCCAAAGACTAAGGAATTACTCAAAAAATAATTTAGGTATGTCAATGGGGCACAGGAGCCATCCTAGAGAGCTTTCAGTAGCCCAGAGTACAAAATAAATATTGACAAGTACATACTGATTTAAATAAATGATTGAAATATAGATGAATGGGGGAAATAGGCAAGTCTGTGCACAAGAATTCCAAATTATTTATGCAGTTACTGCCCCACTGAGGAGGTGGAGTATAATATCTCTCCACCTTTACGTTTGGACTGCTCATAGTTGACTTTCTTCCAAGTACAGGGTGGAAAAGTGTGTTGGCCCAGTAGAAAGAGGAGGAAGAGTGACATTACAGTGGATAAATCTGATAAATACCATATCGTTAGGTAATTTAGGTTAGAATCAAGAGTTACAATTTACAAAGTGATATGTACCTTTGATACGATGTGATGAAAATGGCACTTTGCTCTTGTGGTCTTACCCTTTAAAATCCCTAACCCCATCTAATCACAAGAAAAACATCAGCCAAGTCTATACTGAGGGATATTCTACAAAACAACTGGTGGGTACTCCCCAAAATGGATCAGGTCATCAAAAAGAAGGAAGGTCTGACAAACGATCACAGTCTCCAAGATCCTATGGAGACGTTGCTATGGTCTGAATGTGTACCTCCAAAATTTACATATTGAAACTTAATCACCAGCGTGATAGTATTAAGAGGTGGGGCCTTAGCAAGGTGATTAAGTCAGGAGAGAGCTGCCCTTATGAATGAGATTAGCACCTTTATAAAAGAGGTGCCAGAGAGCTGTTTATCATTTCCACCACATGAAGTTGAAGCAAGAGGTGCCATCTTGGAAGCAGAGAGCATCTCTCATGAGACACTGCATCTGCTGGCACCTTCACCTTGGACTTCCTAGCTTCAGGAGCTGTGAGAAAATTAATTTTTGTTTTCATAAATCACCCAATCTCAAGTATTTGGTTATAGTAGCACAAAATGACTAAGATAGAAATGATGACTAAATGTAAAGTACTATCCTGGATGGGATTCTGGAACAGAAAAAGGACAGTAGACAAAAACTAAGGAAATTTGAGTCAAGTGTAGATTTTAGTTAATAATAAATGTATCAGTATAGATAACATAGTTGTGACAAATGAACATAAAAATGTAAGATGTTAATAATTGGGGGACTGGCTGCAGGGAATATAGAAACTCTCTGTACTACTTTTGCAACTTTTTAGTCAATATAAAACTATTCTAAAAGTAAGTGTTTATTTTTTAATGCTGCTAATGTTTTCTCCTAGCCTGTCAACTGTCCATTAATTTTGTCCATTGTGACTTTATTGAACAGAAATTTAGACATGATTGTCTTTGACAAGGGTGATAGTAGTGGAGGTGAAGTGAAGTGGGCAGGTTTGGAAAGTATTGTAGGGTGTGTTAAATTAGATGTAGAAAGGGAAGGGCAAAAGAAAAGACATTTGGAATGAATTATAAATTTTTTACTTCAGATATATAGTAATTACTTTCTGGAATCTTCATAATCTTTATTGTGATTGTAAATGGTATCCTATTTTCTATTTCAATTACTAAATGTTTATTGCTGTTGCAAATAAGTTCTATTGATTTTGCATATTGATCTTGTTGCAATGTCTTAATCATTCTAATAGTTTGTTGATTATATGGGACTTTCTTTATAAATGATAATGTATTACAAATACTGAACATTTATCTTCTTCTTTTTATTTACATACATGCAATTTATTTTGTATCTAATTAGACAACTCCCAGGACTATTTTAAAAAGTAGAAGAATGTTAGAGTTTTTGCCTAATTTCTATTAGTAAAAGGAAACTTTCAAAAATTCTTCATTAATGATAACATTTGATGTTGGCCTATGTTTGTTAATTTGTTTTGCTTTATTTTGCCAATATGGATGACTGGCAATAGGGGTGATGAAAGACAGCTTTTATATGATAAAGGAAATTTCCTTTATTCCTGTTTTTTTATGAACATTTAAAAAATCTCAAATAAACACTAAACATTATCATCAAAAGCTTTGTCTGTATATATTGAAATGATCATGATAGGAAAGATGGCTGAATAGGAACAGCTCCTGTCTGCAGCTCCCAGAGAGATCAATGCAGAAGGCAGGTGATTTCTGCATTTCCAACTGAGGTATCTGGCTCATCTCATTGGGACTGGTTAGACAGTGGGTGCAGCCCACGGAGGGCAAGCAGAAGCAGGGTGGAGTGTTGCCTCATCTGGGAAGTGCAAAGGGTCAAGGAACTCGCTCACCCAACCAAGGGAAGCCGTGAGGGACTGTGCCCTGAGGAACAGTGCATTCCAGCCCAGATACCATGCTTTTCCCATGGTCTTCGCAACCTGCAGACCAGGAGATTCCCTCGGCACCTATGCCACCAGGGCCCTGGGTTTCAAGCACAAAACTGGGCGGCTGTTTGGGCAGATACCGAGCTAGCTACAGGAGTTTTTTTCCATACCCTAGTGGCGCCTGGAATGCCAGTGAGACAGAACCGTACACTGCCCTGGAGAGGGGGTTGAAGCCAAGAAGCCAAGTGGTCTAGCTCAGTGGATCCCACCCCCACGGAGCCCATCAAGCTAAGATCCACTGGCTTGAAATTCTTGCTGCCAGAACAGCCATCTGAAGTTGACCTGGGATGCTGCAGCTTGGTGGAGGGAGGGGCGTCCACCATTACTGAGGCTTGGGTAGGCAGTTTTCCCCTCACAGCATAAAGAAAGCCTCTGGGAAGTTCAAACTGGGCTGAGCCCACTGGAGCTTGGCAAAGGCACTGTAGCCAGACTGCCTCACTAGGTTCCCCTTCTCTGGGCAGGGCATCTCTGAAAGAAAGGCAGTAGCTCCAGTCAGGGGCTTAAACATAAAACTCCTATCTCCCTGGGACAGAGCACCTGGGGGAAGGGGTGGCTGTGGGTGCAGCTTCAGCAGATTTAAACGTTCCTGCCTACCAGCTCTGAAGAGAGCAGCAGATCTCCCAGCACAGCAATTGAGCTCTGCTAAGGGACAGACTGCCTCCTCAAGTGGGTCCCTGACCCCCATGCCTCCTGACGGGGAGACACCTCCCAGCAGGTTTGACAGACATCTCATACAGGAGAGCTCTGGCTGGCATCTGGCAGGTGCCCCTCTGGGACGAAGTTTCCAGAGGAAGGAACAAGTAGTAATCTTTGCTGTTCTTCAGCCTCCGCTGGTAATACCCAGGCAAACAGGGTCTGGAGTGGACCACCAGCAAACTCCAGCAGACCTGCAGCAGAGGAGCCTGACTGTTAGAAGGAAAACTAACAAACAGAAAGGAATAACTTCAACATCAACAAAAAGGACATCCACACCAAAATCCCATCTGAAGGTAACAAACATTAAAGACCAAAGGTAGATAAATCCACAAAAATGGGGAGAAACCAGTGCAAAAAGGCTGAAAATTGCAAAAACCAGCATGCCTCTTCTTTTTCAAAGTATCACAACTCCTTGCCAACAAGGGAACAAAACTGGATGGAGAATGAGTTTGACGAATTGACAGAAGTAGGCTTCAGAAGGTGGGTAATAAAGAACTCCTCTGAGCTAAAGGAGCATGTTCTAACCTAATGCAAGGAAGCTAAGAACCTTGAAAAAAGGTGAGATCAATTGCTAACTAGAATAACCAGTTTAGAGAAGAACATAAATGAATTGATGGAGCTAAAAAACACAGCACAAGAACTTCATGAAGCATACAAAAGTATCAATAGCCAAATTGATCAAGTGGAAGAAAGGATATCAGAGATTGAAGATCAACTTAATGAAATAAAGCATGAAGAGAAGATTAGAAAAAAAGAATGAAAAGGAATGAACTAAGCCTCCAAGAAATATGGGACTATGTGAAAAGACCAAACCTACATTTGATTGGTGTACCTGAAAGTGACAGGGAGAATGGAACCAAGTTGGAAAATACTCTTTAGGATATTATCCAGGAGAACTTTCCCAGCCTAGCAAGACATGCCAACATTCAAATTCAAGAAACACAGAGAACACCACAAACACGCTTCTCAAGAAGAACAACCCCAAGACATAATTCACTGTCAGATTCACTGAGGTTGAAATGAAGGAAAACTTTTAAGGGCAGCCAGAGAGAAATGTCGGGTTACCCACAAAGGGAAGCCCATCAGACTAACAGCGGATCTCTCTGCAGAAACCCTACAAGCTAGAAGAGAGTGGGGGCCAATATTCAACATTCTTAAAGAGAAGGATTTTCAACCTAGAATTTTATATCCAGACAAACTAACCTTCATAAGCAAAGGAGAAATAAAATCCTTTACAGACAAGCAAATGCTGAGAGATTTTGTCACAACCAGGCCTGTCTTACAAGAGCTCCTGAAGGAAGCACTAGACATAGAAAGGAACAACCGGTACCAGCAACTGCAAAAACATACCAAATTGTAAATACCGTCAACACTATGAAGAAACTGCATCAACTAACGGGCAAAATAACCAGCTACCATCATAATGACAGGATACAATTCACACTTAACAATATTAATCTTAAATGTAAATGGGCCCTGTTTAAAAGACTTTAAATTAAAATTAAAAGACACAGACTGGCAAATTGGAGACTGGCAAATTGTCTTTAAATTAAAAGACACAGACTGGCAAATTGGATAAAGAGTCAAGACCCATTGGTGTGCTGGATTCAGGAGACTCATCTCATGTCAAAAGACACACATAGGCTCAAATTAAAGGGATGGAGGAATATTTACCAAGCAAATGGAAAGCAGGAAAAAAAAAAAAGCAGTGGTTGCAATCCTAGTCTCTGATAAAACAGACTTTAAACCAACAAAGATCAAAAGAGACAAAGAAGGGCATTACATAATGGTAAAGGGATTAATGCAACAAGGAGAGCTAACTATCCTAAATATATATGCAACCAATACAGAAGCACCCAGATTCATGAAGCAAGTTCTTAGAGACCTGCAAAGAGACTTAGATTCCCACACAATAACGGCGGGAGATTTTAACACCAGCCAAAATTGACAAAAGTCAAAATTGCCAAATGAGATCTAATTAAACTAAAGAGCTTCTGCACAACAAAAAAAACTATCATCAGAGTGAACAGGCAACCTACAGAATGGGAGAAAATTTTTGCAATCTATTCATCTGACAAAGGGCTAATATCCAGAATCTACAAAGAACTTAAACAAATTTACAAGAAAAAAACAACCCCATCAAAAAGTGGGTGAAGGATTTGAACAGACAATTCTCAAAAGAAGACATTCATGCAGCCAACAAACATATGAAAAAAAGCTTATCATCACTGGTCATTAGAGAAATGCAAATGAAACCACAATGAGATGTCATCTCATGCCAGTTAGAATGGCAATCATTAAAATGTCAGGAAACAACAGATGCTGGAGAGGATGTGGAGAAATACTAATGTTTTTAAACCATTGGTGGGAGTGTAAATTAGTTCAGCCATTGTGGAAGACAGTGTGGCGATTCCTCAAGGATCTAGAACCAGAAATACTATTTGACCCAGCAATCCCCTTACTGGGCATATACCCAGAGGATTATAAATCATTCGACTATAAAGACACATATGTTTATTGCAGCACTGTTCACAATAGCAAAGACTTGGAACCAACCCAAATGCCCATCAATGATTGTCTGGATAAAGAAAATGTGGCACATACACACCATGGAATACTATGCTGCCATAAAAAAGGATGAGTTCATGTCCTTTGCAGGCACATGGATGAAGCTGGAAACTATCATTCTCAGCAAACTAACACAAGAACAGAAAAACAAACTCTGCATGTTCTCACTCATAAGTGGGATTTGAACAATGAAAACATGGACACGGGGAGGGAAGCGTTACACACTGGGGCCTGTTTGGGGTGGGAGGCTAGGGGAGGATAGCATTAGGAGAAATACCTAATGTAAGTGACAGGTTGATGGGTGCAGCAATCCACCATGGCACCAGTATACCTATGTAACAAACCTGCACATTCTGCACATGTATCCCAGAACTTAAAGTGTAATAAAAAATTTTTTTAAAAAAGAACACACACACAAAAAAAGAAATGATCACATGATATTTCCCCTACAGTCCATTAGTGTGATAAATTTTGTTACTACATTTTCTGAAGTTGATTGTCCTTGCATTCCTTAGATAAATCCTCTTTGATTCATGGTCTGTTTTTAAAAATATGCTGCTAAATTTTGTTGGCATATTAATATTTAGAAAATTTTAATATTTGATAGAAAGAAATTGAGCATAGATTAAAATTTGATTTTCTTATGGGGTTTTCACTAGTTTTGATACTATGCTGGATTTTTTTTTTAATTTTCCCTTTAAAATTTATTCTCTATTCTTCTCCTTCCTGCTCTGTGTCATGAAAGGTACTGAATGGGTTCCCTCCACAGGTTCCTTTGCCCCTGGCTTTTGGTAAAGTTTAGTCAATGATCTATTTTTTTTAACTTTTATTTTAGATTCCTGGGTACATAAGCAGGTTTTTTATATAGGTAAATAATGTGTTATGGGGATTTGTGTACAGATTATTTCATCACCCAGGTAATTATAGTACCCCATAGGTAGTTTTTTAATCCTAAACCTCCTCTCACCTTCTCAAGGAGGCCCCAGTGTCTGTTCCCTTTTTTGTGACCATATGTACTCTATATTTAGCTACAACTTACGAGGGAAAATATGCAGTACTTGGATTTCTGTTCCTGTCTTAGTTTGCTTAGGATAATGGCCTCCAGCTCCATCCATGTGGCTGCAAAGAACATCATCTCATTCTTTTTTATGGCTGTGTAGTATTCCATGGTTTACATATACCACATTTTCTTTATACAGTCAACCATTGATAGCCATTTAGGTTGATTTCATATCTTTGCTATTCCAAATAGTGTTGCAATGAATATACACATGCATGTGTCTTTACAGTAGAATGATTTGTATTCCTTTGGGTATACACCTAATAATGAGATTGCTAAGTTGAATGGTAATTCTGTTTTCAGTTCTTTCAGGTATTCCCAAACTGCTTTCCACAATGGCTGAAATAACATTCTCAGTGTATAAGCATTCCCTTTTCTCCACAGCCTTACTAACATCTGTTATTTTTTGACTTTTTAATAGCCATTCTGATGGTTTGAGATGGTATCTATTTCTGGCATGAGACTTAAGAGCAGGAGTTGAGTGAAGTCTGAGTCTTACTCCCCCGAATTCTCTGTTAGATTGTAGAATTTGATACATCCCTTTACCAAAAGTTTCAGCTCCCCTTTGGATTTTTCCAATAATTTCCTCAAATTGCTTCTTTAGGCTAAAGAGTGGTACTAGTTGCTTCTATTGTAAGCCTGGATAAAAACTATTCCCTCTTGATTTTCCTAAAGCCAGCCAATACCATTGTAGAGTGTCCCTTCATTGAAATCTCCATAGTCCCCCAGTGTGGGCATGTCAACTGTTTCCTACTGGGAACCTGACTGATACAGATATCAAAGTTACACTGACTTCAAAATGTGAATTGTGCATCTTCCTTTCTTTCCTACTATAAGATATAAGTTGTGTACAATGGATACATATTTTTTGACAGTTTGGTAGAACTCACCTATAAAATTATAGTTTTAGGGCAAGGATTTAGTGGTAGAGAATAATGTGTACAAATTTTCTATTTCTATGTTAATTTTAGAGTATTACGCAAAATAGATATTGCAAAAATATCTAATTAGTATTTCAAGTTATTGGCATTTAGCAGTTTATAATATTCTTTTGAATATCTTTCACACCTGTAGCTGTATTCCCTTTTCTTTAATATTTTATTTATATGTTCTCTCTCTTCTAGTAAGGTTGCAAAAAGTTTAGCTTTTCAATGTCATTTCAAACAGTTTTTAAATTCTTTGGCTTTCTCTGTCATTGGGTTCATCCATGACCTTTATAACTTCATTTTCCTTATGTACATGGTAAAATAGATAAACGCATTTAAATTATGAGTGAAATATGAAGTAAGGAGATAAACTTTTATGCGTTGTTTGGGAAAAATGTCCCAAACTTCCTAAAATGATCAAAACATCTAAGAAAGTATTGCCACTATGGATGTTACGGATATATAAATGTTCATCATTGTATTTTTTTAATCCTTGATTTTGGAATGTTTGGATTAACTGATAACATGTGAATGAGAAAAGGCATTTAATTAAGCTGCAAAGATATTACCAAGGCAACTTTCAAAGTATAACTATAATCATCCATTCTGTTTAGTAGCACCTTAGGTGACTCTTTAGATATCCTCAGCCTCGTCTGTCTTCATTGGCCTCCACCATAACAGCAGACTCTGAGTAGCTACTCAGAATTCTGCTGAGGCTGAGCAAGCACGTGTCTGAATTCAATATTAAAGCAGTCCAGTAATAAAATCTAGTTTATTTGGAGGAATTAATTCCCTGTAGAATGAAATTTATCTAATGAAACAGGGAAGGGGACAGAGCTAGCATATAAGTTTATCTCCCTCCCTCCAACAGAATGTGTGAGGCATTTTTTTAATACAGTTTGTTTAGTGACAGTCTTGATAAAAGGGGCCTTACTGAGTGACCATCTGTGCTTCCTTGCAGCAATTTGGAAGCACAGTAACTTATCACCTTGCTATTGCTGTCCAACTGACCCTGCCTGCTTCCCTATCCTTCACTCTCACTAGCCTGAGACTGTACTTCTCAACTAAGCTTTGGCACTTACATGTTTTGTTTTGTTTTGTTTTAAGATTCTGTTCTCCAGGGAACAGATCTATATCAATCACTTAGCATCTAACAAGAAACCCTATGTGAAAGAGGACTTACTCTCCACTTTGGAAAAAAGAATTACTCACTTTCTAGTGGAAAAAAAAATGATAGTTTTGGAGATTCATGATTTTGAGATACTTTTCCCTCTCTCAACTTTGGCAATGCGGAAAGTGAAATAGCAAGAAGTTTGGACCAGTCCTGGCCTGTGGTCTTCCCAGTCACCTTATATCCCCATAACTAAGTTTCCTGGACAGGTATGGAGCTTCTGAACAATTCAACCATGATTATCTTAGATTTCTTTTCTACCTTCCAGGAAAAGCCCCACATTTCCAAAGAAATACAATATTCTTAAGTAAAATGACATTCCTGAGAGTAACTCTTCTCATCTTTTTTTGAATCCTGAAAAGATTCCTAAAATGTTAACCTTTGTTTCAAGTCATGATAGCCTTGGGAGAAAATATAGTCTCAAGAGGATTTATTCAAATATATTTTTCTGTGTGAAATCAGAACCACAATAAGCCACAGGGAGGATGGCTATATTATGAAATTAGGAAATGAGACAAAAACAAAACTAGTGATGGAAATGATGTGAAGAAATTGGAATCCTTGTATATTGCTGGTATAATGTAAAATGGTGCAGCCATTGTGGAAAAAATTTGATGGTTCTTCAATAAGTTAAACTTAGAATTACCACAGAGCCCAGCAATTCCACCCCTGGGTATGTATGCAAAAGAATTGAAAACAGGTGTTCAGGCAAAAACTGGTACACGAATGTTCACAGCAGCACTATCCACAATAGCTAAAAGGTGGAAACAACCCAAATGTCCATCGACTGATGAATGGATAAAGAAAATGTGGTATTTCCATAAAGTGGAATATTTTTTCACTGTAGAAAAGGAATAAATACTTACACATGCTACCACATGGATGAACCTTGAAATATGCTAAGTAAAAAGCCAAACATGAGAGGCCACATATGCTCCTATTTACATGGAATGTCCAAAAAAGGCAAATCTATATATAGAGAAATGAGATTAATAGTTGCCACAAGCTGGGAGGAGAGAGGAATGAGAAGTGACTGCTTAAAGGGTATCAGGTTTTTTGAAGGAAGTCATGAAAATGTTCTGGAATTAGATACTAGTGATAGTTGTACAACATTGTAAATGCACACTTTGTTATGCATGGTGAATTTTATGTTGTGTGTCTTACCAGAATAAAAGATAAATAAATAACTAAAATTAATGTATTTATCTGAATCTACCCCACCTGATCTTTACAAGCTCGTGATCCTTTTCTAAAATAATTCCCAACTTGTTATTAAGAGTCCCTGGGGTAGGGGATTAGGGGGAAGAAAAGTAGGTTCTTAAGTGAATCCTGTGAATTAATCCTCTTTAATAATTATTCTGTGCCACTACTTTCTTCTCTTTTAATACCGACTGGCTGTGATCATATCTTCTATAGCGATTAATGACAAAAACAATAGCTTTATCACAAATGACCACTGAAGGTGCCAACTCAAATGCTGATATCTGTACTCAAGGTCAGAGGCTGCCTTTGTTTTTTTTGTTGCTGTTGTTTAATTCACTTATAATCTGCTTCATTTCAAAAATGCCTTGAGTTACCGAATGCCTATGTCAAGAGCAGTTATGTCTGTGCCCATCATTGCCAGGTCTACCTATGTAAATGTGACTGATGCTTTACAGAGTGATTTCACAGGCAGATTTTAGGAAAATAACTATTTCAGTTTTTACTTGTTCTTTCTTTGGAGACTGTTGACCTAGTTCTAAGACTGGAAACCCGAAAATGACCGAGTGTTGGCAATAACTGACTCTCCCATTGGTGCACTGGGAAGACATTCATGCAAGAGCCACCATCATATGGCCCATTGGCTGCTGGCAAGAATGATGCCAGCTTGTGCCCTAGGATTTTGCTCCGGGCTTGTCCTGCATGAAGAACCTCTCCACCCCCCCTCATCCCCGCAACACCCCACGCTGCTCTCTTTACAATCTCTCACAATCCTGATAAGCAACAAATGAAAGTGGTGGTATTTAGACAAAAACTTCTAACATGTATATGTATGAGAAAACTAATTGAGATTTCTTCTGAGCCAAGACTGTGATAAAACAACCCACTATGGTAGTGTCTCTGAAACAAAAAACCAGCAAACAACAAAAAAGGATTCTAGGGACTAGTAATCTTTGAGTGTGAATCTGGAATAATATAAATTTCAAGATTTCGTATAGGAAGGAAAAATTTGCTTCTCCTAGGGGCCCAGTAAATAGAAGTTCTATGAAGATAAAATGGGGAAATCAAGCTAATCGAAAAATGCTGAGTTTGAATTGAAATTGTATACCCTTGCTTAGAGAAATTTTCTGAATTAATGTTCAATGTAATATAGACACAATTACAGAAATTAATAGTACCACCAAACTGGGTTACATTTAAATTTCTAATTCTTTAAGAGGGATCCATTTGAATGGGGATATTATTTTTGTTTTTAAAAAGCCTTCCATCTACTGAAAAATTCTATGTGTAATCTATATATTACACATACCAGATAGCTAATAAATATATTTTCAATGAAAGAATAAAGAGCTAATATTAGACATAATTCTACAAAAATTTCTTATAATTGGGAAACATTCATTTGCTAATTTTCTATAATACAGTTTATTTGTTAAATTTTCAAAACAGAAATATTTTTTATGTTTCCATATCATTTTTGAAAAATATGAGAACATTTTTCTGTCATGATGAACAAAATACTGTGTGAGGATCAAATGGCATTGATTTGATCAAGGCAGCTAAATTTCTTTTTAGATGAAAGACTTATTTGGCATTCTAGAAAGTAATTTTATTAGAGGATTGAAGATTCCAGAAAAAGTGGTATTGAAAATTATTGACATTAAAAGAAAGGAATGTAAGCTAAATAATGGCAGGATGTGAAAAAAAGTCTAGGCAGAATTAGAGTATTATACATCTGAAACAAAAAAGTATGCTGCAATCATAACTATAGCCTACAATGAAAGATAGAATAACTAGCCTATATGTAACAAAAGTTACAAATTGCTGATAAGCTGGAAGGAAAAAATGAAAGAGCGTGGTGCTTTGTGAATTAGAAAAGTTTGGTAGGTATAAAGAAATTGATAAACTAAAAATTGTAATAGTCATAATATTAATTCCCTCAACAATTATATTTTTAAAGCTAACATGTGTTGACGTTGACCTTTCTGTTAAATGCTGAAAACGCAAAAACAGAGATGATTTAAAGACCCCTAGGAGTTGATACTCTAGAGATAGAAAAGGATATGTATGAGAAAAGAAAAAAACAATACAATTTGCTAAGTGCTTTTATAGATGCATGAACAAAGTGTTTTAACAATATAAACTGGGGAATTGTTGGAACTCTCTGATAGAGTTGCCAAAAACATCACTGAGAAATGGTGGCTAAGCAGGATACTAATGATCAGTTGCTATTGACCGGGTCTAGGGAAATGTTTCTGGACCACATGTGATAGAGGATGACTGTGGATAAGAACATTGCAAACAGAAGAGAAAAAGAGACTGAAATAAATACGAAGTATTTTAAAGCCAGACTCTCACCACTGTAAGTTTCACAGCCATCGTAGTTCACAATTAGCTGACAAGAAATGAAGTGCATAAGAGCAACATAACATTGCTTTTCTGTAATTTTACCCTTACCATTTCTAATATCATGACATCCAAAGTTATAAAAAGAATTTTGGCATACCTTGGCATTGGCTATAACACTTCCTTTTCCTCCTCTGGCTTAATCACAAAGCCGATTTGTTCATTTTCTCTCTAATGCTTCACTAGTCATATCTTTCCAATTTCCACTACAGTGTGAGTGTTGAATGTGTGTGTGTGTGGGGGGGTGCTGATTGTGTCCTGATCACTGTATTAACAAAGAAACAGATTGGAAGTAGGCAAAATTTGTCTTTTTATATGTCACTTTGAATACCACTTTCACCCCCTAAGGTATCCTTTCTTGGCCCTGGCATAAAATCTTATTAATAATTAATATTCAAAGCATTCCTTCTACCAAGTAGAATTTATATGCTAAAGGAGGTTAGAATAACAATTCTCCATAATGATATGATTTCAGCATCCATAGCACATGAGAGAGAAAATACCTGGGGGAAGGGAAAGTCTTCAACGTATTCCATTCTCCATCATGTTGCAGACAGACATCTATTTCTCCCCAATATATTACAAACTTGAATACAGAGTCCTCTAACTCATAATGAGAACATTAATGTTTATCACTTTACTTTCTTAGAGTAATAGCATTATTTTCGTCAAAAACTTTATTCTTACAAAGCATTTTTATATACCTTATCTTATTTAAGCCCTGTTTGTTGATGTTGTTTCTGTTATTACTCCCATTTCAGAGATGGAGTAACTGTGGTTCAGTGAGGAATTAAGTGGCTTGCCTCAGGTGATATAAATAGTAGGTGGCAGATCCTAGGCTTGTATTCATACATGTTGTCTTTCAGTTGACTGCCATTCTTTCTCTACCTCTATGCTACCCTGTTCCTTGCTCCCTTAAAAGTTTCTCACCTATGATTTCAGGGCCCATCCACAGAGATAGTAAGTATGTGTAGGGCCACAGATATGCACTCTTCATATCAGGTATCTTAGATACAAGTAGTATAAACATCATAACTTAAGAAACAGAGATATAGAAGCTATCTTGGATGAATAAGTGATCAGGGCAGGGCAGAAGGTGGTTAGCACTCCAATTAATTAAGGTCAAGCCAAGGTAAAAGCAGGTCTTAGATGAAACAGATCTTTAGTTCTTCCACCTCTAGCCCATCTTGCTGCTGCACTCCAGCCCCCAGGTCATCACAGCGATAGCCACCCCTGCTTTGTAACACCCAACACAGGTTGGCCTTGCAATGCTCTAAGCTGCCTGCATAACTTAAATTCTTATTTCCCCAGATTAGAAGGAGGACTACCAATTAAACTTCATTTTATGTTGTATCAACCAAATGGCTTGTATTAGAAGAGAAGTGGAAAGGTTTTTACCCCATGAAATAATTTTCATATTATGGAGTTTTTAAATAGAAAAGATTGTGAAATGAAAATCAGGAGGGCAACAGGACCTTTAGTCACTACAAAATTATTTCACAAAGATAGCCACATATTCTGAAAATGCATAGGGCTACTCTAAAATTGCTGAACAGCTATTACTTAAGAGTCTTATTGTTTTGTTCTTCTGGGATTTGTTTTGTATAATTTATGCCACACAAGGCATCTGTAAACAATGACAATTTCTGATGTAAACATTAATACATTTATTTGGAAGTTTTAGCAAAAGGAAGTTTTCATGACCAGACTATGTGTAAAGAAAATGGCTGCACTGCAGATAGAAGTAGGCTGAGGCAAACATCCGGTACAGCATGACACAGCAGGTTTGGAGTGCAGGCACACAACTCCATGCATTATATAATCATATTTATGTTTATGTGAGCTCATACCTAGCTCTGAGCCACTATTATCTGTCAGATGTATAAGTACGCTGCTGATGCTATGGAGAGAGGAGGAAATAAAGCCATGTCCCAACTGCTTACAGTCCCTTGAGTGTTCTTCCAGCTGCCTGCCACCTGTTCACCAACTCCCCTTGGACCCCAGCTCGGGTTGGAGCCCGATAATTGGTGTAGTCAGCAGTATCCTGAGGTGAGTGAACCCTTGGCCCCCAATGATCCCAAGTCAGCCATGTGGAACCCCTCATGGGTTATGCTACACAGTGGCAGCTGTGCTGCTAGGATGGGCCCCAGTGGGAACATGGGCGGTGGTGGACAGGTCCCCAGAGACCATGGAGAAGGTGCTGAAGTACTTGGAAGCACACAGTACCAAGAAGGAGAGTGCCTTTGCTGGCAGAGTTGGAAGGGTGTTTTTGACAGGGCTACAGGAAGTGCTTGCTCAGTCCCTACGGGATGCAGCACAGGTAAGGAATCTCCTGGGGCAAGCAGAGCACTTGGAGGCCTGGATACACAGCTTGGAATGAGACCTGGGGACTGCTGTTAGTGGGGGCCTGAGCCCAGCATCCCAGTCAGAGACCCCCCCACTTCGTCTGATACTCAGAAGGAAGAACCCCCATTGCGAGCTCACCCAGTAGTCCATCAGAAAGCAGAACACAAACAGCCACTGGGGCCCCAAGAGTGGGCTCAGGGAACCCCCACCATAATGGAGTACACTTCATATAGTGCCTATAGGCCAATCAAGTTGTGGGTATTAGGTAAACAGTGTCAACAGTGTCCAGGGGAACCCCTACCTGCCTGGATGCTTCTCCTTTGGGATGAAGGAGTGATTAGTATCTCTTGCTCTGCCTCTGAAATGGAAAAGTTGGCTTCCATCACAACTCACCCCTCCCTCCTTCAGCAGTTGTAGGTGAGCAGGTGGTTAGCACAAGGGCAAGGTGACCACACCCTGCTTGAATGGCTGATGGTGGCCATATGGACAGGAACGATGCCAGTGAAATATCAGAAACCATGAGCAAATGGCAGTCATATACAGATTTGGTGCAAGTAATCCAGGAGATGGGTATGTGGCAGGCTATGTTCGATCTGGATACCCGAAGGCCAGATGATGAATGCTTTACTTCCCACATGAGGGACCTCGTGTTGGGTTCTGTGCCCCCAAGTGCCTTTGGCTTCCTGGTTGCTGTCCTCACCTGTATGTGGAGCACCACATACACGAAGTAACTACTGCCATGGTGGCCCTCAGGGAAGCAGAAGGCCATTGCTGGGACTGAGGGCTCCACACCATGAACAAGGGGAAGGACCCCTTTCTCAGGGGGCTCCCTCATGTGACAAAAAGGGGCCCCAACAAGTGACATGCACACAGATGTGGATTGATTTGATTTTGGCTGGGGTCGACCAGGAGAAAATTGGTAGGCAACCCAGTGAAGTACTATTAACTTTATGGAGGCAATTGTCCCTGGAGCAGCAATTCCGGAAAATGCCTGAAAGGGAGAAGGACAATGTTGCTTGACCCAGTCCTGCCTGGACACTCCAGCTAAAAGACTACTTGAAGGCGGATGGGGGCATAGAATCTTTTGTGTTTGATTAGGGAACTGGCTGAGGTGCCAGCTTGGGGGGACACTGGACAACTGGATGGCCTTAGTCATAGTAATTGCTGCCCAAGGTGGCACCTGTGCCCTTTTAGGAATACAATGTTGTATCTTTATCCCTGACAATCAACAGAACATAATGGCAGCTTTGCAGGGGCTGTCACAGGAGATTAAAGCAGTTGAGAACCTTACTGACAACCACCTACAGGCATGGTGGGCATCCCTGGGTGTTGGCCTATGCTGGACTCCCTTGGCCTAGGGAGTGGAGTGTAAGGAAAATGGCTGTGCTACAGATAGAAGTAGGCCAAGGCAAATATCCGGTATAGCATGACACAGCATGTTTGGAATGCAGGCACACAACCCTGTACATTATATAATCCCATTTATGTAACTACTTTATGTGAGCTCCTACCTGGCTCTGAGCCACTATCATCTGTAAGATGTATAAATACACTGCTAATGCTGTGGGGAGAGAGGGGAGAATAAAGCCATGTCCCAACTGCCTACAGTCCCTCGACTGTTCTTTCAGCTGCCCACCGCCCATTCACCAACTCCTTTTGGACCCTAGCATGGGATGGAGCCTGACACTATGTATCTTAGTAGTAAAGAGCACCAGCTTTGGAGACAAGCTGATTCAAATGTCAAACAGTCATCCAGTAGCTGGCTGACAAGCATACCTCTCAATCCCTTATCTGTAAAATGAAGATCAAAATACGTGACTTTGAGGAAAAGGAAATGAAATAGATGTAGATACTAAGTCTTCAATAAAAGATGATTGTTATTGAAGGGCAATACAGTTGATTTCATTACTATGGTAGTTTTGTTCTATAAAGTCACTAAGAACAATGAATCAGCAAATATTGACCCATTGTTCCTAGAAGAAATACAGGATTAGGTTCCTGTGAGGTTCTGGTCACATTTTTGCCAACTGATCAAATTGTTTTATGTGTGTTTCAATTTAAAGACACTGTATTTCATACTTATTATTAATTCATTAACATTGAGCTCATGGCCAACAGCCCTGTAATTCTTGCCTAAATAATGCAGTTATTTTCTCTCTAAACCATATCACAACCTTCTTGTTCTTAGGAACACTGCACAGCACTTCGGTACTTATGGCTGGTGGCCATTTTAAGTAGTGAAATCACCAAAAGAACGGCACAAAAGTTCAAAAACAAACAAAACACGGTACTAAATAGATCGTGAGAAGGACACCTGCTTATAGTATAAGATCTAAAACAAGAAAGAGCATTACCTTGTTCAACCAAGGAACATGCAAATTGGGGGACTGGGAGCATGCTAGGAACATGCACATTGGGGAACTCAAATTTTTTGCCACTCCGTACATGTCTGTGAACAACCACAGAAGTGCAGTAAATATTGATTTGAGGATTGAAAATACATTTTAGCAAGTAGGTGAAATCAAGAATATGGAACCCAGGAATAATTAGGAGTGACTGTATAATGTTTTAGTTAAGGGCTTGTGGTCTGTAATGACACAGATTGGCTTCACCACTCACAATCTGTACAGTCTTGGGCAAGTAAGTGACTTGTTCTCTTTCACACTCAGTTTCATCATCTATGAAATAAAAGTAATAATAACTGTACTCTCTTAGATTTGTGATGAGAGTTAAATGAGATATAGCCTGTATTCAGCTGATACATGTTAAATGATCAAAAAATATAAGTTACTAATGCAAGGAAGACTAATAAAGCAAAAAGAATTAACTATAGCATAAGTGGAATTTTTAAAACACTTCTCAAAATGCTGGAAGAGGGGGAAAACATTTAACTAAATAATTTAGTTCCCTCTTATTTCCTGTACATAAGTGGGGCAAATTTTAGTGACATTTATAAAGAGTATTATATGCTAACATAAAAATGATTTTGGTGAAGTATTAAAAATCAATAATGTCATTTTGAGGGTCTCAACTAAAGTATGAATGTGCTAAGTTTAATGGGGCCTTGTGCTAGAATTTCAATTAATGCAAATGGAAGAGAACATTGAACACTTAGTACTAATTTTATTTGCCTAGATTAAGCCAGGAAAAATGAGCTCATGTCTCTAAGGATCTGATCTCAATATCGAAAAGTAAATGCCCAGAAACATAGTCATATGACCTAAAATTTAATCTCTTTTTTATATGCTTTAAATTGTTTCTGTTTTTGATAAACCCTAGCTTTTGCTGAAAATCCTAATAAGACATTTTCAAACAACCTTCAAACTGTACAATTTATGTAATATCAAAAGAAAAAAGAGAAAAACTACATTATTAGTAATTAACCCAAGAATTCCTGCTTAAAAACAGTACCTGCTTAACTTATTACTTTTTGATAGAGATAGGGTCTCACTCTCTCACCTAGGCTGCAGTGTGGTGGCATAACTGTAGCTCATGGCAGCCTCCATCTCCCAAGCTCGCCTAATCCTCCTGCTTCAGATTCCTTGGTAGCTAGAACTACCGGTGTGCACCACCGCACCTGGCTAATGCTTAATTTTACTTTCTGTATAGACAGAGTCTCCTTGCATCACCTAGGCTGGTCTCGAACTCCTGGCCTCAAGCAATCCTCCCACCTCAACCTCCCAATGTGCTGGGATTACAGGTATGAGCCTCTGCACCCAGTCATTTTATTAAGACAGTGCTTGAATAATGCCTTACTTTATTTCACTTAGATATACTCAATACTCAAAATTTTACCAGAGGTTCTTAGGACCCAAGTTAATCATCTCTTCTCCAAGAAGGTAGAGAAAAGTCACTTTAAAATTGTATTCCAAAGAAAAACTTATATACAGTTGATTTTTTCACTGATGAATCTTTTGAAAATAATTTTAAAATAATTTAAATAACTTTTAGGAAATTCAAAGTAAATACTGATATTTTGTCATTTTTTTGTGGCCTCACTCTCCTTATTGTCTTCCATAGATATTAATTAAAGATGCTGCTTAGAAAAAACAAAAGCAACTTCCAGCTTTAATTCGGTTTTTTATATACATAGAACTTTGTGGGCTGTCAGTAAACTGGCATACACATTGCATAGACTTTTCCAGTGGAAACTCTGCACAACCCATTGATTTCAATAAGGAAGACAAAGAAAAGATGAACTGTGAGGCAAAACAAGTCTTCATGTAAGAAATAGGAAGACATCATTCCATCCAGTGATGTTTGATGAGTACTATTTGGAGAAATGATTTACTTCTTTCATAAGCCTATGGCCTGAAGCAAAGGAATATCATTATTTGGGTCAAGTGTCCTATATTGCCACAACCTCTATTCTTGAATATTTCACAGTTCATTATACTCCATAGACATATCATGGGGATTTATCTCAATCACATTACAGAAACATTCAATGACTGGAAATGATTCACTTTTCAAAGATCCATTGGTCACATTACTTGGCTTTAATAGAAATATACAATTATGGTTGATAATGCCGTCTTACACCCCATGATCCAGATTTTCAATCTGACACCCTTTGGTGTTTATCTTTGCCATCATCCAGAAGCAGCATCTAATGCCAAGCCTGATCATGCAGAGAACATAAATTTAAAGAGCCATTTCATTTATAACAAACAGACCCAGCTGGAGCACAGCTGCTAAATGGAACGGCAAAGTAAAATTTCCTGCTACCTGGGAAGGTCTAATTATAAAACCACCTAAACAAGCTTTCGAAATCTGTCTGTGAACTACTCAACATCAATATGGGTTTAACTTAAAGAGGGAAATAAAGGTGAAATTATTTGAAGCATGTATTACAGAAGAAATCAGGAATATTTTATAATTTTCTAAAGTCTATATGTTTAATTGAAGCTGCCTTGGGTTTTAATATCATGTCTTGGTTTTTCTATATGCAGACTTACAATCTAAAGTATGGAGTAATCAAAACCAAAAAAAAAGTGAATTATAGTATTTTTTGCCCTTCTATCTTAGTGTTCTTCATTAAAGAACAAACAATAAAAGATCAGCAAATACAGGCTGGGCATGGTGGCTCATGCCTGTAATCCTAACACTTTGGGAGGCCAAGGCAAGCAGATCGCTTGAGCCTGGGAGTCTGAGACCAGCCTGAGCAACATGGTGAAACCCTATCTCTACAAAAAACACAAAATAAATTAGCCAGGTGTGGTGGTGCACACCTGTAGTCCCAACTACTCAAGAGGCTGAGGTAGGAGGATCACCTGAGCCGGAGGGGTCGAGGCTGCAGTGAGCTGTGATTATGCCACTGCATTCCATCCTGGGCAACATAGTGAGATCCTGTCTCAAAAAAAAAAAATTAGCAAACACAGTATATGAAAACAAAATCTAGAAATTTGAATATGATAAAGTTTCTCATAATAAAGAGAGAAATACATTTACATGTAAAGTCTCTGTGGCATTCTCTAACATTTTTTAAAGTTATGACATAAAATTTCATTGTCACTGTGGTATGTTGTTCATGGTTGTCCTTTTATGAAAAATCAATCTTGGAAAATAAAGTAATCCTCGGTTTACATGATTTTATCCAACATCTTAGCTGCCCAGTATCTACTCATTTTGTATCAGAGACCTCCCAATAGACCAATCCTGGACCCCACAGACTGCAGAGAGGTCCTAAATGAGGAAGAATTGCCAAGTATTTCATTCCCCCAACCCATGTCTCCTTTAAATAGCTTTATTAAAATTCTAAAACACATACAGTATTAATAAGAGAGATGTACATTTTAAGCATTTCCCAGATTATAAAGGGTTCAATATTTTGATCTCTGAGGGCAATATCAGTGCATCATAGTAAACAGGGTAGGTATTTCACAGACATTACTTAGAATTGACTGTGGATTTATATTTTTATGATTTATACCAATCTAGGTCATCCATGGAGATTCACCTATGCTATAACTAAGCCCTGGCAGCAATTGTGATTAATGAACTTGGGAATCCTTAGTTTTCGAAAGCATAAATTGAATTTGGAGCTTTAATTTTTAATTTATATCGTTTCCTTTCTACTTCTCTAATTATTCACTTTGTAGTGAAAAAAAGATTTAATAATATCACTAAATTCTCACAAGATTTTTTTAATGGAAATGTGCTCTACATAATAAAATTGGGTCTGGGTTTTACCTAAAAATTATCTGAGAAAATGAGGCAATTTAAAGAAAAACCTTATAAAAATCAGACTTGTACAATCTTTCCTCCAGTTGTATAGCATTGTCCATAATTTTATCCATAATTCTTCCCTGTTCTGCTTTTCTGTATTTATAGTTAGGTTTAGTATCTTTCCAACTGAAGGCATATCCTATGGTTAAATAATTCTTCCTGCTTATAGTGGTAATTAGGGTTCAAATACCTCCTTCAGAAAATATTGTATGTTATTAAAGCATGTATTTCCAAAAGATCCTAAAAGAGTGAACACAAATGTGGTGCTCTTCAAAAGAACTTCCCCAGGGAACCAAAGAATAAGTAACATTAGGATAAGAAAGATAAGGCAATACTGTTGTTAATGATTAGAGTTTTTGATATACCTAAGTATCCAGTATTATTATAAGCTATATTATATTCATTTCTCCTTGTAATCATCACAACAATCTTATGAGGTGTAGGTTGAATATCCCTGCGCCAAAAATCTGAAATCTGAAATGTTCCAAAACCTGAAACTTTCTGAGCATTGACACGACAGCACAAGGAGAAAATTCTATGCCTGACCTCATGTGACAGGTCATGTATATTACTAAAAATTCTGTATAAAATTGCCTTTTGGGCATGCGTATGTGGTATACATGAAACATAAATTAATTTGATTTAGACTTAGGTCCATTTCCAAGATACTAATATCTCATTTTGTTTATGCAAGTATTCCAAAATCTCCCAAAATTTAAAGTTCAATACACTTCTGGTCCCAAGTATTTCAGATAAGGGATACTCAATCTGTATTATTTTCCAGGTATGGTAACTAATGGACAATAAGAATGAATTACCTATTAAATTTACCTACTAAATTCTCTATTAGGCTGTCATTCTGGTGTGATTTATTCTTAGATTCTTTAGAGTAGGTTTTGATGCCTGTTCAAGAAGAGGCATTTCTAAAACAGGCGTTGTTAACTTCAGAATTTTATGGTAGGATCTGTGGTAGGCCTTCAGTGTGTTAACGAACCCAGTAGAATGTTATCCTAAATAGTGTGAGTGCATACATGGATTTTTCTCATAATTTCATCCATAGTTTTTATGCTATCTACAAAAAGATTCAAGAATAATAACAGCACCACCATCAATGAAAAGTTTAAGAACCAAAGTTTTAAGAAGTGACAAGAGCAAAAATGGTGGAGTAAGGATATTTGAAAGATTGCCTCCTTATACAACTAATAAAATAACTGGCAAAAATTTATAACAATAAACTTTTCCAGGACTCTGAAAATTAACCAAAGTCTTGCAGTAATCCAAATAATGAGGAACATCTAGTGAAAAAAAAGCAGCCGAATCTTAGTAAGAAGAATGAGCATGTGGCATTTTTCTCTTACTGTATCCCTATCCCTACCTCCCATTCCCTAGCATCACATTAGCCTTAAAAGTGACAGCCAGCATCCCCAGTGTTAGAGGGAGCTGAACAGGGATGGAACACTTCAAGGTCTCATTCACCAAGAAAAGTTATTATTTGGTAGAGCGTGGTGGCTCACACCTGTAATCCCAGCACTTTAGGAGGCTGAGGCGGGTGGATCACCTGAGGGCAGGAGTTTGAGACCAGCCTGGCCAACATGGCAATACCCCGTCTCTACTAAAAATACAAAAATTAGCCAGGCATGGTGGTGTGCGCTTGTAATCCCAGGAGAATCACTTGAGCCCGGGAGGCGGAGGTTGCAGTCAAACAAGATCCTGCCACTGCACTCCAGCCTGGGCGACAGAGGGAGACTCTTTCTTGAAAAAAAAAAAAAAAAAAAAAAAAAAAAGAGAGAGAGAAAGAAAAAAAAAAAAAAAAGAAAAGTCATTATTTGCCCCATCTAGTGGTTCCCTGGAAGACTGCACTCAAAAGTTTGACCTCTGTTCAACTTGTCCTGGACTAAGCTTCTCGCCAGGAGTTATTTGTCAAGTGTTTTAGGATCACTGCAGTCTGAAGCACCAAATAACAGTTAACACAAACAATAGACTAACCCAAAATGTTTAAGATGAAAAGTTGTGAAATGAGATGTCCCTAGGGGTTTTGAAAAGCTCTAAAATATTTTTGGGAATATAGAAGACCCACGTGCAATGTGTAGTGTATGCATACTCAGAAAAAACCTGAGAAGTTTCTAAGTTCTCACCTCTGATTGATCTTGAGGTTCTGTAAGCAGAAAATGATGGCAAAAGAAGAGTAGTAAATTGACTGACTTAAGTGTAGAAGGTGGGCTCCAACAAACACACAGAGCCCCTAGAGGGAGAAATTATAGATTCATTGCTTCCAGATGTTTAAAGAAATCTCTGTTCATTCATTAGCTGCCTCCAATAAGCTAACTGAGTAGAGACTTGTGGCAACATATAATAAAGATATTGAATTAACAGAATTAGTTTAGAAAAGTCACTAAACAACCACCAAAACAAGCAGCAACAACAACAACAAATCCTAGGGTATGTGAAAAATCATATTATCTGAGTTATGTTATTGTAAATGTCTAGTTTTCAACAAAAAATTATAAAACATGCAAAGTAACAAGAAAGTATGTGTAAGGACAATGGCTGCACTGCAGTCAGGTTAAGGCCAAGGTACACATCTGGCACAGCATGACACAGTGGGATTGGAGGACAGGCACACAATCCTGTGCATTATATAATCACAACTACGTAGCCATAATATGGGAGGGCACATCACCTGGCCCTGAGCCACTATTGTCTGTGAGGTGCATAAATGCAGCACTGACAGTGTGAGGGAGTTGCTGAATAAAGTCATGTCCTACCTATCTGTGGTCTCTGGAGTGTTCTTTCAGCTGCCTGCCACTTGCCCACCAACTCCCCTTGGACCTCAGCTTGGGCTGGAACCTAACAGTATGGATCATACACAGAAAAAAATCAATGACTAGAAATTGTCCCTGATGAATCCCAGAACATGAAATTACTAGATGTATTAGTCAGAGTTCTCTAGAGGGACAAAATTAATATGATACATGTTCATAAAAAGGGGAGTTCATTAAGGAGTATTGACTCACACAGTCAGAACCTCCCACAATAGGTCATCTGCAAGCTGAGGAGCAAGGAAGTCAAGTCTGTGTTCCAAACCTGAAGAACATGGAGTCCAATGTTCCAGGGCAGGAAGCATCCAGCATGAGAGAAAGATGTAGGCTCAGAGGCTAAGGCAGTCTAGCCTTTTGACATTCTTCTGACTGCTTCTATTTTGGCTGTGCTAGCAGCTGATTAGATTGTGCCTACCCAGATTGAGGGTGGGTCTGCCTTCCTCAGTTCACTGACTCAAATGTTAATCTACTTTGGCAGCACCCTCACTGACACACCCAGGAAAAATATTTTGCATTCTTCCATCCAATCAAGTTGACACTCAGTATTAACCATCACACTAGACAAAAGCTTAAATTAGCTATTTAAAATATATCTTTAAATATCAAAGACCTAAAGGCAAATATGTCTAGAAAACTAAAGAAAATTATGAAAACTAAGTAAAGAATATTAATAGATAGAAACTATAAAGGAGAACCAAATAGAAATTCTATACTTGAAAAGTACAACTTAAATAAAAACTTAATAGAGGATTAACAGCAGATTTTATCAGGCAGAAAAAATAATCAACAAACTTGAAGATAGGTCACTTGATATTATCCACTCTGTGACACAGAAAGATAAATAATGAAGAAAAATGAACAGAGCATCAGAGACTTGTAGAACACCATTAAGTCTGGAAAAATACAAATAATAGGAGTCCCAAAATGAAAGTAAAGAAAGAAAAGCTCAGAAATAATATTTAAATAATAGCTAAAAACATTCCAAATCTGATTTTTAAGAATTAGTCTACACATCTAAAAAGCTCAATGAACTCTGAGTGTGGTAAACTCAAAGACAGCCTCTCCTAGATACATTATAAGCAAACTTGAATGTCAGAGACAATGAGAGAATATTGAAAGTAGTAAGAAAAGTTACTCATCGTATACAAAGCATCCTAAATAACGTGAACAGCTGATTTCTTACCAGACACCATGGAGGATGTAGCATGACGTATTCAAAGTGCTGAAAGAAAAGACAAATAACTATCAGTCAAAACATTGTTGTTATTATTATTATTATAATACTTTAAGTTCTAGGGTACATGTGCACAATACGCAGGTTTCTTACATATGTATACATGTGCTATGTTGGTGTGCTGGGCCAATTAACTCGTCATTTATGTTAGGTATATCTCCTAATGCTATCCCTCCCCCCATCCCATGACAGGCCCCAGTGCGTGATGTTCCCCATCCTGTGTCCAAGTGTTCTCATTGTTCAATTCCCACCTATGAGTGAGAACATGTGGTGCTTGGTTTTCTGTCCTTGTGATAGTTTGCTTGGAATGATGGTTTCTAGCTTCATCCATGTCTGCACAAAGGACATGAATTCATCCTTTATTATGGCTGCATAGTACTCTGTGGTGTATATGTGCCACATTTTCTTAATTCAGTCTATCATTGGTGGACATTCGGGTTGGTTCCAAGTCTTTGCTATTATGAATAGTGCCACAATAAACATACATGTGCACGTGTCTTTATAGCAGCAAGATTTATAATCCTTTGGGTATATACGAAGTAATGGGATGGCTGGGTCAAATGGTATTTCTAGTTCTAGATCCTTGAGGAATCACCACACTGTCTTCCACAATGGTTGAACTAGTTTACAGTCCCACCAACAGTGTAAAAGTCTTCCTATTTCTCCACATCCTCTCCAGCACCTGTTGTTTCCTGACTTTTTAATGGTCACCATTCTAACTGGTGTGAGATGGTATCTCACTGTGGTTTTGATTTGCATTTATCTGATGGCCAGTGATGATGAACATTTTTTCATGTGTCTGTTGGCTGCAAAAATATCTTCTTTTGAGAAGTGTCTGTTCATATCCTTCACCCACTTTTTGATGGGGTTGTTTGATTTTTTTTCTTGTAAATTTGTTTAACTTCTTTGAAGATTCTAGATATTAGCCCTTTGTCAGATGGGTAGATTGTAAAAATTTTCTCCCATTCTGTAGATTGCCTGGTCACTCTGATGGTAGTTTTTTTTGCTGTGCAGAAGCCCTTTAGTTTAATTAGATCCTGTTTGTCAAATTTGGCTTTTGTTGCTGTTGCTTTTGGTGTTTTAGTCATGAAGTCCTTGCCCATGCCTATGTCCTGAATAGTATTGCCTAGGTTTTCTTCTAGGGCTTTTATGGTATTAGGTCTAATATTTAAGTCTTTAATCCATCTTGAATTAATTTTTGTGTAAGGTGTAAGGAAGGGATCCAGTTTCAGCTTTCTACATATGGCTAGACAGTTTTCCCAGCACCATTTATTAAATAGGGAATCCTTTCCCCATTTCTTGTTTTTGTCAGGTTTGTCAAAGATCAGATAGTTGTAGGTGTGTGGTATTATTTCTGAGGGCTCTGTTCTGCTCCATTGGTCTATATTGGTTCTGGTCCATTGGTCTCTTTTGGACCAGTACCATGCTCTTTTGATTACTGTAGCCTTGTTACATAGTTTGAAGTCAGGTAGTGTGATGCCTCCAGCTTTGTTCTTTTGGCTTAGGATTGTCTTGGCTATGCGGGCTCTTTTTTGGTTCCTTGTGAACTTTAAAATAGTTTTTTCCAATTCTGTGAAGAAAGTCATTGGTAGCTTGATGGGGATGGCATTGAATCTATAAATTACCTTGGGCAGTATGGCCATTTTCACGATATTGATTCTTCCTATCCATGAGCATGGAATGTTCTTCTATTTGTTTGTGTCCTCTTTCATTTCGTTGAGCAGTGGTTTGTAGTTCTCCTTAAAGACGTCCTTCAAATTCCTTGTAATTTGGATTCCTAGGTATTTTATTCTCTTTGAAGCAATTGTGAATGGGAGTTCACTCACGATTTGGCTGTTTGTCTCTTACTGGTGTATAGGAATGCTTGTGATTTTTGTACATTGATTTTCTATCCAGAGACTTTGCTGAAGTTGCTTATCAGCTTAAGGAGATTTTGGGCTGAGACAATGGGGTTTTCTAAATCTACAACCATGTCATCTGCAAACAGGGACAATTTGACTTCCTCTTTTCCTAATTGAATACCCTTTATTTCTTTCTCTTGCCTGATTGCCCTGGCCAGAACTTCCAACACTATGTTGAATAGGAGTGGTGAGAGAGGGCATTCCTGTCTTGTGCCAGTTTTCAAAGGAAATGCTTCCAGTTTTTGCCCATTCAGTATGATATTGGCTGTGGGTTTGTCATAAACAGCTCCTATTATTTTGAGATGTGTCCCATCAATACCTAATTTATTGAGAGTTTTTGCATGAAAGGCTGTTGAATTTTGTCAAAGGTCTTTTCTGCATCTATTGAGATAATCAAGTGGTTTTTGTCTTTGGTTCTGTTTATATGCTGGATTGCGTTTATTGATTTGCATATGTTGAACCAGCCTTGCATCCCAGGGATGAAGCCCACTTGATTGTGGTGGATAAGCTTTTTGATGTGCTGTTGGATTTGGTTTGCCAGTATTTTATTGAAGATTTTTGCATCGATGTTCATCAGGGTTATTGGTCTAAAATTCTCTTTTTTTGTTGTGTCTCTGCCAGGCTTTGGTATCAGGATGATGCTGGCCTCATAGAAAGAGTTAGGGAGGATTCCCTCTTTCTATTGATTGGGATAGCTTCAGAAGGAATGGTAACAGCTCCTGTTTGTACCTGTGGTAGAATTCAGCTGTGAATCTGTCTGGTCCTGGATTTTTTTTGGTTGATAGGCTCTTAATTATCATCTCAATTTCAGAGCCTCTTATTGGTCTATTCAGGGATTCAACTTCTTCCTGGTTTAGTCTTGGGAGGGTGTATGTGTCCAGGAATTCATCCATTTCTTCTAGATTTCTAGTTTATTTGCCTCAAGGTGTTTATAGTATTCCCTGATGGTAGTTTGTATTTCTGTGGGATCAGTGGTGATATCCCCTTTATCATTTTTTATTTATTTTGTATTGCATCTATTTGATTCTTGTCTCCTTTCTTCTTTATTAGTCTTGCTAGCGATCTATCAATTTTGTTGATCTTTTCAAAAAACCAGATCTTGGAATCATTGATTTTTTGAAGGGTTTCTTCTGTCTTTATCTCCTTCAGTTCTGCTCTGATCTTAGTTATTTCTTGCCTTCTGCTAGCTTTTGAATGTGTTTGCTCTTGCTTCTCTATTTCTTTTAATTGTGATGTTAGGGTGTAAATTTTAGATCTTTCCTGCTTTCTCTTGTGGCATTTAGTGCTTTAAATTTTACCTCTACGCACTGCTTTAAATGTGTCCCAGAGATTCTGGTATGTTGTGTCTTTGTTCTCATTGGTTTCAAAGAACATCTTTATTTCTGCCTTCATTTCATTATATATCCAGTAGTCATTTAGGAACAGGTTGTTCAGTTTCCATGTAGTTGAGCAGTTTTGAGTGAGTTTCTTAATCCTGAGTTCTAGTTTGATTGCACTGTGGTCTAAGAGACAGTTTGTTATAATTTCTGTTATTTTACATTTGCTGAGGAGTATTTTACTTCCAACTATGTGGTCAATTTTGGAATAAGTGTGATGCTGAGAAGAATGCATATTCTGTTGATTTGGGGTGGAGAGTTCTATAGATGTCTATTAGGTCTGCTTGGTGCAGAGCTGAGTTCAAGTCCTGGATATCCTTGTTAACTTTCTGTCTCGTTGATCTGTCTAATGTTGACAGTGGGGTACTAAAGTCTCCCATTATTATTGTGTGGGAGTGTAAGTCTCTTTGTAGGTCTCTAAGGACTTGCTTTATGGATCTGGGTGCCCTGTATTGGGTGCATATATATTTAGGATAGTTAGCTCTTCTTGTTGAATTGATCCCTTTACCATTATGTAATGGCCTTCGTTGTCTCTTTTGATCTTTGTTTGTTTAAAATCTGTTTTATCAGAGACTTGGATTGCAACCCCTGCTTTTTTTTGTTTTCCATTTGCTTGGTAGATCTTCCTCCATTCCTTTATTTTGAGCCTATGTGTGTCTCTGCACATGAGATGGGTCTCCCGAATACAGCACACTGATGGGTCTTGACTCTTTATCCAATTTGCTAGTCTGTGTCTTTTAATTGGAGCATTTCACTTATTTACATTTAAGGTTAATATTGTTATGTGTGAATGTGATCCCGTCCTTGTGATGTTAGCTGGTTATTTTGCTCATTAGTTGATGCAGTTTCTTCCTAGCCTCAATGGTCTTTACAATTTGGCATGTTTTTGCAGTGGCTGTTACTGGTTGTTCCTTTCCATGTTTAGTGCTTCCTTCAAGAGCTCTTGTAAGGCAGGCCTGGTGGTGACAAAATCTCTCAGCATTTGCTTGTCTGTAAAGGATTTTATTTCTCCTTCACTTATGAGCTTAGTTTGGCTGGATATGAAATTCTGGGTTGAAAATTCTTTTCTTTAAGAATGTTGAATATTGGCCCCCACTCTCTTCTGGCTTGTAGAGTTTCTGCCAAGAGATCTGCTGTTAGTCTGATGTGCTTCCCTTTGTGGGTAACCCGACCTTTCTCTCTGGCTGCCCTTAACATTTTTTCCTTCATTTCAACTTTGGCGAATCTGACAATTACGTGTCTTGTAGTTGCTCTTCTCAAGGAGTATCTTTGTGGCATTCTCTGTATTTCTTGAATTTGAATGTTGGCCTGCCTTGCTAGGTTGGGGAAGTTCTCCTGGATAATACCCTGAAGAGTGTTTTGCAACTTGGTTCCATTCTCCCTGTCACTTTCAGGTACACCAATCTGACATAAATTTGGTCTTTTCACTTAGTCCCATATTTCTTGGAGGCTTTGTTCATTTCTTTTTACTCTTTTTTCTCTAAACTTCTCTTCTCACTTCATTTCATTAATTTAATCTTCAATCACTGATACCCTTTCTTCCACTTGATCAAATTGGCTACTGAAGCTTGTGCATGCATCACGTAGTTCTCATGCCATGGTTTTCAGCTCCATCAAGTCATTTAAGGTCTTCTCTCTGCTGTTTATTCTAGTTAGCCATTTGTCTAATCTTTTCTCAAGGTTTTCAGCTTCTTTGCAATGGTTTCGAACATTCTCCTTTAGCTCAGATAAGTTTATTATTACCAATCGTCGGAAGCCTTCTTCTCTCAACTCATCAAAGTCATTCTCCTTCCAGCTTTGTTTCTTTGCTGGTGAGGAGCTGCATTCCTTTGGAGGAGAAGAGGTGCTCTGATTTTTACAATTTTCAGCTTTTCTGCTCTGGTTTCTCCCCATCTTTGTGGTTTTATCTACCTTTGGTCTTTGATGATGGTAACATACAGTTGGGGTTTTGGTGTGGATGTCCTGTTTGTTAGTTTTCCTTCTAACAGTCAGGACCCTCAGCTGCAGGTCTGTTGGTGTTTGCTGGAGGTCCACTCCAGACCCTGTTTGCCTGGGTATCACCAGCAGAGGCTGCAGAGCTGCAATTATTGCAGAACGGTAAATGTTGCTGCCTGATCCTTCCTTTGGAAGCTTTGTCTCAGAGGGTCATCCAGCTGTATGAGAGAAATGTCGGTCAGCCCCTACTTGGAGGTGTCTCCCAGTTAGGCTACTTGGGGATCAGGGACCCACTTGAGGAGGCAATCTGTCTGTTCTCAGATCTCAAACTCCATGCTTGGAGAACCACTACTCTCTTCAAAGTGTCAGATAGGGACGTTTAAGTTTGCAGAGGTTTCTGCTGCGTTTTGTTCAGCTATGCCCTGCCCCCCAGATGTGGAGTCTACAGAGGCAGGCAGGCCTCCTTGAGCTGTGGTGGGCTCCACCCAGTTCCAACTTCCTGGCCTCTTTGTTTACCTACTCAAACCTCAGCAATGGTGGATGCCTCTCCCCCAGCCTTGCTGCCACCTTGCAGTTTGATCTCAGACTGCTGTGTTAGCAGTGAGCGAGGCTCTGTGGGCTTGGGACTCTCTGAGCCAGGCATGGGATATAATCTTCTGGTGTACCGTTTGCTAAGACCATTGGAAAAGTGCATTATTAGGGTGGGAGTGTCCCAATTTTCCAGGTACCATCTGTCACGGCTTCCCTTGGCTAGGAAAAGGAATTCCCCGACCCCTTGTGCTTCCTGGGTGAGGCGATGCCCCGCCCTGCTTCAGCTCACATTCGGTGACTAACAAGCCCCAGTGAGATGAACCCAGTACCTCAGTTGGAAATGCAGAAATCGTCCTCTGCATCGCTCATGCTGGGAGCTGTATACTGGAGCTGTTCCTTTTTGGCCGCCTTGGAGGGTTTCTGCCAAAACATTTTTTGAGAAATGTAAAAGAAACTATTTTCAGATAAACAAAAATTGAGATAATTTTTTGATGTAGGACCTGCCTTACAAGAAATGCTGAAAGAAATCCTCTAAGCTGAAATGAAGAACACTAGGAAGTAACTCATATTTACATGAAGAAACAAAGAGTACTGGTAAAGGCAAGTACATAGGTAAATATAACAGACAATGTAAACTTATTTTTTGTACTTTTTTGTACTATATTATTTAATGTCTTTTTTTGGTCTTACATTACTTAAAAGACAATTGTATAAGGCAACCATTATAACTCTAAGTTGATGAGAACACAACATATAAACATATAATTTGTGAAAATAATAACATTAAAGGAGGCAGGAAAATAAAATTATAGAGAAGCAGAATTTTTATGTTACTTAAGTTACTGTTAATAAGAACTAGATTTTTATAAATAAAGAGATTAATGGTTATTCCCAGGGCAATCACTACGAAGGAAATTCAAAAACTAGAGTAAAGGAAATGGCAAAGCAATTAAAAATGGTGTAGTGGTATAGTGAAAAATATTTAATATAAAAAGGGGCAGTAATGGAAGAATTGAGAAACAAAAATCATGCAGGACAAATGGTAAAATTGCAGACACAAGTCTTAACTAATCAATTATTATATTAAATATAAATCGATTAAACTAATTATTAATAAAATGCAGTGATTGGCTGAATAAAAAAACACAACGTTCTCCAACTATATGCTACATATAAAAGACATACTTATAATTAAAAAGACACAGGCCGAGTGTGGTGGCTCATGCCTGTAATCCCAGCACTTTGGAAGACCAAGGCGAGTGGATCACGAGGTCAGGAGACCAAGACCAGCCTGACTAACACGGTGAAACCCCGTCTCTACTAAAAAATATACAAAAAATTAGCTGGGTGTGGTGGCGGGCCCCTGTAGTCCCAGCTGCTTGGGAGGCTGAGGCAGGAGAATTGCATGAACCTGGGAGGCAGAGCTTGCAGTGAGCCCAGATCGCACCACTGCACTCCAGCCTGGATGACAGAGTGAGACTGTCAAAAAAAAAAAATTAAAAAAAAGATTAAAAGACATAAAAACATTTAAAATAAAATAATGGAAAAATATAGTCTATACAAATCATAACCAAAAGAAAGTTGGAGTGCCTAGACTAATAGAAGACAAAATAGACTTTAAGAAAAAAGTTGTTAGTAGAGATAAAAAGGATATTTTATATAGATAAAACAGTCAATACGCTAAGAATTTATACCAATTATAAATGTATATGCATCGAACAGCATAGCCTCAAAAGACAAAAGAAATAGAAATTTAAAAATAACAGTTGGAGAATTCAGTACTGCACTTTCAGTAATGGCTAGAACAACTAGAAAGATCAGTAGAGAAATAGATTTGAACTATACTATAAACCAACTAGACCTAATAGACACATATAGAATATTCCAACCAACAACAGTAGAATTCACATTCTTTTCAGGTGCACAATGAACACGTCCAGAAGAGCATTATTGGAACAGAAGAGCATTATTTCGTATTGGAAATAATTATTGAAACAGAACAGCATTATTTCATATTTCAAATATGAAAAAAAAACAGAACATCTATCAGCTGATGAATGAATGAACAAAATGTGGTAGATACATATAATGGGATATTATTCAGTTATAAAAAATAAAGTACTGATACATACTACATGATGAATAAACCTTGAAAACATTATGCTTAGTGAAAGAAGCCAGATATTTTGTATAATTTTACTTATATGAAATGTGCAGAATAGGGCTGGACACAGTGGCTTATGCATGTAATCCCAGGATTTTGGGAGGCTGAGGTAGGTTTGTCACCTGAGTTCAGGAGTTCAAGACCAGCCTGACCAACATGGAGAAACCATCTCTACTAAAAATACAAAATTAGCCATGAGTGGTGGTGCATGTCTGTAGTCCCAGCTACTTGGGAGGCTGAGGCAGGAGAATCACTTGAACCCAGGAAGCGGAGGTTGCGATGAGCTGATATCACACCATTGCACTCCAGCCTGGGCTACAAAAGTGAAACTCTGTCTCAATAAATAAATAAATGTACAGAATAGACAAATCTACAGACATAGAAATAGTTCTTTTTCAGGTGATGAATATGTTCTCAGATTAGATAGTGGTGCTAGTTGTACAACATATGAATATATTAAAACCTACTGAATTGTATATTCTAAAGGAGTGAATTTTTGGTATGTGAATTATGTATCTTTTTTAAAAAGGAAAGAAGCAATATTCTAGAACTAGTTTATCATCTAAAACTTGATGCAATAGCACCACAAGGTATACTGGCTAGTGCTTAAAGGCTTTTCAGACCACAATTTACATTGGCTAGCCTTAGATGGTGTTACTACTCCATTAAGAGTTCCAGGATGTCCAACACCTAACACAAATCAACATTGTTTAAAATATTTGTTAACGGGAACATAAAGTCATAGCGTAACAGACAGAGTATTCAAGATATTAGAATTATAATCCATATAAAAATGACAACTCTAAATTTTAATGTTAATGTCATATTAAATTTATATCACATTGAATTTATAAAGCTATGTTATTCAGTATAAACTCTTCTCTTTTAGTTGACCTTTCATTACAGAATAAAACAGAAAGGCACTATAATGTATGGAAAGAACTAAGAAAACTAGAGTATTTAAGTAAAATTCTATAATCTTTTTTTTTTTTTTTTTTTTAAATTTAAAACTTTTTTTTTTTTTTTTTATTATACTCTAAGTTTTAGGGTACATGTGCACATTGTGCAGGTTAGTTACATATGTATACATGTGCCATGCTGGTGCGCTGCACCCACTAATGTGTCATCTAGCATTAGGTATATCTCCCAATGCTATCCCTCCCCCCTCCCCCGACCCCACCACAGTCCCCAGAGTGTGATATTCCCCTTCCTGTGTCCATGTGATCTCATTGTTCAATTCCCACCTATGAGTGAGAATATGCGGTGTTTGGTTTTTTGTTCTTGCGATAGTTTACTGAGAATGATGGTTTCCAATTTCATCCATGTCCCTACAAAGGATATGAACTCATCATTTTTTATGGCTGCATAGTATTCCATGGTGTATATGTGCCACATTTTCTTAATCCAGTCTATCATTGTTGGACATTTGGGTTCTTAAGTAAGTTGTTTAACCTCTCCTAGCATCAGATTCTGTGTAAATGGCTCTATTCTCCAGTTTTATATTATGAACAAATAATGTAACACATATAAATGTACTTTGTAAAATGGGAGGTCAATTTTTTAAAAATTTATTATTGTATAATACATGCAGGTTATTAATAAATTAGCACTCATGTCACTCTCAGTGATGGGTCAAGTATACTACAGGTCTCTCTCCCTTTGAGATTTATAAATTAAATACAAAATGTAATTCCAGGCCTTCAGGTGTTTATAATCTGACAAAAAGCGTCATTCTGGTTTTGCTAATGGGTGCAAATATTCTATCATTTGTTTGCTTTCTGGATTGCTTTAATAATTTTTCACCATTTTGCTGTATTTTTCTGCTTATTTGCATACCTGAAAATGCTTGATGGGATGCCAGACATTGCAATTTTTTCTTATTGAGTGTAAGATACATTTGTATTACTAGAAATATTTTTGAGTTTGTTCTGGAACATAGTTGATTAACTTGGAAACAGTTTGATCCCTGTGTATCTTGCTTTTAAACTATTTGCACTGGACTGGAACAAAATGTCGCAAAAGCCTGTTTCACATGCCCTCTGATGGCCTGTGAATTATGCCATCTCTCACTCTAGCTGATAGAAACAGGGACTATTAGTTCATGTTCCAGAGATTTTTACTCTAATCCTTTGGATGGTTCTTTTCCCCAGCCTTGGATCATTTTCTCACATGCTTGTGTTTATCAGTATACATCTAAAGGCTGGTGGTGGACTGTCTCTGGATGGCTAGAGTTCTTTCTCTGCTAGCTTTTTGCTCTCTTTTCCTTTTCCTACAAATGCCTGCCCACTCTGGCTCACTCAGAATCCCAGCTCTGTCTTGTCAACTGAGAGAGATGGCTAGGATCTGCTTAGCTTCTCCCTCCCTACATTGCAGCCTGCAAACTTTCTGCATGTGGCAAGACTGGGCAGTTGCGAAGTTGATCGTGTTTGCTTCCCCTTGCGCTGAGATCACTCTCTTTCACTGTCTGATTTCCAATGTCTCGAGACACATTCAGGTGGGAGACTAAATGCTTTCCCTATTACTTCTTCTTGGCTAGAAACAACAGTACTTCGATATTAATGTTTTCATTTTATTGGTTTTATGGCCTGTTTGTATCTAATTTGTGATTTTAATTATATGGTTATGTAATGCCTATGAGCATAAGGAATGTATCAATGCTTTAATGTTTTTGACAAACCTAATACAATAACTAAAGTTACCCACAGGATAGGAGTCAGGGGAGGAAGGTATTGTTGTTCCTTAAAAGGTGTCTATATATTACTCAAATTGTGCAGCACTGTTCTAGTTTGAAGCAGAATATGGTCTCAGTGTGTTTTAGCCTTGCATGACCTTTTGTTTTTAAAATGACTCTTTTTCTTTTCGTCTTTGCTATTTACCTTGGAATACCTTCCTACAATATTTTACTTTTGTGGCTCTCATGATACAGACATGGACTTTTCTCTCTCTGGTATATACCATCTATAAATCCTAGGATTTTTTACTCATAGAGGCTGGGCATTAAGAGTACACACCAGATTTAATAGATAGTGAAAATTCTGGGATGATTGATGATATTCAGAACCAGAAGAACTTGGATGTGTAGAAAAAACATCAATATGGCCGGGCGCGGTGGCTCACGCCTGTAATCCCAGCACTTTGGGAGGCCGAGACGGGCGGATCACGAGGTCAGGAGATGGAGACCATCCTGGCTAACACGGTGAAACCCCGTCTCTACTAAAAATACAAAAATTAGCCGGGCATGGTGGCGCGCGCCTGTAGTCCCAGCTACACGGGAGGCTGAGGCAGGAGAATGGCGTGAACCCGGGAGGCGGAGCTTGCAGTGAGTCGAGATCGCGCCACTGCACTCCAGCCTGGGCGACAGAGCGAAACTCCGTCTCAAAAAAAAAAAAAAAAAAAAAAGAAAAAACATCAATATCAGGAAAGCAGGGAAGCCCCAGTGAAGACCTCACACTTAATTTTTTTATTCCTGCTCCTCACCCTTGGTAGTTTTCATGGCACCTTCAGGTGATGAAAATGAAGAAAGACAGATAAAATATTTAATCATCAAAGTTTATAAAACTTGTGTGAAAGTTTGCTTTACTGATTCAGGCTTAAGACAGGATATTATCTACTTCAATTAGTTTGGAATACCCATGAGGGCAGTAACCACATATACCTTGTTTACAGTTGATTCCAACACTAAGAACAATGACCAGAACAATTGCTCAGTAAAGACTGTATTTATTTACCTCATTATTTCTAGTATATTCAGCGTATGAGGGTAAGAGGTGGAAGATCAAGATATCGGTATCTGTAAAGCACAGTAACTGGCAGATGTAGTAACTGAACTCTAATTCACTACGGTTGCTTACATTAATTATTGGAAGACATAGACTAGAACTTCCAGGAGCAAATAAATCGTCTGTGTTTATTTCTTATTACATTCTTAGAGCCTAGCACATGTACAACACAGACATAATACACACTCAACAGCAATGAAAAAGAAGTTATTATGTAAAATATGAGATGGCAATGAACTGTCACTCATTCTGTAGGGTGGCTGAGGAAGCTGTCCTTTAGTGCGAGGTATCAGAGAGATTCAAGTAGGACAGTCTAGAATGGAAATCAGACATAGGATGTTTGGAGCCAAATAGAGTTGTGGTATAACAGGGGAGAGAACCATTTTATCATTTACATAGGTAGTGTTTATCTAACCCAACGCTTGTTTTTATTTAACTTTATCCAGTACGCTTTTCATCATCCTATACATTCCTTGAAATATATTTAATTTAAATTCTGCCCTTTAAAGTGCTGGTTATTCTCTATAGTGATTGAAAAAGTGACCTTGAATAAGCCACTTAAATTTTTGATACCTTATGTAGGCCTCTCCTATTTTGCTTACTAGGATTGTATGAGTATTATTATTTGAGATGCTCTTGCTGGCATTTGGTCTGGCCAAAAAGCCAAAATGGCTTTGATAGTTGATTAAATTCCAGTGACAGTCACAGTGAGGAGAAGGAAAAAGGAATGCAAACAGTGCAGCAGTAGAATTTCAGGACAGAAAATGACAAGTCATAAATTATGTTAAATTATAAAAGATATTTTGGAAAGAATAGGAGCAGCTCCTCCATCTCTATTACCATTTACTAATTCATTAACTTATTGATTCAACAAATACTTGAATTTCTGCTCTGTGCCAGGTACTTTTCAAGGTAACTTGTCACATCAGTGACCAAACAATTCCAGCTGTCATTGTTCCTCCTTACATTTTATCAGGAATGGGGACAGATAGAAGTGAAGACAGAAAATGAGCAGTAGGCATAATAAATAAGTTACGTAGTACAATTTTATACAGTGATACATGCTTTGAGAAAAAGAAAAATAGTGGAGCCCAGTAAAATAGTTTAAAGGATGGTAAATGAGAGATCTGCTGAGTGCAGTTTTAGTAGGTTAGATTTGATCAAAGACTTAAGGAAACCGAGGAAGGTAGCCACACAGATGTCTGCGGGTAGGCCTGCTAGGTTGAAACAACAGCTAAAACCAAAGTCCAAGCCTGGAATGCCCCCATTGCATTTTTATGTCCCAGTGAGAGTTACACAGAATGATTAACAGGGACAAGAATTGAAGACAGAGTTAGAGAGAAAACAGGAGGACATATTATGGGCAGCCTTTTAGGTCATTGATTGTGGCTTTTACCCTACACAGAATGAGCAACAATGCATGTAGTTGAGCAGAGGAGTGAGCTGATCTGATTTTGGCTTTTGAAAATTTACTCAGACTGTAGTGTTGAGAATGACCATGCAGTAGGTGGGGCAAAAGTAAAAGCAAGTACATCTTTTAGAAAGCTTTTGCAGTAATTCATGTGAGATGCAATGGTTTGGGCCAGACTGGTAGCAATGCGGATGTTAAAAAATCATTAGATTGCAGATATATTTTAAAGGTTATTAAAGGTTATTAGCCTTTATGGCAGAATTGGCAAATATTAATAGATTAGGTAGAGGCTGTAAAGAGCGTCAGAGATGATTCCAAGGTTATTGATCTGAGCATCTATAGGGATGGAGTTGCCATTAACCAAGAGGAGAAACGCTGCAGATAGAGAAAAGTTAGATTATTGTTACTATCTAAATTATCTGCCCATCTCTAGTTTTGCCCCCTTTCAACTCTCAACTTTTTAAACAGAAAACCTGACTGAGTCCTAAGCTAATTAAAAATATTCATTAGATCATCATCTCTTTTAGGATAAAGTCCAAACTCCTTGACCTGATTTCATTTTTTATATTTTGTCTCTCCCTGTTCTTTTTCCTCCCATGCTTCCTACCCTTATCATCACACCATTAGTCAAATAATACCTAACATATTAGATATACTATCTTTCCGTTTCTAAAATATGTAGCCCCCTTTTCTCATTCATCTCATTTATTGCTCATTTACCTTTGCTGTTACTTCTTCAAGGAAGCTATTTTGTTGAACACTATAATACATTCCCTAAATATACCCATATGTTAAGATGCTTTTGTTATTAGGACATTTTCCACATTATATCATAATTGCACATTTAATTTCACTCACCATTCACTGTAAACTTCAGTAGGAATCAAATCTGGCTCGTTTTTTAAATGTACAAGTTAGCTGTGTAACACATCATCAGAAACATAGGGTCTTAATACAACAATAATTACTTATTTTGCTCACAAATCTACAATATAGGTAGTCTCAGTGGGTAAAGTTTATTTATGCTTCATGTGGTATGAGCTGGGATGGCTTGACTTGAGCTAGACTCAAGGATCCAGCTTAAAATGACTCATGCATGTGGCTTGCAAATAGGGGATACCTGTCACTTCCACTCCACGTGAGCCTCTCCATGGGGTTACTTGATTCCAAGAACAAGCTTTCCAAGAGATTCAGTCAAAAGCTCTGTCATCTTCTATAATCTAACCATACAAGTTATATAGCCTCACTTTCACCGCAGTCACACGCTTCAGATTCAAAGAGAGAAAACGTGGGCCCCGCCTCTCTCTGAGGAGAATGTAAAACTTACATTTTAACAAGAGCATGCAGTGGGAGCTAGTTTTGGAATACATAATCTGCCATTCTCACCATTGTGTTTCTGTGACATACCAAATTGTCTGGCATATCATAGAAGCTCAATAAATATCTTTGGAATAATTCAAATGTCTCTCTCAATAGCTTACATTTCTCTCCGTAATGAGAAGCCTCTCTTTATTATGTATGAGTAACTGGGTGTCATGGAGTTATCAACAGAACCCAAAATTCTCTGTGTTTTTGCTTTGTTTTATTTCTGAATAACATTTGAGGCATATGGAGCTGATTCACATAACTAACCCTATGTTCTACCTGGAAAGTACCTGTATTTCTTTCATTGGAGCCTTTAATCCATCAAATGTTTATTTTCAGAGGACAGGATTTTCTAATATTTCTTAGTTATTCCTTATTAGGACATTAATATATTTCTTTGAAAAACAATACATAAAATAGAAATGATTATAGTGCTAAGCAGTATAGTTTTTTATTTAGAAACAAGTTGACTAGGTTTTTTTTTCTTTGCATTTGGCTTTCCTACAAAAACTTTTGACTAGGCATTAATCTTTGGCTATTATAGTAATAAAAATATATTCACATTGATTTGTAAAGAGCCTTCTGTAAAGTCCAAAGTTTTAACTTACCATATATACCACATATATACATATATATATATAAAACATCCTTTATATATATATATATAATATATAGGAAGTTATATATATATAAGGAAGTTATATATATATATATATATATATATATATATATGCTAAGTGCATTCTTTGCCACTCCTAGAAAGGTAGCTATTATAATTACATAGCAGTCCTACTACTATATTCTCCAGAAAGTACAGTTTTAAATTTGAGCTCAATTTTTTCCTGAATCTATATGTACACATGTAAATATATTATCAACATACCATAACAGGATGAAAAGCTGATACTCCAATTTCCTAACAATCTGGAAGATGGGTAATGCCATTTACTGAATGCAGTGGAACTCTATGTGATTTACAAATACACAAACCTCTGAGTCCAAGAGATGTTGCAACTCTCTCAGTGTTTACCTGGTGTAATAGTCTGTGCTCTTTTTACCATAAAAAGTTATTTTTTTCCCAAGCCATACATACTGGCTTTAACAGCTTCACTCAGTGGTTACTAATTTTGACAGACTGGAGAATAGCTTACATGTTTTAAATTGTTATGTGACTTTAGATACAAGACTTCAATATTTACCAGGAAGACTTTCTCAATTTCCCTTGGCAAAGACAATCTTTTCCTTATAAATAGTCCCATAATGACCCGGGGCATATTTTTACCATAACATTATCACTTTTTATAACAAATAAGTCTTTTGTATGCAACCATCCATTAAATAAATATTTTTTAAACAAATATGTTTTCCAATTCAATCCAAGAGCTCAAACAAAAGAAACTTCATCTTCTTCATAGTTCTATTCATAGAACTTAGCACAATGCCAGGCATATAGTGTTTCAATACACTCAAGTAACAGATTTATCTTCTTACAGTGCCAGAATTCCTACCTTGATCTTGTCTACTTATTAGCTCAGATTCCTCTGGTATTAAAGTTTGTATGTGTCTCTTCATTGTTTTTAAGAGAAAGCATCCTACGTGCTAACTTTAGGCTCTCCGATTATATTCCTGTCCATGTAGCCAAATTCCCTAGTAGGATTTCTGCCTATATTCTATTATCTTTTGTACCCCTTTCCTAACCACTTTTCAACTATCAGCATAAGTAGGTACCTTCCCCTTCTGTCCTTTGGAACTTCCCTAGTTTCTCTGTTCCTACCATCTTTGATAAAACTCACCTTGACTGTCTTCCAGCTGCTTTTTTGATACCTGCTAGACTATAACACATCCTTTATGGCAGAAAAACAAAACAAAATTCATATGACTTTAGATTTTAGCATGAAGAACAATAATTTCACAAATGTACCCATGAGTACCTTGAATTTTCCAATCTTAAAAAAGCTTTCATAGCAGTCCTTTTAAGAATCTTAAAAAACAACTTTAAAAAGTTGGAAGTACAAAGTGAAAACAATGTACATTTGCTGTTCATATTTTTAAAAAGTCTTTGTGAAGTGATAACTGTTTGCTACTCAGTCTGAGAGAGAGAGTTTGGAACTAAACCTTGGTTCAGATAAAGCCACTCATTTTTAATAGCTTCACTTCAGGGTCATTGAGATACTGATACACAGACCCAGTATCTCTACAGCAAATGTAAACAACCATCTCTAGTAAGAAAAAACAAAACAAAACAAAAAGACACTGTTTACAAAAGACACAGACATGCAGACACCTATTAGTTGAAATAATGCTAAAATATACCTTTTTGTTTTGCCCTTGAGCCAAATACCCCAAAGCATTTTCAGGTATTTAAGACCAGTGCAAAATTGCACAGATCAGTTGAGGCTAACAACGGTGAACCAAATGAAGACTGGCCAGCCTTCTGCACTGCAAGCGTCTGCTCCAAAGCCTGTATGGGCCTCACCACAGAGGACTGAGGAGACAAAAGGAGCATGCAGAATGTTGAAGAGAGAAAACAGTGTGGCACTCTGGAGCCATTCTAGTTATCAAAATGTGGCTATCAGAAAAAGTCAGATTCCTGTAGTTTCAAGTGTTCTCAGAAGTCTCTGCCCCACAGACAATATTCACTGTTTTTCCAAACCAAAATTCCAACCCAGCATGATGTTGACACCTCTATCTATCTGAATTCTTTCTCTTCCTTGGCTACTTCTCTCCAGCCTCAGTGGCTTCCTGCTGGTTCCTTGGACAGGCCAATCATGTTCCTCCCTCATGCTTCTGTGCTAGACTTTTTCAAGATTTTCATTAATATTGGAATTTGTAGCTGGAGATGAGATGATGGTTAATTTTAGTTGTCAGCTTGGATGGACTAAGGAATACCTAAAGAACTGGTAAAGTATTACTTCTGTGTGTGTCTGTGGGTGTTTCCAAAGGAGACTGGGGTGTGAGTTAGCAGGCTGAATGGGGAGGAGCTGCCCTCAGTGTGGGCAGGCACCATCCAATCCAATGAGAGCCCAGATAGACCAAAAAAGAGAACAAAAAAGAGACAAAACAAAAATTTTGTCTCTCTCTCTTATGGCACTGAGACATTTTTTTGCTCCTGGTCTTTGATATTTGAACTCCAGGCTCTCTGACCTTTGAACTCCAGGACTTAAGACCAGAAATCCCCCAGGTTCTCAGGTGTTTGGCCTCAAACTGAGAAATACACCATTGGCTTCTCTTGTTCTGAGGCTTTCAGACTTGGACTGAACCATGCGACCAGCATCCCAGAGTCTCCTCCAGCTTGCAGGTGGCCTATGATGGGACTTCTCAGTCTCCATAACTGTGTAAGCCAATTCCTCTAATAAATTCCCTGTCATCTATCTATCGCTCTATCTATCTATTTATTTATCTCCTGTTGGTTCTGTCTCTCTGGAGAACCCTAACTAAACAGAAAACTATACATATATATGCCTCCATGACAAAGTCACAAAAATCTTTTAGAAGCTATTAGAGTCTCCCTAAAATACAAGGTAAGGAACTCAGTCTAATTTTATTTGCACTCCAAAAGATAAGGTGACTTCAGTTGATATCTATATTATAATTAATGATGCTGGCTATACTACATTATTTATTATTAGCGTTTTGTTCTGTGGTTTGATCAGGATGGGAGTGGGAAGCGACCAACTCATTATCCGAAAGCTCCACTATCCACTACTCTGCTTCTTTATGGCTGGACTTGTGACAGTAATTTGTTTTATTATACTTAAAAAAAATACAAGAAAGTATCAAATATGAAAGATGACTGCCTGCTAATTTCAGTGAGGCAGTAACCCTTCTTAAAAGACATTAGTCATTCCTGTGAAAAACTGTGCTGATTCTGCCTCTCCAGCTGTGATGTGACCTTCTTATAGATGCAGAACCCTGCAAAGGGCTGAACCCCTGCTAGAGGCACATGGACACTTTCTCTTGCTTTGCTGACACATGTAGTATTCCTGACCCAAGATCTTCAGAGATGAAAAGTCATGATCAAGCGACCCTGTTAGATAAGCCTATACCCCAAAACTTTATTTCAAATTTCTGATGATCATTTGTAAGTAATTACCTAACTATCTAAGGAATTATAAAATCAAACTACTTGAGCGTCATGTATTTCTCTCCAGGAGGAAGAATTGTTTTTTATAGTATTTTCCAAGTTAGTGTTCTCTGGTTTCTTAGATATTTTGCACATTAATTAAGATCTGAAAATGATGACTAAGATGACTTTGAGATGTTACACTTCTCTCTTGATCTCCTGTCAACCCTCAAAGCTTTAGTTGCAGGAAAGTGATCCCAATCCAGACCCCAAGAGAGGGTTCTTGGATCTCGCTCAAGAAAGAATTCAAAGCGAGTCCACAGTGCAAAGCAAAAGCAAGGCTGTTATTAAGAAAGTAAAGTGGTAAAAGTACAGCTGCTCCATAGAGTAGGACATTCTCGAAAGTAAGAGGAGGAATGCATCCACCCTAGGTACAACGCTTGTGTATATATGATAAAAAGAGATCATGGGGAGATGTGCTCTGCTACAAAGGTTTGTGATAAAGGATTAATTTTCTTAGTTATATAGTTTGCAAGAATCAATATCATTATCTTTAAAGCAAAATTAGGAATGCCTTTGTTCTCCAGATATCAGGATATCTGGACACTCCCAAGTCTGGGTCTGTTTAGTAAACATTATTAGTTTCCTTAACTGTAAACACCTGGAGGCAAAGAATGCCTGACTTTCTGGGTAGGCAGCTCAGCAAATCCCAGCCTCATTTTTCAAGCCCTCACTCAAATGGAGTCACTCTTGTTCAAACGCCTCTGACACTTTTTAGGCACAATATTCAAAGAACAGTGTTAAACAAATTAAAATATATCAATTAAATACAAATCCAAAATGATTGGAAGTTATTCAAAATGATTGGAATATTAATAATAGTAAAAAGTGGGGATTTGAGCTGTCACAGGAAATAGCATCTATGAAAAAAAGACAGATTCCAGTCCTTTTGTCTTATTCAAAGATAGGTTTATTTTTAAGACTTGACTTAATACTACTTTGGGTGCAAGTAGAAGACATTGATTCTTTAAGACCTGCCTGAGTATCTCAATATTTATCAAAGCAAAAGCAAGTCAAATCTCCAAAGCTTGATATTAAATCAGCATCAACTATTTGTTGTTCAAACTACAGCTGTCTATGGAACACTTTTTTCAGCTCAGAATTTAGTCAGTTAAAGAAAGTGATAATTACTGCTTCTTATTTAGAGGTGTTTCATGTGTCCATTTAGTCCAAAAGGATATAGAACGTTTATGTAAGTTTAACACTTAGAGATGCAGTGAGAAATGCAATGCTGTCATTGGCTATTTTCCTAAGTTAATTAGTGTTGTCTTGACCAAGAACTCACTTGATTATTTAGTCAGTCGACTAAATAATCTTCATGTTTCAAACATTATTTCTTCATTTATTTCTCAAGTGGCTGGCAAACATCTTGGCAAATTACAGATGAGTACTTTGTTTCTACAAGCAAAGACTAGGGTTAGTCACACATTAATCAGGAACATCACACCTATGTGAATTGGAAAAGCTGGCCTGAGGCATTCTAGATGGGATGCCAGGTAGGAGTGATGAGAGCGCAGGAGGATACATTTACATGATGGTGTCAGGATAAGGAAAAAAGGTGAATAGATATTCAAGATTCCTGCCACTCACGGATATAGTAAGACAATCAAAAAATTCCCCCCTCAGTTGTCCACATTTCTTTCTCTTTCCCGTCCTCCACCTTTCTCTTTACCTCCTTGGCCCTATCCTGGGGCCTTTCAATACTCTAAAATAATGGCCCAAATGAATGAGAAAACAATTTCTGGTTAAAACAATCATCAAGTAATTCAAAATATATTTCTGACATTGCCTCTTTTTAGTAACATAAGTAGAAATGTGTTAAAGGAAAACTGTTTCATTTCTGGATTATTCAATTTGTTACTTTCCTATGCACTGCTGCTGCCCTTTTGACAATGGTTCTGGAAAAAGACTGAACAGAAAAAGGGAAAGGATATGAAAAAGAATCAAATCTGGTCAGAGGCTTGGGAGACTAAAAACTAAAACTAGAAACAAACATTGAGACCTTCAGATTGTTTACATGAAAACTTTAGAACTGTTACATGGAACACAAACGCAAAGGATTTACTAAGTTATTGAGCATATTCAATTTTTTAAAAATATTTTTATATATTCTACTATTTAATGAAGGAGTCTCTAGACAATTATCTTCCTTTCTCACCCCATTAGAGTGTCTAACTGTGGGACAAGCTACCTTTGCTATCTGGGCCCCGATAGTGTTGGTCAACAATGTTAAAGAACACAGCTTCATTTTATAAGTCATTTTAGACAAAGGGAATTGGCAGGGTAAATTCAAAAAGAAGGAAAAATAAACAGAACACAAAACAAAACAGAGATACCCACTAAAATCCCTTGAGTATTAATCCTGGAGTTATTTATGTCAGGGCAAATTGCTCCTATAAAGCAAAGACAGACTCTGAAAGAAACAAGAATCTATTTGGTGGTTTCTTCTGAGGGCCCTCTCTGAGCTATCTATATCTGCTCTGGGAGTGAAGGCCCGTTTACCAGGAGTTGATGTCTCTTTAGTTCTAGTTGTTAAGACAGCTTCCTGCTTAGGGACTTGCCTGGGTTCTGATTTATCACTTTGAGGTTTTCATGAATTTATTTATTTTTTATTTTTTTGTTTTTCAATTCAGTATGATTTTAGCAGGTAATTCCCATGTCTTTACTAGAGTATGCTGACTTTTAAGACAGGCCTGTTTTCTTTTTTATGGCTGGGTAGAATATACTTCCCAACTATGTGCTTAATTTCAAAGTTTACTGAAAAGTTTGAGGGTTTGGCTGCTCCACTAAAGAAAACCTTACAATACTCAGACGGGATTAGAAAGCATAGGGAGCCCTGCTTCCACCTCCCTTTCCACTTCGGGACTAAATTGATTCCCTGCTCTCCTCTGAGAAGAAATACATTTTTTCTCATTATGGCCCTTATTTCAAGAGTGTTTCTTTTTATTCCCAGAGGCAAAATTCATGAAATTCTAAGGAAGAAAATGATTATTGTGTATTTATTCCTAAATTCCTCTAAGATTTAACTATCAAACAAGATAAATATTCTCCAAAAACTGCCATAAAAATGAGACAACTTTTACTATATGTCTTTCAAAAAAAGATTTCATAAGTTTCCTCTCACTGCCTAAGATGTGGGATTACAAAAATGACAACATAAGAATATCAGTGGGTTCTTGATGGCACACATTGTTTAGCATAGATACCTCTGGGATAAAGAAATGGGCTATGGAAGTTTCTTTCTTTCTTTCTTTCTTTCTTTCTTTCTTTCTTTCTTTCTTTCTTTCTTTCCTTCCTTCCTTCCTTTCTTTCTTTCTCTTTCTCTCTTTCATTCTTTCTTTCTTTTTTGAGACGGAGTCTTGCTCTGTCGCCCAGGCTGGCGTGCAGTGGTGCAATCTCGGCTCACTGAAACCTCCACCTCCCAGGTTCAAGCGATTCTCCTGCCTCAGCCTCTCTAGTAGTTGGGATTACAGGCGCCCGCCACCACAACCGGCTAATTTTTTTGTATTTTAGTAGAGACGGGGTTTCACCATGTTGGTCAGGCTGGTCTCAAACCCCTGTCCTCGTGATCCGCCCGCCTCGGCCCCCAAAAGTGCTGGGATTACAGGAGTCAGCCATCGCACCCGGCCCAGGGAGTTTCTAGTTATTTTAGTTTCCTTCTGGTTCATGCTCCAGAAAGGACATGAGGCAAGATTTTTGCTAAGTCACTGAACCTTTATAGTGTGAGGAAGTCATGCTAGTTGCTGGAGATAGCTATGTAGGAGAAAGGTGGCCTGGGTTAACTGGAACATGCATCATGGTGGAAGGAGCACTGGTTTTGCGCTCACAGTCTCCCACTTTTTGCCAGGTGACCTTGGGGAGTTAATATCTTGAACCATATTTTCATTGTTTTTAAAATCAGCACAATAAGTTACAAGAAAAATTGTTCTGAGGATTAAAAGCTCTTTATGTAAAACATTGGCAGGTGATTGGTATTTAGCAAATTGTCACCGTTATTATAATATTGTCTTTAAACTTCAGGAAATTAAGGAAGAAGAGAATTAGGTTGGTGAAAAGTAATTGTGATTTTTCCACTACTTTTAATAACTATTAGGTTGGTGCAATTACTTTTGCACCAACCAAATTGCACCACAATTACTTTTGCACCAACCTAATAGTTATTAAAAGTAGAGGTAAAAATCACAATTACTTTTCCACCAACCTAATCCTCTTCATTTCCTAATACAAGGAAAACACTGGCCTATTTGTGGTGTTATATGCTGAACTCCCACAAGTGGTAGAAACAGTACGAAAGTTTGAGTGAGAAGAAGCCACTGGGCTGTATTAGTTGAGAAGTCTTCCAGGAAGAGTTGAGGGTTACCTCTCCTTTAACTTTAAAGCATCACTAAGTTGGAAGTGAAACAGGAGAGTCATGGGAGGCAAATGTTTGAAATTTACCAGAGCAAGAAGTCTAGCGTAGTAATGAGTTCAGGTGAAAAAATCACCAAGATCAACAAATGTACTTTTGAAGGTTTCCAACCTTCAATTTGAACTCAAGGAGCATAAGCTTGTAGAATGACCTATATGGATATTCATATGTCGGTATTTACTAAGCTCCCACCACATGCCTAACTTTATGCTAGAGTGGTGAATAATTAAGAAATGGTCCTCATTCCCTGGAGCTTACAGTCTAGTGGGGAAGTCAACGAAAAACAAGAAAACAAAAAGAGTATAATTAAAAAAAGAGAATGCTATCAGAAAAATGTATCAAGTATCCATTCTAGATGGATTGTCTAAAAAGGGCTTTTTGAGGACGCCAATTTTTAAATAAGACCTGAAAGATATGAAGGCTGTCACATGCAAAATACAAAGAAGAAAAATTTTTGTTGAAAAGGAACCAGGAAAACAAAAAACTCTGAAAGACTAACAACAGCAACAACAAAAACATGAGGTCTTGTACTTGCTGCTCAAAGATTGGCCCACAGATGAACAGCTGGGACATTGTTAGCAATGCAGACTCTTGGGCACCACTTCACATCTACTGAATCTGAACCTCCATTTAAAAAATATCCCCAGGTGATTCATAAGCATATTACATTTGGAAACAGACATATAATTATCTTTTTAATTAGGCCACATGGAAATCTTTGGTTGGGTTGACAAAAGCTATTCCAATGGAGGGAGTGGGCACCAAAGAATGAGTTGAATGATTGGGATATTAGGAGTGAACGTGGCATGTATTAGACCATTTTCATGCTGCTAATAAAGACATAGCCAAGACTGGATAATTTATAAAGGAAAGAGGTTTAATTGACTCACAGTTAAGCATGGCTAGGGAGGCCTTAGGCAACTTATAATCATGGCAAGGGGAAGCAAACACATCCTTCTTCACATGATGGCAAGAAGGAGAAGAATGAGAGAAGGTGGGGAAAATCCCCTTATAAAACTGTCAAATCTCATGAGAACTCACTATCACCAGAATAGCATGGAGGTAACTGCCACCATGGTTCAATTACCTCCCACCAGGTCCCTCCCACGACATATGAGTATTATAGGAACTACAATTCAAGATGATATTTTGGGGGAGACACAGCCAAACCACATCACAGCATGTGGAAATAACTCTTTACAGAAATGTAATTTGGAATGGGATGAGACCAGAGGATGGGTCAGTAGCTGAAAGGGAATATAACGTCACAAGAGTAGTTGTTTAAAATGAATGATGTGTACTTGTATGCATAAAGGTAACACCTAGATGAGAGGCAGGGTTGTTATGTGAATATAGAGGGAATATTCAAGAATCAGAGTTCTTTAGAGTGAAGAACAAGGTAATGATATGACAAAATTAGCCTGTGATGGGGACTGGAACAAGAGGGAGGGTAGAAAAAATGTGTGTCCTATAGATTTATTGACGGGAATATGAGCATCTTCTGGCACACTAATTGTCTTTTGTCAATGAAGCATGAGGCATGAACATCAGCTGTAAGCAAGCAGGACTCAGGGGTGGTGATTTTGAAAACTGAGAAATTATGAAATAATCTCTGCAGAAAATGGAAGAACAAGCCAAATGGAAAACGTTGGTGGGATTGCTAGATAGCGTTCAGCTCTTATTTAAATTCAGCAATCAGAATTTGTAGTGAAATCTGGCCAGATACATGATTTTTTTTTTTTCTAGCTGTGCTGGAGTTTATGGGTACAGGTGTAAAGAAAGCAGATGGTTGAGTTCATGTAAGGTTGGGGTTAGTAATCAAAAATAATTTTTTAACATTGCAATGTGTCTAAGTTTAGCTCTTGGCAACTGTTTCTGTTTATAAAAGTTAGAGGTTAGAGGCAAATATCTAGCCTCTGTTATAATAACATGGTGCCAATTATTCACATTTTCTATGCTCCACTTTTGCAATAGACTTTCTAGAAGCCTCACAACATTAGGTCTTAGATATTAAGTCTAAGTAAAATGGACTTAGCTCCATTTTACTGATGAAAACTGAATATAAAGAGGGTTCGGTAAACCTTAAGTAAATTATAATTCCAAGAGTCAAATTATTATTTTTTTCTTTTTTTGATTAAAAGCAAAAAATATCTATTGACTTTCATTGGACAATTTTTTTTCTCCAGTGGCATTATGAAATTGAGTGAAACATATGTTCTCTCATCAACTTTATACAATCAGCGAACGAATACATAGTCTTGGAAATCTTGTCTCTAATATTTCCTTACCACTCTGTAAGAAGTCTGAGAGGAAGGTTCAAATGAAGAGCAGTGTGGGGAGTAGGATGGAAGAGACCCTTATAGATTTTTGAGAAGTCTACAAAAGGATGTGTCTATGGCTTGAAATGTCTTTTCTTGCAAAACATGAGATATGGCACTTACTATGAGTGCTTTAAGTTACAAAAACGTTAAACAATAAAATTCCAACGTAAGTATCAGGTATAGAAATCAGATAACAAAGTCAAATGCCTCCAGCAGCCAGGAACAAAACTTAAAGGCATGAAGAGGGCTGGAGAGAAGACAGGGAAGCATGTGGGTGGGTACACTGGGGTGCCACTCATTCATTTCATCCAGTTAATGCCATGCAGGAATTTGAGTTCCTCCCATTATCTAAGAAGACAGATTACCTAAACCTTTGTCAAATTTAGACATATTAAACGTTCTATTGACAAAACCAAGCATATCGGCTAGCTGGGTTAGGCCCATTGCCCTCCAGTTTTCCTCTTATGGTAGACATACATTTAAATCTGTAACAAGGGTCTTAATTATCATTTTTGTTTAAAACCAGACACCCTTTAAAAACATTTTGTAAACGGCTTGAGAAATATGATCTACTTGATATAATTATAGACATCTTTTAATTTGTTTTTTAATTTAGAGACGTTACCTAAGCGAAGGAGCAACCTTCAAACCTGATAGAAGAGAAAGAAGAATAGGCTTTCTTTGTGGAAGTCATAGGCTTCTCTTTAATGACTGGGTTACCATTGTGTAAGCAAAAAAAAAAAAAAAAAAAAGCTTCTTTATGAAAGAAAGTAGAAAGTATCTTTATTCAGCAGTGATTCTCACTTATGCACCAAAGAGTTTGCAAACTTAATCAATTTATCATAATGAACCTCCCAGTGGCAGTCAACAAGAGCATTTATAAGCACAGCAGGTAAGTTTTCCAACAATAATGATATTATGCTTCTATCTGCATAAAGAATAGTTTTAGCAGCTTTATGTTTCAGACAAGTTAAGTCCATAAATACACAAAAGCCACAATGACAAAATCATAGCCTATTAGCTAAGATTCCCTTGTGATATTGTGTAATTTCATCTCAGAAACTCTGAAAATGTGAATAAGGTTCTAATCCAAGTGAATTTCTTGCTATTTTATAAATATGATCCAAACTTTTGCGACTTTGAATTTGGTCTTAGGTTTCATTCCCCTTAACTAAACCCATCAAAATTCTATCTGCTTTCAAAACCCAGGCTCAAAACTGTTTCCTCTCTCTGCTGATCCCAGTGAATGAAGGGCTAAGCTGTATAAGTATCTACTGCATACTCAGGAATGCTAAGGTGTGTTGGTGCATGCAAGGAATATGGATTATACACTTTTTTTTTTTGGTAGAATATAAGGAGCCTCATGGGAGAGAAAAACTGACCAAACACATTGGATTTGGTGACTAAATAACAAAGACAAGACTTTCAAGCAAATTGGAACAATCCTTTAATCTCTCATGTTGTGTCCTCGATAGCAACAAGCAAGGTCACAAAGACTGGCAACCTGAAATAAATATCAAGAAGGATAGGCAGAGTCAGTAGGAAGCTATGTGCATTCCTGAGTGTATCAATCAGTGTCGTGACTAGGTACATCTGGTAATTAATGCCGAATTCCTGAGAAAGGAGTGTAATAAACAAAAAGAATACATTAAATAGAAGAGCATTTGTTTGAATTGATATTAGAGCTGTGCACGAAGAAAGAGAATGATTTGGTTACATGAGAGAATTGTGGCCTTAAAAATTATTAATTTCTGTGACTATGATCTTTTCAAACAGCTATATTGTTTTATTTGCTTTTGTTAAATTTGGAGTTAACCAACTCCAAAGAATAATAAGAGTTCAAGAGTAACAAGTGCTAATAACACTTGTTATTCTTTATTTTGTATTGTTGTATGCCATATCTTCCATTTATAAGTCCTCTGTGGTAGTCTGGATAATGACCCTCCCAAAGATGTCTGCATCTTAATTCTCAGAACCTGTGAATGTTACCTTACACACAGAAGGGACTTGCAGATAAGATTAGTTAAGGATGTAAAAATGAGGAGATTATCCTGGATTACTTGGTTGAGCCTGATGTAATCACAAGGGTCCTTTTAAGAGAAAGGTTGACCAGGGTCAGGTAAGGAAATGCGATGGTTGAAGTAATGTGGGGCCATCAACCAAGGAATATGGGCCCTTCTAGAAGCTGGGAAAGGCAAGGAAACAAATTCCCTTCCTAGAACCTTCAAAATAAACTGTCCCATTTTAGATTTCTGACCTCCATAATTATAAGAAGTAAATTTGTGTTGTTTTAAGCCACTTGGTTTGTGGTCGTTTGTTACAGGAATGATAGGAAATTGATACAACCTCCATGTTTTGTGTCAAAAACTATTATTAAGATTTTTCTCACCTTATTTTCCTGCCATTACATTTTTTAAACAAGACACAGAATTTATCCTGACCTATGCACATTATAGCATTCCTTGTCATCTTTGTTTGACTTCCCCAGAAGTAGAATCTGAGATAAGAATCCAAATGTAAGCAGTTTATTTGGAGTGTGATCCTGGAATACACGGGTAACACGGTAAAGAAGTGAGACAGGAAGGGAAGGAAGCTGGTAAAACCTCTTGTGTACTGTGAGCCACTGGATCTTCATCCTGCTGGTGAACTCTTGATAACCATGCAGAACATATGCCTCATAGTTTTCCCTAAAGGAGTAAGGGAGTTGGCATATTTATCAGCTCTCACCAGTCATTTGCTTGATGGCTATTCTCTGAGTGTGAGGGGAGGTGATAATTCCCTGGCAGTTCTGGACTGCCCTGCTCCTAGGCAGAGCAAACTCCAGTGATAAGAGAAGCCCCTGAGGCAAAGAATCACAGTGCTAACGGTAGAACTTGGGCCCATGTTGCAGAGTGCCTCTAGAGGGGATATGTGTGGGATACAGACAGATCTGATGCATCCAGCTTTTTGTCATTATCGAAGGCACAGGCTTGCAGATCCCTATCCATATCTGTCTCACCCTATCAAGATTTGGTAATAATTGTGGCACCACGTCTTCTACCTTTTGTATTTGTTGTTTGTTGTATGCCATTTTTTCCATTTTTTAAAATGACCCTTTGGATATAAACCCAGAAATTGGATTACTGGGTTGTATTGTAATCAAGACAGCATGGTGCTAGCATAAAAGCAAACACATTGACTTTCTTATTTTTAGTTTTTCGAGGAACCACTGCCATTTTCCATAATTGCTGTACTTATTTACATTCCCACCAACAATGAGTTCTTTTTTCTCATATCCTCTCCAAAACTTGTTATCTTTCATCTTTTTGATGAAGGCTATTCTAACAGGTGCGAGGTGATATCTCATTGGGGTTTAATTTGCATTTCCCTAATGATTAGTAATGCTGAGCATTTTTTCATGTACCTATTGGCTCTTCGTATGTCTTCTTTTGAAAAATGTCTGTTCAGGTCCTTACCCATTTTTCAATCAGGTTGTTTGTTGTCTTGATCTTAAGTTGTTTGTGTTCCCTATATTTTTTGGATATTAACTCCTTGTTAGATATATGGTTTGCAAATATGTTCTCCCATTCTGTAGGATGTCTCTTTACTTTGTTAATTGTTTCCTTTGCTGTACAGAAGCTTCTTTGTTTAATGCCATCCAATTTGTCTATTTTTGCTTTTGTTGCTTGTGCTTTTGGGGTCATATCCAAAAAGTCATTAGCCAAACCAGTGTCCTGAAGCTTTCCTCCCATTTTTTCTTCTAGTTGTTCTATAGTTTCTGGTCTTGTAGCTAAATCTTTTATCCATTTTAGTTGATTATTGTATATGGTGTAATGTAAGTATCTAGTTTCATTCTTCTGAATAAATAGCCAGTTCTCCTAACACCATTTATTAAAGAGATTGTGCTTTCCTCATTGTGTGTTCCTGGCACCCTTGTCAAAAATCAGCTGACCAGCACCAGGCATGGTGGTACATGCCTGTAATCCCAGCTACTTGAGGGGCTGACAATTGCTTGAACCCAGGAGTTTCAGGCCAGCCTGGGCAACATAGTGAGACCCTGCCTCTAATAAGTAAGCAAATAAATAAATAAACAATAAAAATCAGCTGACCATAAATGCATGGGTTTAATTCTGGGTTTTCTATCCTGTCCCCCTAGTCAATGTGTTTGTTTTTATGCCAGCACCATGCTATCTTTATTATAATAATTTCATTGTAATCAGAAAATGTGATGCCTACAAATTTGTACTTTTTGCTCAAGATTGTTTTGGCTATTTTTTATGGTTACATATATATTTAAGAATATTTTTTCTGTTTCTGTGAAAAATGAGATTGAAATTTTGATAGAGGTTGCATTGAATCTATAGATTGTTTTACATAGTATGGACATTTTTACAATATTAATTCTTGTAATTCATGAGCATGGAATATATTTCCTTTTCTTGTGCTTTCTTCAGTTTATTCTATCAGTGTTTTGTAGTTTGTGGTATACAGGTATTTTACCTCCTTGGTTAAATTTGCACCTAAGTGTTTAATTTTTTTGTTGCTATTGTAAATGTTGTTGTTTTCTTAATATCTTTTTCAGATAGTTCGTTATTAGTATATGGAAATGCTGCTGGTTTTTTAATGTTTATTTTGCATCCTGTAATTTTACTGAATTCATTTATCGGTTCTAACAGTTTCTTGTGGTCTTTAGAGTTTTTTCATATATGAGATCATGATGTTGGTAAATAGGGATAATTTCACCTCTTTCTTTCCTATTAGGATAAATTTTATTTTTATTTTTCCCTTGCCTAATTGCTCTGAATAGGACTTACAGCACTATGTTAAAAAGAAGTGGTAAGAGTGGACATTCTTCTCTTGTCCCTGATCTTAGAAGAAAAGCTATCCAATTTTTATCATTGAGAATGTTATCTATAGGTTTATCGTATATGGCCTTTATTGGGTTGAGATACATTCATTCTACAATTAATCTGTTGAGAATTTTTACCCTAAAAAGGTGTTGAAGGTTGTCAAATGTTTTTTCTGCATCTATTGAAGTGATCATTGTATTTTTATCCTTCATTTGCTGATATGGAGTATCACATTGATTGATTTGCATATGTTGAACCATCGTTGCATCCCAGGGATAAATTCCATTTGATCTTGGTGAATGATGCTTTTATTGTGTTCTTGAATTGAGTTTGCTAATATTTTGTTGAAAAATTTTGCACCTATGTTCACCAGAAGTATTGGCCTCTAATATTCCTTTCTTGTAGTCTGGCTTTGGTGTCAGGGTAATGCTAGCCTCATAAAATGAGTTTGGAAGTATTTCCTCTACTTTAATACTTGTGGAGGATTGGAGAAGAATTGGTATTAGTTCTTCTTTACATGTTTGGTAGAATTCAACAGTGAAGCCATCCAGTCCTGGGCTTTTCTTTGGTGAGAGACTTTTTTTATTACTCACTCAATCTCCTTATTTGTTATTGGTCTGTTCAAATTTTCTATTCCTTCATGCTTCAGTCTTGGTAAGTTCTGTTTCTAAAAATATATCCATTTCTTATAGGTTATTCAATTTATTAGCATATAATTGTTCACAGTAGTTTTTTATAGCCCTTTGTATTTTGGTAGTTTCCATTGTGATGTCTTCTCTTTCATTTCTGATCTAATTTGAGTAGTCTTTTGTTGTTGTTGTTGTTTAGCTAAAGGTTTGTCAATTTTATCTTCCTAAAAATCCAAACATTAGCTTTATAAATTTTTTCCATGATTTTTCTAGTGTCTGTTTCATTTATTTCTGCTCTGATATTTGTTATTTTCTTCCTTTTGCTAACTTTAGGCTTAGTTGCTTCTTTTTTCCTTCTGGTTCCTTGTGGTGTACCATTAGATTATTTGTGATCTTTCTTCTTTTTTGATACAGGCATTTATTGCTATAATTCACCTCTTAGGACTGCTTTTGTTACATCTCATAAATTTTAGTATGTTGTGCTTCTATTTTTGTTTGTTTTATGGTGTTTCTTGATTTTCTTTTTTATTTCCTCTGTGACACATTGTTTGTTTAGGAGGATGCCATTTGATTTCCACATCTTTGTGAGTTTTCCAGAATTTGTCTTGTTACTGATTTCTAGTTTTATGCCATGGTGATCTGAAAAGATACGTGATATAATTTCATTATCTTAAATTGGTTATGATCTGTTTTGTGACTTAACATATGATCTATCCTGGAGAATGTTTTGCATACACTTGAGAAGAATATGTTTTCTGCTGCTGTTGGATGAAATGTACTATAAATGTCTGTTAGGTCCATTTGATCTAAAGTATATTGAAATCCAATGTTTCTTTGTTGACTTTTTTTGGTCTAAATGATCTATTATTGATGGTGGGGTGTGGAGGTACCTTACTATGATAGCATTGGGGTCTATCTCTCTTTTCAGATTATTTCAGAATTGCTTTATTTATTTGGGTTCTCCAATCTTAGACAAATATATATTTACAACTGTTACATCTTCTTCATGAATTAACCCCTTTTATCATTATGTAATGACCTTTTCTCTTTTTCTAGTTTTTGGCTTAAAGTCTACTTGGTCTGATATAAGTATAGCTACTTCTGTTCTTTCTCAGTTTACATTTGTGTGAAATACTTTTTTTCCATCTTTTCACTTTCAATCTGTGACTTTACTAGTAAAATACATCTTTTGTAGGCATCTTATAGTTGGATCTTTTTTTTTAATCCATTTAGCCAGTCTGTCTTTTGATTGAAGACTTTAATCCATTTATATTCAAGGTAATTTTTGATAGATATAGACTTGCTACTGCCATTTTGTAATTTGCTTTCTGGTTGTTTTCAGGTCACTTATTTCTTTCTCCCTCTCATTTTCCTGGTTTTTTATAATTCTTGTGTCCTTACAATGATGCCTATCAATGCCACTTAGCAGGTCACGAGCAGCCCTATGGAGCGGCTCATGCGATGAGCTAATGAAAGGGTATGCTCTGGCATCTTATCTTAGAATACGTATTTCTAAGAAGACATTTCCTGAGTCTGGATCATTTGATTTTCAATTCAGATTATGCTGCATCAAGCCCTTTCCTTTTTCACAAGCTTTCTTCCAGAATAAGGTGAAGGGAAAATGAGACCGGCATACCCTGCTTGCTATACTTCTTTGCTCGTCTATATCTCCTCTGAGCAAATGCTTCATCAATAAATCATTATTTCCTGAGATAACTTTCTGATATAGGGCAATCTAAACCCATACTTAGAAAAAATATATGCAGACGTCTCTAAGTATGCTTAATTCAAGAGACTAAATGAAACATCTCATACCTCAAGCTGAAGCTATTTGATTTAGGTGTTTTTTTTTTTCTTTCTTTACTTTTCTTCTTTCTTTCTTTCTTTTTTTTTTTTAAACTGCATTTAGGGACTCTCCAAAAGCATTGGGTAGGTACTTGTCTCATATGCAAATAATCATAAGGAACCATCAAAAAATTCCACTTAGAGGGAATCTTCACAAAAGGAATATTATGTCTCAGTCTTAGTCATAAGTTATTTTTAATGTTTAAAATGGAAGTCCCCATATCCTTGTGAGTTTCTCAGGAAATGAGGGGTAGTAGTGGAAAGGACTCAGTAGGTTATCTCTGGTCTGTCACTTCAAGTCTTTGTTCAACTCTCATCTCTCAGTGAGATATCCTATAATCACCGTATTTATAATAGTCCTTCATCCTGCTTCCTCCTTCCCTCTAAGCTCCTGGACCCGGTACTCTCAGTTCTCCTTACTCTGGTTGAGATTATCTCAAAGATATCTCTCTACATTCTTTAGTACTCTTCTCCTCAAGAACAGGAGCTTCATTCACCTTCCATGAGTGTGGCTGGACTTAGTGATTCTCTTCGAGTGAATAGAATGTGGCAGAAACGATGAAATGTCTCTTTTGAGACTGGGTTACAAAAGGAGTGTTGCTTTCCCTTCCTCTCATGTCATTTGCTCTGGGTGATGCCCCCTGATATGTCCTGACCATCCCTATGGAAAGGCTCATGTGATAAGATAATAAAACCCCCTGCCAATAGTCACGTGAATGAGCTTTAGGTGACTACAGACCTGACTTGTAACTTGGCTATAACCTCTTGAGGGACTCTGAGCCAGAACCACCCAGGAAAGCTACTCCCAGATTTCTGACCTTTTGAAACTGTGTGAGATAATAGATCTATGTTATTTTAAGATGCAAGTTTTGCAATAATTTATCATACAGCAACAGATAGTGACTATATTTAACATAGGATATTTTATTCCACTTAACCACCTTTAACGTATTAGTTCTATTCTGTCCAATGTGATAGCCCCTAGCCATACATGGCTAACGAACAATGAAAATGTGACTAACGCGTCCCAGGAACTTAATTTTTACTTTTAATTAATTTAAATATTCACATGTAGTCAGTAGCTACTATATTTTACTGTTTTTATTAGATAGTCTACTTATTGTTTATGTTATTCATTATCTGCTTTCCCCACCTAGAATATAAGGATGTAAGTTCCTTGAAAACAGAGATTTTTGTCTGTTTCTTCACTTATGAATTCAAGTGCCTAGAACAGTGTCTGTCACCTAAAAGTACCACATAAATACTTGTGGTACTTAGTTTAGGATGCTATACCAAAAATACTATATACTGGATGGCTTAAACAGCAAATAATTATTTCTCACAATTTTGAAGGCTGTGAAGTTCAAGATCAAGGTGCTGGCAGATTTAGTTTCTGGTAATGAAACTTTTTCTGGTTTGCAGAGGTACACCTTCTTGCTTTGTCCTCACATGGTATGGAGATCATATCTCTTGTGTCTCTTCTTGTAAGGACACTGATCTTGGCTTGAGGGCTCCACTCTCATGATCTAATTACTTCCCAAAGGTGCCACCTCCAAATATCATCATATTGGGGATTAGGGTTTCAACATATTAATTTTGTGATGACACAGACATTCTGGTAGTCCCTACAATAATATATTTTTAAAACTTTTATTTTAGTTTCGGGAGTACATGTACAGGTTTGTTCTATAGATAAATTGTGTGTTGTGGGGGTTTGGTGTACATATTATTTTGTCATCCAAGTAATAAGCATAGTACCCAACAGGTAGTTTTTTGATCCTCCCCCTCCTCTCACTTCCGCCCTCAAGTAGGCCCTGGTGTCTGTTATTCCCTTCTTTGTGTCCATGTGTACTCAATGTTTAGCTCCCAGTTAGAGTGAGAACATGCAGTGTTTGGTTTTCTATTACTGCGTTAGTTTGCTTAGGAATATTATAGCCTCCAGCTCCATGCATGTTGCTGCAAAGCACATGATCTCATTCTTTTTTATTCCCTTTGTATATATACCACATTTTCTTTATCCAGTCTACTATTGATGGGCATTTAGGTTGATTCCATGTCTTTGCTATTGTGAATAGTGGTGCAATGAACATCCGTGTGAATGTGTCTTTATGGTAGAACAATTTATATTTCTTTGGGTAAATACCTAATAATGGGATTGTGACCTTACAATGATGCCTGCACATTTAAGGAGACAGCCAGCTCTTCTGACCTTTGCAGTGTTCTTCTGGTGGAGACAGACCTTTAGTATTTAGTGTAGTTGAATGGTACTTCTGTATTAAGTTATTTGAGAAATTGCCAAACTGCTTTCCACAGTGGCTGAATCAATTTACATTCCCAGAAGTGTATAAGCATTCCCTTTTCTCTGCAGCCTCACCAGCATCTGTTGTTTTTTGACTTTTTAATAATAGGCATTATGACTTATGTGAGATGGTATCTCATTGTGGTTTTGACTTGAATTTCTCTAATGATTAGTGATGATGATCATTTGTTCATAGGCTTGTTGGCTGCATGTATGCCTTCTTTTGAGATGTGTCTGTTCATATCCTTTGCCCACTTTTAATTTTGCTTTTGCCTCCTATAACTGTGTTCTTAATCTACCTATAATCTAAAAATTTCAGTAGGTCAAGTTAAAATTTTCTTCCTCAGCTAAGGTAATTATTCTTCAAAGAGTACAGGGAGGGCAGATATATCCCATGGAGGAACATTCTCAGTCCCTCTTCAGCCTCTCCAGATACAGTCGTACATTGCTTAACAACAGAGATACATTCTGAGAAATGCATCATTAGGCAATTTTGTCATTGTGTGAACATACACAAACTTAGATGGTATAGCCTACTACATACCTAGGCTATATGGCACACCCTCTTGCTCCTAGACTACAAACATGTATAATATGTTACTATGCTGGATATTGTAGCCAGTGTAACATAATGGTAAGTATTTGTGTGCCTGAATACAGAAAAGGTACAGTAAAAATATGGTATAAAATATAAAAATAGCACAACTCTATAGGGCACTTACCAAGAATGGAGCCTACTGGATTGGAAGTTGCTCTGAATAAGTCAGTGAGAGAGCAGTGAGTGAATGTGAACCTAGGATGTTGCTGTATACTACTGTAGTCTTTATAAACACTGTATACTTAGGCTACACTAAATCTCAAAAAAAAATTTCTCTTTCTTCAATAATAAATCAACCTTTGTTTACTGTAACATTTTTACTTTATAAACTTTTAAAAATCTTTTTGATGATTTTATAGTAATTTATAAGCTTAAAATCCAAGCTCATTGCGTTTTGCACAATGTACAAAAATATTTTCCTTATAACCTTATTCTATAAATTTTTTCTCTTTTCAACATTTTATTTTTACTTTTCAAACATTTTTGTTAAAAACTAAGACACAAACACACACACTGGCTAGGACCACACAGGGTCTGGATCATCAGTCTTACTGTCTTCCACCTCCATATCTTGTCCCACTGGACTTTGTTCAGGGGCAGTAACTCGATGGAACTATCATTGCCTATGATAACAATGTCTTCTTCTGGAATTCCTCCTGAAGGACCTGTCTGAGGCCCTGAGGCTGTTTTACAGTTAACTTAAAATAAAAGGTAGAAGAAGTACACTCAAAAATAGTGATTAAGAGTCTAGTATATTGTCAGCTAAAGGAAAATCAGGCTTTTAAAGAATTAAAGTGAGTTTTATTCAGATGTCTTACTGAGGATTGCAACCTCTGAGAATCTTTCAGGGAGCTTCTGTTAGACTTCTTTAAGGCAGTGTTGCAGCCCGCAGCTTACATACAGGTGAAAGCAGCTCTGCATGTGCTCAGAAGTTACATTAAATGTGCTCAGAACTTACATTAGGGCAAAATCTCATCAAAATGTGGGTGCAAGGGTACATCTGGTTACAGATTATAGAGGCACAATCATTAATCCTGTCAGACATTATCTTATGTATAGGAAGAGGCAAGGGCTAGGATTACTGAACTTATCTTTTCTAAAAACATGGTGATTCAGGCAAGAGACATGGGAATCTGTGCTCTATCCTGCTTATCATCTTCAGGGCATTTTTCAGAGGGCTGTGCTCAGTCACCGAGTCAGGGCCTTTGTGAAATTCTCCTGACAAGCAGAATGAGCAAACATGACTCCTTACATTTGCTACTTTGTCTCACAATAGTAAATACATAAACCAGTAACATAGTTGTTTATTATCAAGTATTATGTATTATACATAACCATATGTGTTATACTTTTATACAACAGACATTGTGGTAGGTTTGTTCACAGCAGCATCACCACAAACACATGAGTAATGCGTTGCGTTATGACATTATATTATGAGGGCTATGATGTCACTAGGCAATAGTTTTCAGCTCCATTAGAATATTACGGGACTACTGTCATATATGTGATCTGTTGACTGAAATGTCATTCATTACATGACACATTGGTACATGATTGTATTTGGAGCTACCCTCAACTCTAGCTGACCTTGTTTACAGCTAGATGTCAAGCTTTGTTCCTTCCACCAAAAAAAAAAAAAAAAAAAAAAAAGCAACCTCACAGTGTGATCTCAAACTTTCATTTCATTTCAAAATATCTCACTCACTATTTTTTCTTTCCAGGTTCCAATAACAACTATTGATAGCTTTAGGCATATGTATGTGTTTAGTAACTTCAGGGATGGATTTAACCTGGAAACTTAAGCAGATTGCATGTAACTTGCATTCTAGAAAATATGCACAGAGCATTCCGTTGTGGGCCTGACCCAACCAATAAAGCCTCAGGACAGGAAGTCCGAGATTTAGCTAGCAGTCCACCTGAGAGCTCCCTCTGTAAGACAGCACACAGTTAATACAGGTATGCTTTATTTAGAATTTGAGATGAGTTTTAAAAACTTGAAAAACAACTGGCAAGCCTTTTATATAGCAGCATCATCTTACATAGTGGAAATAATAAATCATAAATCATTTCATAAGTAGTTTTTTTATTTCGAACAAACTGAGAGTTCTAAAAAATTAGCACATTGACCCTAATTACTGAAAGGACTACCATTGTCTATTTTCTCTATTTTGCTTTTACTGTCCTTTTCCATAAGAGTGGCAATAAAAGTTAAAAACAACCACTGAGCATTTATTAAGTGCAAGAGATTTTTACTAAGCAATTTGCATGTACATATTATATAAACCTTACAAAAATCTTATGAGGTAGATGCTATCCATATTTTGCAGATGAGAAATTTGGAACTTAAGTAACGTGCCCAAGGTCACAAGCTATGAAACAGCAGCAAAACATGGATTTGTACCAGGTCTAACACCCAACTCCAACCTTTAACCATTTTACTGCAAGCATCACAGCTGTCCCTGACTACTATAGCTATTTTCCTGCTTTACTTCTAGGTTTCCCTAGGGTTCTTGTATAGCAAGAGCCAAAACACATTGAACAGATTTTCTGTAGCAGAAGCCATACTAGGAACCAGGCAGTCAATGGCACTGGCTGAATTATGGGGTGCAAGAGAATCAGTAGCAGTTCCAAATGAGAAAATTCTGACTTACTGGGCATTTTGTAGCCACAGAAACTGGTTTTCCATATTCCTTTGATAATTTTGAAGTAGGTACTCTAACTATGTTCTTAATCTTCCTATAAACTAACAATTTCCATAGGTCAACTAAAAATTTTCTTTCTATCCCTATTACTCCCCAATTTTTTTCTAAAACAGAGAAGAGAGTGAAATGAAATGCATAGATAAGAATACATATATATATAATGCAAATATATATATATGTTTAGTTGTCATAGTGTAAGCAAACATCACCTTTATGGTCTCTTTAATGCACATTTTTGCATTTTATACTTTATGTTGGCGATTTTGCTATTTAAAGTGCACGTCCATGCATAGTGCTGAAACACTGTCTAGTATCCCTAAGCACAAGAAGGCTGTGCCTTACGATGACGATAAGTATTTGAGATAAGCTTCATTCAGGCGTGAGTTATACAACTATTGACCATGACTTCAATGTTAATAAATAAACAACATATATTAAATAAAGCATTTTTTTAAAGAAACACATTTGAACAAGGTTATATACTAATTCTTAAAATTAAAAAACCCTCCTTGGAAATTGAAGAGGAAGGAATACTTACTAACTCATTTTCTGAGGCCAGCATTACTCTAATATCAAAACCAGACAAATATAGTACAAGGAAAAAAAACCTGCAGAACACTTTTTATTTTAAATATTTTTAGCAAATTGAATCTAACAAGATATTAGTTAATACATCATGATCAAATTGGGTCTGTCCTAGGAATACAAAGTTGGTATAATATTTGAAAAATCAATCAGTGTAAACCACTGCAGAGTGTTTGCCACATGTCAAGTTGTCTAGTCTGAAATGTTTCCAAGAATCCTGTCTTGGTATGTTTTTTGTGAAAGTGGGCCACCAAGGGGACTCGTGAACATTAGAGGACAGGTAACTGAAGCAGCAGCCATTTTGTAGCTCACATTGCTATTTATCTGCTGATTCACCAACCTGGTCTGGGGCAGCAGGGGGGCCTGCAACTTCTCCACTTCACCTGGACCCTCCTTCAGCATCTCTTAGTCTTGGGGCAACTGTGTGTTTAGCTCCATGATGAAGGATGCCAGCCTCTCAGGCAGGAAACCTATGCTTTCAGCTTAGATACAACCACAAGTGACATGAGTTTCAGTCTCTCTTCACGGCTTCCAGCTCAGGATTGTGGGTTCCACCTAACCCTTCTGAAATCCACATTTGCTTCTTTCCTTCTTTTTTTTTTTTTTTTTTTTTTTTTTTTTTTTTTATACAGAGTCTCACTCTGTCACCCAGGCTGGAGTGCAGTGGCCCAATCTCTGCTGACTGCAACCTCTGCCTCCGGAGTTCAAGCAATTCTTGTGCCTCAGCCTCCTGAGTAGCTGGGACTACAGGTGTGCACCACCACATCTGGCTAATTTTTGTAATTTTAGTAGAGATGGGGTTTCGCCATATTGGCCAGGCTGGTCTCAATCTCCTGACCTTGTGATTCGCCCACTTTGGACTCCCAAATTGCTGGGATTACAGGGGTGAGCCACCGTGCCCGGCCCACATTTCCTTCTTAACTGCTTGCCTGGAAGACTTTAAGCTTCAACATTAGGCATGAAGACTCACAGAAACTACTTAATTAGATACCCAAGTATCATAAGGTCAAATTTTTATGATTAATCCCTTATGAGACTGCATAGTGACTCTGCTTCACTGATTGAACTCTGACTAATACATTCACCACACTGAGATTAAGAAACAAACAAAAAAAACCCATGATCATCTCAATATATACAGAAAGAAGAATTTGACAAAATTGAACATATTGAACATTGATTTCTGTTAGAAAGTCTCAGCAAACTAGGAACAACTACAAAAATAAGTATTCAGCATGATAAAATGTCCTGAACATGTAAAAGCCTATAGCTAATATCATACTTAGTATTGAAAGACTGAATGCTTTCCCCCTGGGATCAGGAACAAGGCACAGATGTCAGCTCTCACCATTTCTATTTGGCTTTATACTGGAAATTCTGGCTAGGAAAGTAAAATAAGAAAAAGAAATAAAAAGCAGATTGGAAAAGAATAATTAAAACTCTATTCACAGATGATATCATCAAAGTAGAAAATCTAATAGAATCTATACAAATGCTACTAGAATAAAGAAACTTTGGCAAGACGACGATATACGAGGTCAGTATACAACAGTGAATTGTGTTCCCGAATAACTGGAAGCTGAAATTAAAAAAAAAAAAACTAAACTAGATTAAAAAATAAGAAATACTTAGGAATGAAATAGGACAAAATATGAGAAATACCACTACATTTAAACTTGCAAAATATACTGAAAGAGATAGAAAACCAAAAGAAACAGAGAGATGTACTGTATTCATGAATTGAAAGACTCCATATTGTTAAAATGTAATTTCTCCTTAAAATGACCTGTAGATTTAATGCAATTCTAGTAAAATTCTAGTAACCTTGTTGTAGAAATTAACTGCTTCTAAAATTCATAGAAAAATGCAGAAGACATAAAGTAGCCCAAACAACTTTGAAAAAAAAAAAAAATCAAAGTTGGAGAACAAATGTTACCTAACTTAAAGACTTCCTATAAAGCTACAGTAGATAAGACAATGAAGTATTGCATGTTGGGTTAAAGATAAATAAACACATCAGTGCAATAGAACAGAGACTTCAGAAATATACCCACATATCTATGATTAATTTTTAACAACAGTGTAAAGGCAATTCAATAGGAAAGAAAAGTCTCATCAATGAACACTGCTGAAACAATTGGATAGCCAAATACAGAATGAACTTTTATCCTACCTCATACCATATAATACAAAACCTGAAATTATAAAACTTCTGGAACTAAACTTAGGAGCAAATCTTTGTGTCTTTTCTTAGATATAACACCAAAAGCATGATCCATAAATGAAAAATTGAAGCATTCAACTTCATGAAAATTAAGAATTTCTGTACTTTGAAAGACATTGTTAGGAGAATGAAAAAACAAGATACGGACTAAAAAATTTTGCCAATTTTGTTTCTGATAGAAGTCTTTTATCCATAATATATATGATATATTTATATATTATATAATATATATTTATATATAATATAAATATAATTATATTTATGTATATAAATACATATTTCTAATTGGTACACAGTAATTAGATTTGTACTATATGGCAATTATAAATGGCAATCACATACACAAGAGCTGTCAGCATTATTTATGTTGTCATATATAAGTATATACAATAATTATATAATTATATAGATTATGTTATATTATTAGATTATATATAAAATAACATATCTACATCTATATAATATATATATCATATGGCCAGGCGCAGTGATTCATACCTGTAATCCCAGCACTTTGGGAGGCCGAGGTGGGCGGATTACCTGAGGTCGGGAGTTTGAGACCAGCCTGACCAACATGGAGAAACCCCGTCTCTACTAAAAATACAAAAAAATTAGCTGGGCATACTAGCACATGCCTGTAATCCCAGCTACTTGGGAGGCTGAGGCAGGAGAACCGCTTGAACCCAGGAGGTGGAAGTTGCGGTGAGCTGAGATCGTGCCATTGCACTCCAGCCAGGGCAACAAGAGAATATGTATTTTGAGACAGAGTTTCGCTCTTTCACCCAGACTGGAGTGAAGTGGCATGAATTCGGCTCACTGCAATATCCAACCCCCGGCCTCAAGTGATTCTCATGCCTCAGCCTCCCGAGTAGCTGGGATTATAGGCATCCACCACCAAGCCAGCTAACTTTTTTGTTTTTTTAGTAGAGGCGGGGTTTCACCATGTTGGCCAAACTGGTCTCCAATTCCTGACCTCAGGTGATCCACCTGCCTCGGCCTCCCAAAGTGCTACGATTGCATGCGAGAGCCACTGCGCCCGGCCCCATAATATATTTTTAAAAACTTCCAAAACTCCAAAGAAAAATGCAAAAAAAATAAATATGGTCAAATGATTTTAACAGGCACTTGAACAAAGAAGATATATGGATGACAATTAAGTACATGAAAAGATGCTGAACATAATTCATCATTAGTAAGATGAAAATTAAAACCACAGTGATTTATTAGTACATACTTATTAGGATGGTTAAAACAAAAGAGACTATATCAAGGTGGTCAGGATGTAGAGGAACTGAAACTCTCATACGTGTTAGCAAGAAAGTGAACTAATAAAACCACTTTGGAAAACAGTTTTTTAGTTGTGTAATGTGCTAAACATGCGCTTATTATATAATACAGCTATTGTACTCCCTCAAAAAATGAAAGCACATGTCCATGCAAAGTCTTTTATGTAAGTGTTCATAGCAGCTTTATTTGTAATAACCAAAAAACAGGAAAAGGTTCATATGTTATCAAGTGAATGGATAAACAAATTGTGGTAAATCCATTCAATTGGAAAGTGCCTAGCAATAAAACAGAGTGGACTATTGATACATATAACAACATGTATAATCCAAAATAATTATGCTAAGTGACAGAAGCCAGAAAATAGTACATACTATATTATTCTATTTATTAAAAGTCCTAGAAAATGCAAACTGATTTATAGATAGAATGCAGGGTAGTGCTTACCTGGGAATGGAGCAGCAAGGAGGAAGAGGGATATATAATAAAAATCATGAAGAAACTTTTAGGGGTGATACCTATGTTCATTATTTTAATTTCAATGATGGTTTCATGGGCATATTCATATGTCAAATCTTATCAAATTGTTTGTGTATGAATTTTATTCTATGTCAATTATACCTCAATAAATCAGTTTAAAATATAAGTCTAATTTAATTGCTTTTAATAATAGCAACTTAAGCTTACTTAGGGTTTGCTATATTGCAGAAATTTTTCTCTGTCCTTGATGTATATTAATGTAAGCCTTATAATAACCCCATGAAGTAAGGACAAAACAATTCGCAGTATCCAACTCCCGGCCTCAAGCGATTCTCATGTCTCAGCCTCCCGAGTACCTGGGATTATAGGCACCCGCCACCACGTTGGCTAACTTTTTTGTATTTTTAGTAGAGGCCGATGTTTTATAATCCCTGTTTTCCGGATGATAAAAATGATCTGGAGAAGTGAATTAAATTTCCTGAAAGTCACACTTCCAGTAATACAGCTGAGGGCTTATGCCAGACTGTCTGGTTCCATAGTCCACATACGTGTCCTCTAGGCTACACTGCTCCTTGGGGAAGGGTTGAGTTGCTGTGTTAAAATTAGATGTCCATGTCTAAATGTCCTGATGACTATTGCATTTGTTTTTGGAGTTCAGCAAGCCTGCACTACCATGTCTCTTGTATTGGCTCAAATCTTCCACTATTTTCTTTGCTGACCTATTTCGCTTTTCCAATGCATCATGACATTATTTCTATTTTCTGTGTAGTCAATTCAATATTAAGTTCACGATTGTTTATTTCTAATTGGTACACAGTAATTAGATTTATACTATATGGCAATTATAAATGGCAATCACATATACAAGAGCTATCAGCATTATTTGATTATAATGTGGTCATTCAGATGATCTGGGGTATGTTTGTGCTAATATTTTATTATTATCATCAAACTGAAAACAATTTCTCAAAAATTGGGTTAGGTAACTTGAGAGCTTCTGAAGGTATGTCTACCATCATCCAAACATCAAAACTCAGTTAGACAGCATTGAACTAGAAGAGGTAAGTGCTGAACACATTTATTTTTAGTCCCTCACCCTATAACTTGGCAGCCAAGTATACCTCTCCACAGTTCTGGTTAAGTAATCACATTTAAGCTTTCTGCCTTGCAATCATGAGCCATTTAATTTCAGTTGATGTTAAGTTTCTTTATCTATTAAATTTAAATCATAGTGTCTTGCACCATAGATGTTTATATTAAACACACACACACACACTTTTATAAATACAATATATACATATATATGTATATACACGCACATATGCTATATAATTTATATATAAATGCTTATATAATTTATACACACACATATATAAATGCTTCTCATATATATTTTAAGGTTGTGATATAATTAAAGAGAATTTCTTTCTTAAATTGACCTCACTTTTTATAACACAAGTTTGTATTCTATGTATTGCCATCTCCAGAATTTACTAGCTGTTCAATCTTGGGCAAATCACTAAAGCTCTCTCTACTTTGAATTCCTCATGTATAACATAGGCATAATAACAAATGAACTTCACAAGGTTGGTAGGCAAATTCAATGAATTAAACTTTTGAAGCTGGTGGAAGAATGTTTGGCCAGTGCTTGAAGGTTTCTGCAATACCTGTTAGTTCTTAGAAGGGTTGATATTTTACAAGGACCACCTTCTGGGGATGGAATGTTTTCCAAACCCCTTCTTTTTGACAAGCCATGTTTTGTCTGTCCTTGCTCAAATTTTGCATAAGAATTGCTTTTTCCATAACCAAATCTTATAAATTGCTTCATTTCTTTAACAACGGAAATTGGTTACAATTTACAAAATTGAGCAGGGATGTGGAATTTATTTTTTAATCTATTTTTTAATGGATAGAATATTGAAAGATTGCTTTTAGACAAAAGTATGCTTTTATGTAATTTAAACAAACTATACCTAAGTATTGTAGTGATGTAGAGTAGGAAAAGTTTTAAAATTTTAGGAGTTTAAATCAATCATCATGACTTATCACTGTAGTAGCAGGTAAAAACAAAAGCTTGGAGATATTTTCTAAATTTTTCCTTACATTTTTATCTCCTTAAGCTAAGCTTATAAATTTGATTTTTTAAAATATTTTCTTTTGCTTGTTTCAGAAGTTAATAATGGGGTAGGGGATGCAGTAGAAAAAGACAAGGTCTTTCTGTTCTCCTCAGTAGTAGTGGGAATATACAATACTCTCCATATTTTAGTTTAATTTTTCTCTAGGGTTGTCACAGTACACTAAGAATTAGAGAAAATGAACCATCATGGTTCTATAAAATACTAATATAAGAACCTCATCAACAATAAGAATAATAGCAACAGTATATTAGCTTATTTTACAATGAACACAGTACACAAACTCCAAAACTCCCGCAATCCTCACAACAATCTTACAATGTAAATATGTACTAAAATGCATATGTTTTGCAAATGAGGCAACTGAGACTCAATGAGGTTAAACAATTTGCCCAGCAACATGGCACTGGAGCTTAGACAAACACGAATCTTCTGATTGCATGTCCAGAACACTTTTCCAGGTTTGTTGTTTTGTTTCCGATTCCTTTCTTATAATCCCTGGCATTGTTGTTGACCTTTTAGCCCTGCAAATACTTAGGACCACTTCCTTTAGAACACCACCTACATCAAGTCTTAGGTGTTTACTTTGGCTATGCAAGTAGCTCAGTGTCCACTTTCTTATAAATATAGGTTAAGGTCACTTTTATGTCCCTTCAATCAATGAGAACAGATCTTTCTACAATGTAATCCTATCAGTTCAGTACCTCACAAATCAAAAGAACCTAAAATCACCCCCAAACTTGAAAGGCGCACACTTTCCTGCCATCAAATGCTTAGGGTCTGTAATGTGTCTTATTTATTTTGGTTTTGTGTCATTTGAGTTTACAGATATCAATGTGAGGCTTACTGTCTTTGTCCACTGGGCTGGTACAACAAAATACCACAGACTGGATAATTTATAAATGATAGAAATTCATTTCTCACAGTTGGGAAGGCTGGGAAGTCCAAGAGCAAGGCACTGGAATTTGGCATTTGGCGAGGGCCTTCTTGTTGCCTCTCCGTAACAGGAGACCAGAAGATGGAAAAACAAAAAGGGTAAAATTCTGTAGGAAGTTTCTTCTATAAGGACCTTGATCCCATTCACAAGAGAGGAGTCCTCATGATCTAATCACCTCTTAAAGGCCCCGTCTCTTAATAACATCACATCGGCCATTCAGCATCAATACTTAGATTTTGGAGAGGACATATTCAAACCATAGCACTTACTATGTGCCGAGTAATGTTCTAAAGATTTTATAAATATTAATTTTTTCAGTCCTCATAATCTGAGTACTATTATTTCACTTATTTTGGTGGTAAAGGATGGAGAGGCACTTGCCCAAGTACACGAGGCTATTAAGTGGCTGAGCTTTGCACAATAATAGTTGTAGTCTGTAGAATCACAGCAGCCTCGAAGAACAACTGGTGAAATTCTACAGTTTAGACTGAAATTTGTGTTGTCACAGATGGAGAACTCCATACTAACAATCTATTAGCTGTAACACGGAAACCAATAAATTATCTTGACTAATACAGGGATCCACAAGTCTGAATGGTGGATTAGAGGGCAATGTAGAAATAGTTCAATGAACGAGCAGAAACTGAATCCATAGCATTATCCAAGGCGCTCTTGGCTAGGTTTTACACACACACACACACACACACACACACATCAGTTAACCAAATTAAAAAGGGAAATTTCTTGCCATCAAATAACTATAGAACTTTTTTTGAGAAGACTAATTTCTTCGCCATTAACCCATTCGTAATCTTTATGTCCAGAGTTAAAATAACCCCTTCAGGTATTGTTAGAAAGAATTTGGATCGATTGTGTAGATCTAAATTACATGTATAAATTGTCATCCTGAAAGGGAAAATAAGTAGGCCTCTCTTCTTGCCTAAAACCTATATTTAAATAACAACAACAAAATGACTAAATTTATGTTGCGTTAATAATCTGCCTCTACCTTTTCATATAAACAGTTGGTGTGAAACTTAGAGTATTTTTGTTTTAAATAAAGAACACTAATATTAACAATTTGAGCACTTAATCTGTGCCAGGCCCTTTTCTGAGAGCTTTATGCGATTACCTCATGTAATCCCCATAATGACCCTATGAAGCAGATTCTGTTATTACTCTCATTTTACAGTTAAAATAACTAAGACAAAATTTAAGTAATCAGCCTAAGGTCATATCTCGGCTAATGGGAGTGAGTGGAGCAGAGAGTTAAACCTAAAAAGTCTGACTTCAGAAATTTTGCTTCTAACTATTGATAGGGAAGATTGTCAGAATAAAATAACTACAATTGAAGGACTTAGCATCCAGAAGCCTTGTTCACATTTCTATTTTAATTTTCAGAAGTCCCTGGAAGGTCAGTGAGTATCATCTGTATTTAGGAAAGCAAAGTGAAATGTCTCTCAAATACTAAAAAACAAAAAATAAAAAAATTTATCCTATATCCTGTAAAAATTCTACCAGTAAACACAACACAATGCTGTCTGAAAATGAATGCGTACTGAAGTCATTTTATGACTATTGCCTTGTGGCTTGTGAGCCCTGCCCAAGCAAAAGATAAGGTCTTCCATGGGGTTCTAAGAGCCTAACAATAGACCAGGCTTTTGACCAACAATTCCACATTATCAATTTTATTCATTTTTAAAACTCTTAATGGAGGCATTGAGATTCTGATGATGCATTTATGTCTAGCTTGCAATTAGCTCTGAAATCTCCTGCTTACCATCAATTTGATATTTTAACTCTCTCCATACTAGTATCTTATATAAGAACCATAAACATATGATATAGCCTTGTTATGTGCCAAGCACAGACCTAAGCACTTCATGTATTTTAACTCATTGAATCCACACAACTGTATTAAATAAGTACTGTTATTATCACCATTTAAGACATAAAGATACTGTGGCACTGAGGTTAAATATCTTCAAGGTCACTTACTAGGTTAAATGGTAGAGCCAGAATCCAAGCTTGATAGTCTGGCCAAAAGACCATGTTCATAACCATTATACTGTACTATACCATGGGATGACTCAACTATTACAAAGCATCATAAGACCTACCCCAAGATATTAACTCATTCACTAAGCATTTACTGAGCACCAGTTTTTCTAGGCACCGTCAAGGTCTGGGAATACAATGATAAGTAAGGCAGAGGGACTTTTAAGAAAAAGAAAGAAGCAAATAAATGATTAATTACAATACGATGGACTAACTGCCAGCCTAGGGCATATAGAAAGGGCTGCAGGAGCATAAATGGGACTATACTTGGTAGAGAAGCCTCCTTGGAGGGATGGAAGAGAGGAGGGATATCTGAGGGGGAGAAAATAGACGGAATCCCCAATATAGTTAACAAAGTGAATTTCAAAAAACAAACTCATTACCTTTACTTACCTCAAGGAAAAATTAATGATGCCACGTTTCGAGAATATGAATCATTTTGAGTCAGGGTCCTTGCAGGACACATAGAAGTGACAAGTAAAACCATTTAATAATGGGACTATTTACAGAGTTGTGAAGAGAGTTAAAAACACCAACTAGGGCAGGAGAAGAATTATTAACTCTAGAAGCTAGAAGTTTTTACTGTCTGTAATCTGGGGAGTTTTTACCGTCTGTAATCTGGGGTGAGATCCTGGTAATCGGCAAAGAGATGCTGTTGTCCCTGAAACCTGACAATTGCTGTAATGGTGGGAAAGGCTCTGCTGCAAAAGGAGCTGTGGCTTTAAGTAGAGAAACACAGCCACTGTCTGAACACAGACCAACACCTGGGGAAAATAAAACTCGGATTTCGTTCTCCTCCTATCCATCAAGCTCCTACTAGTGCCTCCATTGGCCAACCAGAGGGCAAGAGAGTACAGGTGATGCAGTCCACAGAAGTCAGGTTCCTGGTACCTAGAGCAGGGTATGAAGGAAAGAGACTGGATCTGGAAAAGCAGAGAGCAACCAACAGCCAGTTATTGCTCAAAAACAGTACTTGGTTATTCATCACCTCTAAAGAAAACAGGAAACAATAGCAAATGGGCAAAATGAAGACTTTTCTAGAAGAGCTACCTAATTACCAAAATCTGCAACATGAAATGGAAGTTGTAGAGATCTTGCGTAAAGGTTTTTAAATACAAAATTCATGTCACTTCTAGTCCTGATTCTCTGTAGTACTAATTACTGATTTGAAAATTTTTAAACCAAGGTGACTTATTTCCATCTACAGAACCTACTTCTCATAACCTCCATTTTAGAGAAGAGTTTTTTTTTTCATATGGCAAGCAAAGGTTATTTTTTCTACCTCTTACCATCGGTATATCTATTTCCTTCCTTCCTTTCCCACTACTGCTGCTTTGGTTCAAGCTATTATCAACCAAGGTTCCTACTGGCCCTGATAGCAGTCAACTCCAGGTCTCTGAAATGACAGGCTGCTGTCTGCCCAGAGCGTTGAATATGCTCCCAGAATACAACGTAAAATAAATTCAGATAATGGCACTAGGAATTTCACACAGAAAGATCTTTACTGATGATATTTTCCAATTTGCATGTAATTTGCAATAATTTTAACTACAAAATTACCGTTTAATTACCATTCAATCTTTTCTTTTTTTGGCTTCTTTTAGAGAGATCCATTAATTAAGGTGAGAAATTAGATGAATCTGGTTCTGCTGAATAAGGGAAATTGACTTTGATCTTTGTGTAAAAATGAGGCATTCAAAGAAATTCATTGATCAGCATTAATTAATGTTCTCTCTGACAGTATTTAGTTTCAAGTGTTTAGTAGTGCTGTCCCTTACTAAACTTTCTTTTACACTGCTCTCAGTAAAGTTTTAAATTGTGCAAAATTTCTTATTTATTCATTTTTTTCTTTGGCGAGCATGGAAAAATGGAGCCAATTGTCAAAGTTGACCCTGGGTATCAGTAAAAGAGCAAATGTTTCAAAAGTAGCAAGTATAACCTCTGTCTCTTTCTCTTCCCATGATACTGCAGAAAATAGAATTTGGAAGGTATTTATGGAAGAGGAAAGTGGAGAATGAAGAGTGGGAAACAGCAAGTGGTAACTATGAAGCTTAATTCTCAGTATTTAAAAATAACTTTTCTACTTTTAGAGTAGCATACTAAACAATTGAACCCTTTTTCTGTTACAGTCATTAACTAATGGTACAGACTATTTACTACCTTGTTGGTACTGGACTTAGCTCTGTACAAAACAATAATAAATAAGCTCAGTATTTATCTGCCCTCAGAACATTAGCATTATGAATACATATACATATAATGTGTGTGTGTATATATAGTGTGTGTATATAAAATGTGTACCCATATATTAAGTGTATATATATTTATGTCCCCATATATATGTGTATATACTTTTATGTAATATATATTTTATACACATATATACTTATATATCCTGTTTTTTTTCAGGTTAATATTAAGACACATATGGAAAACTTACACCATATGAGACACATCCATTGGCACTCTAGACCACCTACAGAATTACAGATGGGAGTCTCATGATCTTTATACTTCATCAAATAGTTCATACTCTCTGCCCAGGTCTTATCTGTGTTTTCTTAGAAGAACATAAAAATGTAATATGACTCTACCATCAAAAAATGTGTCAATAAAACTTAAACACAGTTTAAAAAATTAATGGTGAACGTTGCCAAATGTCTATGATAAATTTGTTTTACAAAATATGATCATTGTGGGAATGAAGAAATAAAAATAATTAGACGAGCTAGAACAACCTTTACAAAAAAGATAGCTAACATATTTATTGAGCACTATGTGCCAGGCATCCTACCTTTATTTGCCATTTGATACTCACAGTAAACCAATGAGATAATATCATTGTATAGTGTAATGATATGGTATAGGATATTGATTGTAATATGGTATTATGACCATGAGTATATTTAACCTTGCCAAACTTGCTAGAATTTAATTTCCCCATCTACAAGTGGGGAAAACCATCAACATTACCTGCTTCATGTGTGAAGTGCAAATAAGATTATGTATATATAATATTATATAAAAGATATATCTATCTATCTATCTATCTATCTATCTATCTATCTATCTATCTATCTGTCTACTACTTTGAACAGTGTTCAACTTCCCACAGCTAATGAATGGTTTACTTGACAGTCTGACTCCCTGTCTGAATCCTAACCCTATGCTGTAGGTGGGAGAGGGACACAAAAAGACAGAGGTTAGCTTAAGCAAGGTTTCTCAAAGTGGTCCAATCTACCTACATTACAGTCATTGTGATTACATTTTTTAAGAAAAAATCTTATTCCTCTGTTCAAGATGACAAACTGAACCCATGGATTTATCTTCTTTCCTCCTCACTCTCTCTAAAATGGGAGGAAAGGAAAAAAAGAAGCTTCTCTTCCTATAAACAATGAAGACCGAAGTGGGGGAAGCTGCCATCCCAAAAGAGATCTAAACAGATAGGAAAGATGAGCAGGTGAACTGCTAATGGATATTCGTAAAGCTTGTCAGAGTAACATAAGAAAAGAGCCTCCAGCAGAGAAGGTAGTCTGTCTTTCATTGAAACCCAGAAATTCCACTTTCAATGGAGGTTTAGAGTGAGATGTAGTTTATTTTAAACAGGATATAAATGCAAGTCTTTTCATACATCCATAGATTCCTTCATCCCTCTTCCCTATCCCAGTGCCACAAACACTAGGCAGGCAGGTGCTTTTACTCTAGGGAATAAAATTAATTTTTTTTATTGAGAAAAAATTGAACATATCAGTTTTTATGAGCCTTGAGGGAGATCTCCTGAGTATGGTGGCACAGCTAAGTGAGAGCTGAAATTTTCTTCTTCCTTGCTTGTCATAAAATTGCAGTCCTGTCATGAAGGTCAACCATGGGAAGAAGGGGCACAGTGAATCTACCCAGGCATCTTTTCTACTTTTATTAGTCTAGCGGAGACTCATTTTTCTATTTTATATGTCCAGAGATTGTGCCTTTTTCTATCTTGTCTGCTCAGAGAGGATGGCCTTTTCTAGTTTCAACAATGATGCAGTACAGGTGAGCAGCTGTATGTTGTGGGTTGGAGACCAAAGACTTCTACTTGCTAGAATTGAAAGGCCCCCTACCACTTTCTTCTCCACTCACACAATAAGCTCAAAGCATTACGCACTTATCCAGACCTCCATAACCAAGTGGAGTTGGAAGACTGTAAGCCATGCTACATATGCATCAAATGAGCCTATAAACCAGGGTCAGCAAACTGTGACCCTAGGACAAATCCTACCCACCACCATTTATGTGGTCTGCAAGCCAAAAGTGTTTTTAATGTATTTTTTTGTTGGTGGTTTTTTTTTGTTTTGTTTTTTGTGGTTTTTTTTGAGACAGTCTTATTCTGTTGCCAGGCTGGAGTGCACTGGCGCGATCTCAGCTCACTGCAACCTCCGCTTCCCAGATTCAAGCTATTCTCCTGCCTCAACCTCCCAAGTAGCTGGGACTACAAGCACAGTGCCATCACACCCAGCTAATCTTTGTATTTTTAATACAGACAGTGTTTTACCATGTTGGCCAGAATGTTCTTGATCTCTTGACCTTGTGATCCACCCACCTTGGCCTCCCAAAGTGCTGGGATTACAGGTGTGAGCCACCACGCCTGGCCTGTTTTTAATATATTTTAATGGTTGGGAAAAAGTCGAAGTAGATGAATATTTCATGTGTGTATAAATTATATGAAATTCAAATTTCAGTCTCCAAAGAGTTTTACTGAAACATAGCCACACTCATTCATTGACACATTATGGCTGCTTTTGCATTACAGTGGTAGAGTTGAGTAGTTGCAATAGACAGCATATGATCCAGAAAACCTAAAATATTTACCATTTGGCCTTTTACAAAAAATGTTTTTTATCCCTGCTATACAGCACTTTTTAATGCACCTTTTCCTAAGAGTTGGAAAGAATGGTTTGCAAAGTTTATAGGTTATTACAATTCCCAGACAGTCTTTACATGCCCCATGCTCCACCCTTTATTTGTTTGATTTCTTTTCAGCTAGTGTCTTATCCTTCACACTACCTGTTGCTTCCAACCTTGATTGAGCATTGAACGCCAAAAGCAAGATTCATGTTCCTTTTCTTGTTGGAGGGTACCAGTGCCAAGTGGAAATTCCGAAAAAGTCAGGTGAATTTGGGCTGCTCATGAGGGAGTAGGTAGGTCACAGCAAAGCTTTCACTCCTATTTTTAGGACCCAGAGTTTCAAGGTCAGAGTTCTCTATAAATAGCCCAAGATGGCCAGGCGCGGTGGCTCACGCCTGTAATCCCAGAACTTTGGGAGGCCGAGGCGAGCAGATCACGAGGTCAGGAGATCCAGACCATCCTGGCTAACACGGTGAAACCCCGTCTCTACTAAAAATACAAAAAATTAGCCAGGCGTGGTGGCAGGTGCCTGTAGTCTCAGCTACTTGGGAGGCTGAGGCAGGAGAATGGCGTGAACCCGGGAGACGGAGCTTGCAGTGAGCCGAGATGGCGCCACCACACTCCAGCCTGGGCGACAGAGCAAGACTCAGTCTCAAAAAAAAAAAAAAGCCGAAGATGACCAATGCTAAAGAACTGATTTTTGTCCTTTTATAAAAATCATTTTTGTTTTTGCCAGCCTAAACCGATGCTCGTATACTTTGTTCATGTATTTTCTCTGGAAACAGGTTTAAACTGAACTTCAACCACTGCCTTATTCTGTGTTCCTGCAGAATGACTTCATAGTAGGTCTTTTCCTTAATACATGTTCCTGTGGTCTTTATAGGTCCAGAAAATCAACTGTCAGATTCTGGAGTTGAAACATGAACTGAATCTGAATAGAGACGAGAACCGTTAGAGAAACTATTGGGATACATGGGGCTATCTAAAGGACAGCAAGTACACCTTCATTTTCAGCTCCTGACGTTATTGGGCTGCCCTGAAAGAGACACAATAGAACATTGACAAACTAGGCAGAATCTATAATGCTTTCATTTTATACCTTAGAAATATCTAAAATAATGTGAATTTTCATTTGGGAATTTACGTGTTCTTTCAGTATGTTTTGATACAAGTACATGAAGTCTCCAGAGGCACCTACAGCAATGAAGTTGAAATACAGAATGAAGGACAACAAGATTGACTGCGGATTTCTCACTCCACAATTCCCCATCCAATGAGTCCTAGAGTACTTAGAAATGGAGTAACCTTAGCAAGTTTCACGGTTAAGACCAGAGGATCCCATTGTGCAAGGTCTGATTAGGGTTCAGGTTATGCTTATGGTATAATTCCGTTACCACATGTGTCTAATACCAACTATTGACTCTAATGCTGTTCTTTAAAAGGTTAAGTCTTATCCAGGACAAAGCATGTACTGAAAAAGCATGCGGGAAATCTACTTAGAATGGTTGGCATTTGTCTCCTGGACATTACTAGGAAGGCTGCCAGTTCATTTGCCTTTAAAAAGACAAAGACAAAATTCCTGAAAGCAAATTGGTCCATGTACTGCATTGGAATTTATTCCCTAAACTCTATAAAAAAGATAACATAAATATTATGCAATGAATTCATGAAAAGATAATGTGTCAAATTGATGTTATTAAAATTATAATCATGTATAATTAGGAAGACATCTACTGTGTTTTAGTCACGTACTGGCTCTAGACAAAATTTAAAATCAACAGAACATAACAGCAATTATGATAATGGACATTTAATTCACCATTAGATAGATTCACAATTGAAATGAAGTAATTCCATGAACAATTAATAAAGCATATTAACCCTTAAGCATATCAAATTCTGTACCCTCTCCCCCAGAAATACTGTTTTTTAACTTTTAGCAGTATAAAGGTATTTAGACTTTGTGGAATAAAAGTGTGCATTATTTTAGAGTATACTGTCAGAGTAGACATTACAGAAACACATTTGATATTCATTATATATACCAACTAAAATTATACTAAGAGATATTTTAATACATGTATTAGTCTGCTTGGGCTGCCATAACAAAATACCATAAACTGGGTGGCTTAAATAGGAATTTCCTTTCTCACAATTCTAGAGAATAGACATGGAAGAACAAGGTGTCAGAAGAGCAGTTTTCTGGTGAGGCTTCCCATGCTGGCTTGCAGACGATTGCCTTCTCGCTGTTTCCTCACAAGTCCTTTCCTCTGTGTGCACTGAGAGAGAGCTCTGGTGTCTCTTCCTCTTCCTATGAAAACACCAGTCCTATTGGATTAGGGTCCTACCCTTACGACCTCATTTCATCTTAATTAACTTCTAAAAGTTTATCTCCAAATGCAGTCAGGGCTTCAACGTATGAATTTGGGGGGAACACAATTCACTGTGTAAGATATGAATAAACAGTTTCAAAATTATTACAGAAATTTAAATTTAAAATTATTACAGAAAAATACAATGTGAGCTTAGATCTTCCTGTTTTTTACCCTATTAATGAGGTAGGAAAGATATGAGGTGGATTCTTTTATACCACAGGTGGTCCTTTGGAATACTCTGGAAATAATAACAATCTAAAGTGATACTCCTTAATTGCAAAATAATTTCACCAATAGCTTCCTAATAGAGAGCAGTCAATGCATCTGTCTTACCCCGTTCAGGATGCTGTAACAAAATATCATAGACTGATGTTTTGTAAGCAATAGAAATGTATCTATCATGGTTCTGAAGCCTGGGGAGTTCAAGATCAAGGCACCAGCAGATTTAATGCCTGGTGAGGACCTGCTTCCTGACTCATAGATGGCTCTTCAGTGTGTCGTCACATGGTGGAAGACATAAGGCAGCTCTCTAGGGCCTCTTTTGTAAAGGCACTAATTCCATTCATAAGGATCCACCTGTTGTGAGGTGACCTAATCACCTCCCAAAGGCCCCACCCCTTAGTAACATTACATTGGTGATTAAATTTCAGCATATAAATTTTGGGTGGTCACAAACATTCAGAATGTAATAGTACTCTTGGAACACACATTGTACATTATATATATCTATATACATTATATATATATATATACACACACACATTTTATATATATATATAATATATTTCCATAGTAATCTTGCTCTAAAAATATAGTGTAATGAATAAAATTAAATATCTGAGTTCCCTTTCATTGAGATGTCCAACAACCTTCCTTAATCTTTGATATTCTTATTATTTTTAAATTTGAATACTTTCATCCAAAGTCCAATAGCAATTAAGTAACAACACTTGAGTCTAGATCTTTTAGAATACTTTTTTTTTCCTAATTCCTTGCTGCACAGGATAAGAATGTTATGCAATTTATGATTCCACATAACATTTTTTGTTGTTATTGTTTTTTATGACTTAAAATCTGAAAGGAAAAAATAGTCTGGGTAATTCGTTGCAGGGTGATGTTTACTTGCTTTCATGTTTTGGATTTGGAAAAGCACCTTTGGTTTATATGAAGAATGACTGAACATCTTAAAGAGCTCAAGTGTGGGGAAAGGGATAAACAGCTGGGCAAGTAGAGAACTGGAGCCATGTGAATTAGCATTTGCCTTCTGAGGATGCACCTACTAGCAGAAGGCAATGAGATACTGGTTATTAAACAATATAATGATATTAATTGCCATGAGTCATCAAGTGACAATTTCTAGATAACAGCCAGTGGTGCTTTTCACAAACTTTATCTCATTTCATCTCTATAACTCTATACATAGATACCAGAATTTTCCTTCATTACACTTGTGAGAAAACTGAAGCCCAGAGAGGTTAATAAGCTTAACCAGGGTTATACAGTAAGTATCCAGTTCAGAATTCATACTTAGGACAGCTCTCTATACCCATGTATGCTCCCTTTTTGCTACAATTCCCACTCTTCTGCCTTACAAAAAAGTATGTTTTAGTAACTTCAGCTTACAGAATACTTTGTTTCTAAATAGTATTAAAATAGTAAGTCAAGGGGTATTTTTCTTCAAATGGTGTGAATGTAAGAAAATTACATAAATAATGAGGACAATGAATAGCACAAGCTATGAGAACACTTGGTGGAATGTGGTTGCCTATAGGAGAGTGTATGACTGATGTGTGAGTGTGAGTGACGTGTGTGATACTTTATCTTGAGCCAACCTCTCCTCATGCACTAGTCTGAATCCTGGTTCTTTGCCCTTCTTTATGTTTTCTAATCACCTTGGAATTTTTATTCTCCCTTTAATCTATCCAATCGCATCAACTTTTAAGAAACAATTACAGTCTAATTTCTTCTAGGGCGCTTTTGCCACATATTTGAACCAAATAATAGCATTTTGTTTATGGTCTCTACCCAGATCTTAGCTCTTGATAATAAACTGTATGGTATTTTTATCTATTTACTTATCTAAACTGTAAACAGCTTTGGTCTCTCGACAGTAAGCTTTCAATGCATAGCAAATGCTAGAAATAAGTCAGTTATTTGATGAATAAGTCGTCATATCAAATATGCCTTTTAAATTATGTATATGTTAATTAGTTTATTTGTTAGAGCAAGGAATCCAGGGTATGCACATAATCCTGCCAAACCAGTACGTTTTGCACAAAACTAAATTCTGTTCCAACTCTGGATACTATTCCCAAACTCCAGACACCAATTTCAGACTGGGGAATATGGATGCCTCACTCACTGAAGCAGAGTTTAATTGAATAAGACAGAGAATAACTTCCCTGTCTTGGGTTCCACATAAGGCACTGCTGCTATAGAGATTAATCAGATGCAGTCTTTCCTTTAATGAATTCAGTCCTACAGTAGAAGAGACAGATTTGTAGAGACAGATAAACTATTCAGAGAGTTTAATGTTTTATTGGGACCTGGAAAGAAACAGCTACGTCACTGTTTTCTGTGTCACAGAAAAGCTGTCTAGTTGGACATCTAGAGGTCTCATAGAGACATATCAGCTAGGTAAACAAGACCAATAAACTTCTTATCTGGCTGTCTCAGAAATTTGATATAGACAAGTCAGAAAAAAAGAACCCTTAGTCTTAGGGACAGAAGTCCACCAAGGATGTCCTTGTTATGAGTATGTTAATTTACAAGTAAAACAAAGTGATCATATCTGTGACCCACTCATTCCCTCCAGATTTGTGGCAAGTATTGAATCAGAGTGATTTGCTCTGTGATTACCATTATTCACCTTTGGAAAACTAACCACTTTATGTCTTAATTCACAATTCTGTAAAATAGTGATAATGATAATACCTACCCCTAGGATTGTTGTGTGATAATTGAATGAGTTATTTGAATGAGTTAATTGAAACTGTATAATGCTTACACAGTTTCTTGCACATTGTATGCACAATGATAACATAATATTATTTAAACATTTAATAATATGGTTTGTAACAGCTTAATGTATACAATACCATGGTAGAGTTGTAGCAGTCAAGAAATCTGAGCTGGTGAATGTATTTTTCATTCATTTAATTATTTCTCAATATCTATTGAGCACCTAACATAAGTCATTCTTTTGCTTGGTGCTGGTAATATAGTAATAAATCAGTCAAATCGACGTTTTCCCCTAACAATGCTTAAATTATAATAAGAAATGTATCAAATAACTATGATAATATATGACGGCTGTTATCGCTTGGAGTCGGGTGGGTTGTGATGGTTAATTGTATGTGTCAATGCAACTGAGCTGTGCAGTAACCAGCTGTCTGGTCAAACATTCTGGGTGTTTCTGAGAGGGAATTTTTGCATGACATTAACATTTAAATCAGTAGACTAAATAAAGCAGTTTGCCCTTCCTAGTATGGATGGACCTCAAACAGTCAGTTGAAGAGCTAATAGAGCAAAAAGGTTGAACTCCCCCTGAGTAAGAAACAATTTCTCCTGCCTGATATCCTTTATACCAGGACACTGGCTTTTTTTCTGCCTTTGAACTTGAACGGCAACATAAGCTCTTCCTGGTTCTCAGTGTGCTCGCCTTTGGATGAAAACTACACAATTGGCTCTCCTAATACTGAGGCCTTTGAACTTTGATGAGAACTAAGCCTTCAACTTTCCTGGATCTCCCACTTGCTGGCTCACCCTGCTGATCTTGGGACTTGCCTACTTCCATAATCACGTGAGCCAATTCCTTGTAATGAATTTCTTTATACATATGTTTAGTTTATACACACACATCCTATTGGCTCTGTTACTCTGGAGAAACCTGGCTAGGGAGCACTTACTTCCTATTTCTAATATTTCCTTCCCTGTGGAGGGAGCTTAACCTGGATTTTCCATGAACAAAAGCTGGATTGTTCCTGTCTTCTCACTCACTTGTCTCCTAGGGAGGAGGAGTACATTTTCTCAGAGGTTAGTTTAGAATAAGAAAATTGGGTATGCATAACCCCCAATTCCTACTTATTCTCCCCCATTTGCTCTCCTCTGCCATGCATTGGGACAAGACTGCTCAAGCATCCATCACTCTGTGTAACTATTGATAGCCCCAATTTTGCAGTTCAGGATAGAAAGTCCATTTACTAGCAAATATAAGCTACATTCTCCAAAATTCACTTTATTAGTAATGGGGGTGGTACTTTTGCCTCCACCTGCTATAATCTTTTATCTAATTCTCATTTGATTCAGAACTCAAGTGGGGAAGTAGAGATTTAATTGTTGGATAACCTGAACCTCAAATAGCTATAATGCAGAAAACACACATATGAGGGATTTAATCTAGAGAGACAGGAAAAGCCTACTGAAGGAAATGATGCTTGGATATAAGCTGACCACTAAAAGAGAGAGGAGGGGAGTCCAGGACACAGTGGCTCTTCCTCTCCTGTTTCTGGATGAGCACTGCTTATGGCGCTTTTTACTTCCCATTATCTTTGTTGACAAATGTTCGTTTTAGACTCTATTAATTACATTTGACTCTTCAAGGTCTTTAGACATATTGGAATAGTCAGTTTTTATCTTAAGTTACAGCCTCACTTTTTGTTAGAGAAAAGCTTTCAGTAATCCATTTAAATTATTGCCCTTTTGCAAGTTAATTTTCCATGATTATTATTAATATTAATAGCTATCAATTATAGATTACTTACTATCTGTCAAAGAGCATGGAAAGAATTTTGTATACATGATCTCATTTGATACTTATAAAACTGTAATTTGAATAGTGTTACTATCTGCATAGTCAAATGAAGAAATTAATGCTTAGGAGACCAAGTGACATATCCTTAGGTCACATAGTTAGTAAGCAGCACAGCCTGGGTGGAAACCACTTGCATTATTTTAACTCCAGTGTCTATACTCCTAAAAAGTATAGTTTACTTTCTTAAAAGCTAATGTTATTTCTAAGTATTGGATTACCCATTTTAAACTTTAATTATAGCAAAACCATGTGAACAAGCTTCTATAGGACATCAGCAAGAAAAAGGCACTGTAGTGCATCCAATTCCTTACACTGACAAACTGGTTAAATTATCAGACCCTTTGATGTAGAATAAAATTTGTGTGGTCTTTGTGTGGAGAAAATGTTATATATATATATATATATATATGTGTGTGTGTGTGTGTGTGTGTGTGTATATATATATGTATATATATATATATGTATTTTCTTTTTAATTCACTAAAACCCAAACATAATTACCTTTAATGAGGTATTGCATAATTTAGGAAATATATTTGCACAAATGTCAGCATACAATTTGATGCTTAAATCAATATACTCCTTCCTGGGACTTCCTCATGAACAATTTTTGAAGTGCAGAAATATATGCTTGGAATTAATTAAGTTTGATTCAACAAAAATTTACTAAGCATTAGCAATGTGCAACGTATTGTGCCAGAAACAATGGAGAATACAAATTCAATCTTCAAGGATATCACAATGTCTTATATTGTGATTTCTTATTCTCATTTCTATTCACAGAAGTTATTTTATTATTTCCTAAGTGATCTTCCTGTTTTCCTTCCTCCATTTGTTTTGCTGCCCAGTATAAATGAGAGATGAGATCCTTCATAAACCATATTTTTATTGCCTTGCACCATGGCAAAGAGAAATGGCAGGTGAATAAGAATTTTCTGTTTTGAACTAAAATTTTAATAGCACCTAGAACACTGTCATCATAAAAAATAATTGATCGTGGTATTGATGCCAGCATTTATTTCCTTGGTACTTTATTTGACAGGAAGAGCATTATAATGAATGAGATGCTCTAGCCATTCTAAATATCATTAATGGCTGGCAAATATTCCCCTATATTCTAAAACCTTTCTGAGATATGCACAGCTCTCTCTCCAAATTAACAGTGTCTACATGACACTTGGTGTACCACCTGTTCCCCAAGGGCAGAAAGAATAGAAAAAAATCAGTCATCAGGAAAAAAAGCAAGCTTTGGAAAAAAAGTATTCCAGAATAAAACAGGATTTGTGAAAATGTATCTCCCCTCTAATACCCACTTCTTTTTACAGAGGCAACTTTAGTGTGAGTTTCTAGAATGTAGACTAGAAATTTGCCTTATGCTTCTTAGTATATCAGATTATACTCAAGGTATATACCCTATAGACATTAAATGAAAATTGTTTGGTACAATGATTGACTCTGTGTGCCCTTATTATAGCCTCAATCTCCCATGTTTCAATATATACTGATAAGATGTTAATTACAAATAAAAAAACAACACTTTTGGGGAAGGTATGCAGAAAATGAGGAGTAAGGAGATTTAAGAAAGTCTTTTTACCAGCACAATGAATCTAGATTGCGGAGAGAAAAATAAAGAATGGCTTTCTGCATCAGCTTGTCATTCTGTAATTACAACAATCACTTTCAAGAACTGTCTGGATATTAAAGTGGTAAAACTAAAATCAATCTAATTATCCACAGTGAACTTTCCTTCCATCAATTTCCATTACAGGGGAAACAAAATTGGCCATTACTTACCACTTCAATATTAATGCTGCCTTCAGCCCCTCTGAGAGGTACTTAGACGCACACCATTTGTTAGAAATCTGAAAGTGATTCTTTTGACTATTAGCACATGCATAGCAAGAGAGATGAGACAGAGAGAAATTACTAGCTCATTTTTTTTTCTTTCAACAAAGAGGCACTAGGCTCAGCCTTGTGACTATAAACACACATAAGATGATTAGTCTTATTGAAAGAATTCAGAGTCTGGTTAGGGAGAAATACACATAGATAATAATGAAACAATGTGGTAAATGCAATGATTGAGAGATTTACATAGTAATGAGTGGGAGTAACTAGCCAAGTCAGAATGTTTGTAAAAGATAGGGAGAGGGATATTAGTCAGGGATATAACTGAGATGTTTCTTGGGAGAAATTGGAATGACAAAGATAGCATTTCCTCTAAAAGTAAAGTCCTGAGCAAAATCATGGAGGCAAGACAGACTAAGGGGTGAATATGGAGCTATAAGCAGTTTGCATTCTGTAACCTGGTAAACCAGGCAGAGACTGCCAGGCTGAAAAAAGCAATGAGGCAATGAGGTATACTTTGTGTTCCATTTTAAAGAAAAAATTTTTTCCTAATAAGATATTAAAGAATCGAAATGTTTACAAGCATTGGAGCTACACTGTTAAGATCTGTGTGCTCATTGTTCCACTGCCCTTCCAGATCCATTCTTCACCCATCTCAACTCTGTGCTCTGCCCTGGAAGAGTGACCTGTACAGACTACATCGCGGGTTCTCATGCCTTCTGATTTCCAGTTGGGTTTGGGCAATGGGAATCCTAGTTGGAAGATCAGAATGAGGTCGGGAGTGAGGTCAGAGTATTTATCTGGCTTCCACCCAGCTTAAGAGGGCATCAAACACACCAGCTCAAGAGGGCATCTTGAGTTGGTGCATTTCTTGATTATTCAAATATCTTTGCTTCTTTCAAAGCAGTCAGCCGTACCCATTTAATTTTCCCATATTCCAGTAATCAATTTCCTCACCTCATCCCATAAAGCCAAGAGGTCATAATACCTTGGTCGGACTATCACACTGTCTGTTGCGGTTGCCCTACATGCAAACCTCTGGAAATTGTCTCTGTATGAAAAAAGCTTCCATGAATTGTCCTACTTTAAAATGCTCATTGTTTCCTGTTGGAACCTGAACTGATATATGTTGCATATAGATAAACCAAACTAGAGGCTGTAATGAGAGTGCTTTAAAAAAAAAGAGAGAAGAGATGGCCCAGCAAAGACATCCATATTACTGGATCAATGATACTGGAGGCTGAGAAGTGAAAAAATGAATAAGTGCTTGAAGGTAAAATCAGTTGAATGTATTAATTGGCTGGGAAGAGAGGCAAAGGAGAGGGGAAAGTCAAGAATTATTTCCAGTTTTCTAATTTTCAAGTTTTTAATTCCAGTAACTAGATGGATTATAGTGCTAATAGAGACTAAAGATGGAAGGAGAAATTTATGGGGAAAGATAATAAGTTTATTTCCATAAAATTTTGACTTTGAGATGTCTAGACCTGCTGGACATGTGAAAATAGAAATCAGGATGGAAAACAATACTTTTGAAAGTTGTCAGCATATCAGCAGGTGGGATTTAAACCATGAGAGGACCCTGGAAAAGCCAACATTTAAAGAAACAGTTCTCAAATTTGAAGGCTTGTAGGTTCTACCCAGAATGTGTGTAAAAACGCACTGTCCAAGATCTTTAATCTATGACTCTGATTTAGTAGGTAGAGTGGTGAGTTTAGAGATTTTACACTCTGAACATATATCCCAAGTAATTCTGATTACATAGTTTGCAGACCACACTTACAGAAATATTAATTTAAGGGTGGAGAAAGGAAGAAATGCTCATAAAAGAGAGAAAACAATGCAATATCAAGAAAACATACAAAACTCCTAAAACTCAACAACAAAAATAAAACAACTTGATTTAAAAGTGGGCGAAGGGCTTGAATAGACCTTCTCCAAAGAAGAAGATACATGAATGGCCAGGACAATAAGTACATGAAAAGATAATTAACATCAATAATCATTAGAAAAATGCAAATCAAAACCACAAGGAAATATTATTGCATCTTTTGGGATGATTACTATCAGAAACACCAAAAATAAGTACTGGCAAAGATGTGGAAAAATTGGAATCCTTGAGCAATGTTGGTGGGAATGTAAAATGATACAACCACTGTGGAAGCTGCATGGTAGTTCCTCAAAAAATAAAAAAAATTACCCTATGATCCAGCAATTCCACTCTTGAATATATGCCTAGAAGAATTGAAGGGTCTTTAACAGATAGTTATACACTAACATTTATAGCAACATTATTCACAATAGCTAAACTGTATGCAATTATAAAGGTAACATCTGAAACAAAAATATAAAACTTCCTAAATATAAAAATATTTTTAAAAATAGCAAAGAAAACACATTATTTAAAGAAACACAGAAAATATAAAATAATACATATAGCAATTATGACAGTTAAATTTAAAAATATTAGTCATACCAATAAATGAGAATAGATTTAACTTACAGAGTTAATGAAAAATATCTCTATTTGGTTCACAAAGCAATTATCCCTTATATGTTGTGTATAAGAGACACACCTAAAATGAAGTGATTCAAAGAGGCTGAAAATAAAGTAAAAATCAAAGTTATACCAGTCAAATGGAAACAATAAGAAAACCAGGGTTGTAATATTTATATCACGTAAGTCAAATTAGAAGCCAGAAAGCTTGAAAAGGAACCTGAAAAAGAAAGAAGCTTTTTAACGTGAAAGCTACAATTCATAATAAATACATGATAGACTCTAATATCTATGTACAAAATAATATGGCAATCATCTTTGAAAGCAGAAACTACAAGAGAGTAAAGGAGATAGAGAGAAAAGCTTATTGTAAGAGATTTTAAATTCTAATTTCAGTAAAAGACCAAGTGGGTCAAAAATAATTAAAGATATGGGTATTAATAACATAATCAATAAGGTATATTTTATTAGTATATATTGAAATTTATACACTGCTTTTGATTGTTTTTTGTTTGAGACAGGGTCTCACTCTGTCACCCAGGCTGGAGTGCAGTGGCACAATCTCGGCTCACTACAGCCTTGACCTCCAGGCCTCAAATGATCCTCCCCTTTCAGCCTCCTGAGTAGCTGGGACTACGGGTGCATGCCACCACACCGGGCTCGTTTTTTTTCTTGCAAACACAAAGTCACACTGTGTTGCCCTCTAGTAATAAAGAGCATAACTTTATCTTAAGACCTTAAGAAATAGTCACAAAATCAATCTTAGATTGTAAAGAAAGCATTGATAAGTTGCATAAAGTATAAAGTAGAATTGCTACAAACAGCACTTTCTGAATAAAATAAGAAAAAACTAAAAATTAATAACAAAAAGCCAAGATTTTCCACTAGGGTTTTTTTTAAATAAATTACTATTAAGATTTAAATTATATAAGTTCTTTAAAATCATGATATAGAAACTTTACAAGTTAAAAGCAAATATAGGAGAAAAATTCAGAACCATAAATATTTATATCAATAAAAATGAAGGAATGAAAATAAATTAAAATGCAGACAATAATGCATATCCTGTAGGTTTATGGAAAGTATTCAACAGCATAATGTATGTAAAATACTGGGTATATGTTTGGCATGCTGTAATAGTGAATAAACATTATTTGTCTAATGATGCTCTGCAATCTTCTGAACATGTCCATCACAATGATTACTGAAAGACATTCTTATGCTCCCTCTAGTCTATCTCATTCTTCTACATTACTGAAGACCAAAGCCATCCAATCAAAGGCCTTTCCCTGTATCGTCTCTTATCTCCAGGTTATTTTCATCATATCTTTCTCTCTATATCCAGATTTCTGTGTCCCATTTCTGTAGATTTCAGAGGAACAGGCACCCCTCCTCATGTCTGAGGCTAAATTCTTCACCTTCCTGCCTCATAATGAACTTTGCTTAGGACTATGATTCTGTTTTGATTCTTCAGCATCTTCTTCTCCAGTGGTTCCTTCATCTCAGTCTACAAATATGCTTTATCAAAAATAAAGCAAAATTTACTTCAACCTAGCTTGTTTCTCAAACTCTTTTTAAAACCCTTCTTATTTAGCACCTTCATAAAATAGTAGTTGATGCTCAGTGCTTGTACTCTTGGTGGATTCACTCTTAAAACTCTTGCTTCCTCTTTTCTGTCCCTACCAATCTATTAAAACTATTTTTTATTGATACAAAACATTTTACATATTTATGGAGCACACGCGAGTGATTTGTTACATGCACAGAATGTATAATAATCAAGTCAGGGTATGTGAGGTCTCTATCACCCTGAGTATTTATTGTTTCTATGTGCTGGTAACATTTCAAGTCCTCTCTTCTAGCTACTTTAAAATATACAGTACAATCTTGCTAAGTATAGTTATCGTACTCTGTTATTGAATACTGGGGCTTATTTGTTCTATCCAACTGTATGTTTGATAAATCACCTGCAAATCACCAACACGATTTATTCTTAAACTTGATTTTACTTGACATCTCAGTCGGAGTTGACACAGCAAATATCCCTTCTTATTGAGAACTTCCCTTTCTTCATCTTTCATTTCATAATACTGACTTAGTTATTCTCTTCCTTTTCTGCTGTCACTTTCTCTGCCTCTTTGCTTCCCCAAGGTTTCCTTTTAATTCTCTCCTTCTCTCTTCCTTTCATGATGTTTTCACTTTCTGAGTATGCCCCTGACTCAATTCTTCATTATCTCTCACATCTGCTCACTTACAAAATACTTCTGTTTTTTTAAACAAGTTTCACATCTGTCCTTTTCTTTGTTCCCATTGTCAACATTTTAGTACATGTATGTACTGTGACAACAGTCTCCTAACTTTTGTTCCATCTTGCATCAATGACAATTTTTGTCCTATTAATACATTTTAATTATATTATTTTTCTGTTCTTGAATCATTAATGGATTCTTACTGCTTCCAAAACATAAATTATAAATTCTATATTTTGGCATTTACAACACCTTATAATCTTGAGGAAATTTAACTTTTGAAATTCTCATTACTCCCTCAACATATGCTATGTTTCAACCCAATTAGACAACTTGCCATTCTTCATAACAAGCCTGGTGCTTTCCTCTTTGATATCTTTCCAGTTCTAATTTCTACCTTAGATCTCTCTTACACCACATGATACACGTAACAACTTTCTTTGCTACTTGTTATTGAAAAACCGAAGTCAAATGCCACCTTCTCCTCAAAATGACCTGATGACTTTAGACAAAGGATTTTTCCTCTTCTGGATTCTTAAGAGTTACTTCTTATGCCATATTTACTTTTTTACATACATTTCTTATGTTTCTATGGATCTGAAAGATCACCTGGTACACAGAAATGTATTCCTTTTCATACAACCCTTTATATTAATATATCCATTAGGTCCAAGCACAATGATATACACAGCATAGACATTATGAAATACTGATTGAATGACTCACTGATGAGTGGGAGAAGTAAAGATACATGTAGGTGGGTGATAAGGAGTGTGGAACTGAAAGTGGTGGAAACATGAATTCAGCTTATGTTTATAAGTACAGTTGCAGAAATGAAAAGAATGTCTTCTATATGTCCTAGATTCTCTGTCTCTCTACTTTTCAATGCTTGATCTCCTGACTGTTGGCTCAGCCTTATGCCAATTTCTTGGACCAAGCCCAGTTTGAAGCTAAGTTAAATTTGTAGGTAAAACAAAACAACTTCAGGCTAAGTTCCATTCTTGTTGACGTTTCTTTTATTTTGCCATTTCTATTCCCGTTAACTAATCCATAATCAACCACAGTAAAAGATAGCTAAATTTACATAATCTGCCTCCAGGCATAAAAATGACTTGTTACTCCTTAGTTATTCACCAGTGCCTTGACAAATGCACAGCACAAAATACATCTTGAATAAATTATTCAAGTTTAATTATTGAATAATTATTCAATATTGAGTAACAAATGTCAACAGCACATCAGCAAAATCCATTAGTACATCAAAAAGTATATCCACTTTGAACAAGTAGGTTTTATCCCTGGGATGCAAGGTTGGTTCAACATAAGCAAATCAATAAACATGATTCATCGCATAAACAGAAATAAAGACAAAAATCACATGATCATCTCAATACACGCAGAAAAGGCTTATGATAAAATTCAACACCCCTTCATGTTACAAACTCTCAGCAAACGAGGTATTGAAGGAACATTCCTCAAAATCATAAGAGCCATCTATGACAAACCCACAGCCAACATCATACTGAATGGGCAAAAGCTAGACGCATTCCCCTTGAAAACCAACACAAGACAAGGATGGATGCCCTCTCTCGTCACTCCTATTTAACAATGTCCTGGCCAGAGCAATCAGGCAAGAGAAAGAAATAAAGGACATCCAAGTAGGAAGAGATGAAGTAAAATTATCCCTGTTTTCAGATGACATGATTCTATATCTAGAAAACTCCAGCCTTGGCCCAAAAGCCAAACTGATAAACAATTTCAGCCAAGTGTCAGGATACAAAATAAATATGCAAAAATCACTAGCATTCCTATACACCAACAACAGTCAAGCTGAGCGCCAAATCAGGAATGCAATCCCATTCACAGTTGCCACAAAAAGAATAAAATACCTAGGAAACAGCCAACAAAGGAGGTGAAAGATCTCTACAATGGAAATTACAAAACACTAATCAAAGAAATCAGAAATGACACAAACAAATGGAAAAAAAATTCCATGCTTATGGATATAAAGAATCAATAGCCTTAAAATACCATACTGCCCAAAGCAATTTATAGATACAATGCTATTCCTCTCAAACTACCAATGATATTCTTCATAGAAATAGAAGAAAACTATTTGAAAAATCATCTGGAACCACAAAAGAACCTGACTAGCCAAGGAAATCTTAAGCAAAAAGAACAAAGCAGGACAAAGCTGCTCAACTTCAAACTATACTATAGGGCTACAGTAACCAAAACAGCATGGTAGTGGTACAAAACGACACATAGACAAATGGAACAGAATAGAGAGCCCAGAAATAAGGCTGCACACCTACAGTGATCTGATTTTTGACAAAGCTGATAAAAACAAGCAGTAGGGAAAGAACTCCCTGTTCAATAAATGGGGCTGTGATAACTGGCTAGCCATATGCAGAAGATTGAAATTAGACCTTTTCCTTACACCATATACAAACATTAACTCAAGATGGATTAAAGCCTTAAACGTAAAAGCAAAAACTATAAACATCCTAGAAGACAGCCTGGGCAATACCATTCTGGACATAGGCATGGGCAAAAATTTCATGATAAAGATGCCAAAAGCAAGTGCAACAAAAGCAAAAATTGACAAATGAGATCTAATTAAACTAAAGAGCTTCTGCACAGCAAAAGAAACTATTAACAGAATAAACAGACAACTTACAGAATGGAAGAAAATATTTGCAAACTATGCATCTGACAAAGATCTAATATCCAGCATCTATACGGAACTTAAACAAATGTACAGAAAAAAAAACAAACCTCATTACAAAGTGGGCAAAGGACATGAGCAGACACTTTTCAAAAGAACACATACATACAGCCAATATGCATATGAAAAAAACTCAATATCACTGATCATTAGAGAAATGCAAATGCAAATGAAAACCTATTATTAAATGGCTATTACTTAAGTAAAAAAACAAGAGATGCTGGTGAAGTTGCAGAGAAAAGGGAACACTTATACACTGTTTTTGGGAGTGTAAATTAGTTCCATCATTGTAAAAAGCAGTGTGGTGATTCCTCAAAGACCTAACAACAGAACTACCATTTGACCCAGCAATCCCATTACTGGGTATATACCCGAAGGAATATAAATCATTGTGTCATAAAGGCACATGCATATGTATGTTCTTTGCAGCGTTATTACAATAGCAAAGACATGGAATTAACCTAAATGGCCATCAATGACAGGCTGGATAAAGAAAATGTGGTACATATACAGCATGGAATACTATGCATCCATAAAAAAGAATGAGATCATGTCCTTTTCAGGAACATGGTAGAGCTGGAGGCCACTATCCTTAACAAAGCAACACAGGAACAGAAAAACAAATGCCGCCTGTTCTTACTTATAAGTGGGAACTAAATGATGAGAATACAGAGACACAAAGAAGGGAAAAACAGACACTGTGGCTGATATGGTTTGCCTCTGTTTCCCCACCCAAATCATCTCAAGTTGCAATCCCCATGTGTTGGGATAGGGACCTGGTGGGAGGTGACTGAACAATGTGAGGCGGACTTTTCCCTTGCTGCTGTCATGATAGTGAGTGAGTTCTCAAAAGATGTGGTTGTTTGAAATTGTGTGGCACCTGTTGGTGGGAGTGTAAATTAGTTTAACCATTGTGGAAGACAGTGTGGTGACTCCTCAAGGATCTAGAACCAGAAATACCATTTGACCCAGCAATCCCATTACTGGGCATATACCCAAAGGATTATAAATCATTCTACTATAAAGACACATGTGCACATATCATATGTTTATTGCAGCACTATTCACAATAGCAAAGACTTGGAACCAACCCAAATGCCCATCAGTGATAGACTGGATAAAGAAAATGTGGCACATATATACCATGGAATACTATGCAACCATAAAATAGAATGAGTTCACGTCCTTTGCAGGGACATGGATGAAGCTGGAAACTATCATTCTCAGCAAACTAACATAGCAACAAAAAACCAAACACCGCATGTTCTCACTCATAAGTGGGAGTTGAACAATGAGAACATATGGCCACAGGGAGGGAAACATCACACACTGGGGCCTGTTGGGGGGTGGGGCCAAGGGGAGGGATAGCATTAGAAGCAATACCTAATGTAGATGATGGGTTGATGGGTGCAATAAACCACCATAGCACATGTATATCTATGTAACAAACCTGCATGTTTGGCACATGTATCCTAGAACTTAAAGTATAATAATAATAATAATAATAATAATAATAATAATAATAGAAAGTGTTTGGCACTTCCCCTTTTACTAGTGCTGTCTCCTGTTCTGCCATGGGAAGATGTGCCTTGCTTCCTCTTCTCCTTCTGTCATGATTGTAAGTTTCCTGAGGCCTCCCAGTTGTGCTTCCTGTTAAGCTTACAGAACTGTGAGTCAATTAAAGCTCTTCTCTTCATAAATTGCAAAGTATCCAGTAGTTCTTTATAGCAGTGTGAAAACAGACTAATACAGTTGCCTACTTGAGGGTGGAAGTTGGGAGGAGGGAGAGGAATAGAAAGAATAATTATTGAGTACTAGGCTTAGTACCTGGGTGAAAGAATAATCTGTATATCAAACCCTTGTGACATGAATTTACCTATAGAACAAACCTGCATATGTACCCCGAACCTAAAATAAAAGTTTGAAAATAAAATAAAAAAGAATAATTGTATAAACTGTGTTAAAATATTAACAAGAAAAATGACCATCAATGGTTTGACAAATGATCAAAGTGAGATAAAAACTTAACCAGATGACTTCAAGTCTCTTCTATGATGCTTGATAGGATGTTTTAATAAAGTGTGCATCTTGAAGGCTATTTCCTTACTCAGAATGTATTCCAGTTGTTAAACTTGCCTTTCAAAAAAATAGGGCAAAACATCCAGAGCTGAAGTGGAGACAGAATGAGGAGTAATGAGGTAATATAAGATCTGGCACCTTCAAAGAAAGAGCAGAGCTTACTTTTGATAACCCTGCCTAAAAGACAAAATACCTTAAGAGAAAACAGTTAAGGATGATTGGCAAGCATTCTATTTAAAGAGAGATCATATCTCACGGTCTGCAAACACCATCACGTTTAGAATGACGGCGACAGAGCCTTTATCATGATGAAATAGGAGAGATGGAGTAAATAGAATCATAGCTGAGAGATATCATGTGCGCTTTCTTTTGGGATTGTTAAATTATTCCACAATGAGGAAAAAAACTATCCTAAATCCAGCAGAAAGACAGTAGGATGGATGAAAATAGCCTCTGTATTCTCCTTTTCAGCAGCGTTAACTACATCCTTCCAGTTGCACAGAACAATATTGTCTTCTTTGGATATGCCTTTTGCATACTCCCATAATAATTATTATAACTACTTACATTAATTTAATAACCCATTTATTGACAACTCTTTTGATATCTTGCAGTTTTGTTTACATATCTTTAAGAAGTAGATTTGTTTGCTTTCCTTTTTTTCATCGGCTGTCAAAAATTTAGTAGGAATCAGGAAAATTTCCTTAAGAATTCTAAATATGTCTCACATGCACTTTGCAGTCACTGCTAACACTTAGTAGTTTTTGAGCATGGTAACCCTTGCTTCCAAAAGAACAACGGCAAAGCAGTTAGGAACAACAGAATCTATGTCAAAGAAACCAAATGCAATCACTAATCATCTCCTTCTACTTTACCTCTGTCCTGTCCCTAGTGCTTCTGTTTACAGCTGTGCAGGATGTTCACTGCACGAAGGTATCTTCAAGAGGTAAGTAGGGGCTGCGATAATTGTCAGGCTCCATTTGCCAAGCTATATGCTCTAATATGGGGCTGCATTCATTCAGCATGCACATTTTTGAATTCTCATAAAAATACTCTGCAGGGTCACAGAAGCTTTGCCTGTCTGTTTCTATCAGGGCATAGATAGAAATATTTACCTAATGCTAGGCAGTGATCTATCCCATATGAAAGAAAAGTCCCTGTGGAAAACTAACGATTACCAAATAGACCTTTCTCCTTCTTCCTAAGAAAATCTGATATTGTTCACGATGGCAACATACCCACCTAAAAACCTTCAGCTCATTAGAATCCTGTACAGCTAGGAGTGCACTTGCTAGATGATTACAGCTAGAAGTGCACTCGCTAGTTGATTTTGGCCATGAGATATAAGCTGAGACTTTCCGGGAAAGCTTTGCTCTTTCTGATACAGGTGCCAGTCCTTTCTGCTTTCTTGCCTTTTGTTTGTTTGTTTGCAAAGCAGACAGTATGCTGAGAATGCCTCAGCCATTTTGTGATTAAATGACAACTTGAAGAAAAACTCTCACTAAAGATGGCACATCAGAAAGGTAAAAGGATCCAGGACATTAACAGCATCATAAAGAAGACAATTCAAAGACAAACTTCCCACTGCTTGTTACGTGTAAAAAATAAACCAATTTTGTTAAGCCACTGTGCACTTGTTACTGTCCCATGCAGCCGGAAGCACTCTTAATTGATGTGTCCATCTTTTCCATACCTTGCAAAAGATGTGTAAAAAAGCTTTTGCTAGATTTCAAGTCCAAACTATTTATTGTATGTTATGTTCATCCAGTTACAAAGTTTTATGGTTAATTGCCAAGAACCTAACGTATTGGCTGTACCTCATAAATAAGTTAGGTATGTGTTAGTTAAACAGTGCAGATATATTGCTAAAAACAAATTACGACTTTTCCCAAAGTCTTGGTAAGAGTCCAAGGAAAGGGAAATAGCAGTTAATATTAAGCTGAGCTCTGCTGTATCTTCTGTTTAATATGCTCAAGATACATAATTTTTAACAGATTCTGGCACATAGTGGGTAAATATTGAATAATGAGTAAAATTGTGGCAATATATCAATGGTTTTGAACAATTTCCAAAAGAATAATTTATACTCTAGATAAAAGTAGGCTGGATAAATGATAGATTCTGATGTTGCATTTCCTCAAATAAGACATCGTTGTATTTTAGAGGGTGAAGATTTTACTCTTTTAAAATTGGAAAATATTATTGTGAGTTTACTTAAAATAAAGTTTACTATAAGTCTACATACTTACTTTCATGAAATAAGACTTTTTGTGCACATCATTTAAAAAAAGGAGTTCTAGACAGAAGGTATAAATGAAAGATACTTGGACCCTGAATACTGGTTCTTCATGTAAGAAGAAAATTAATCACTTGGCAAATGTGCTTTGTGCCTTATTTCCTTATCGGAGTGTAAACTCTAAGGGTAGTGTTGTCCACCCTACATAACATTATTTGCTAGAATATTGCCATTCCCAAGTATTTAAACTTTTCTTGTCTATTGTTTTCCAGACATGATGCCACTAAAGATTAAAGAACAAATAAAGTAAGGCTTAGTGTTTCTCCTGAAAGTGCCCATGGGCTTGTGGTAGAAATAGTTCTATTTTTATCCCAAAGTGAGGAAAATCTAGTAATTGAGGTAGATAAAAATTACTTTGCAGCTGAAATATATGAGTGAAGCCTACTGAAAATAAAAGAAGCAGAAAAACATACTACTAGAAAGATAATTTAAGACATGTCTTTCAGTCTTTGATAAAACAAGTAAGCAAAGATAACTCAAGAGGCAATAGATATCTAAATAGATGATTGTTCAAATAGTTCTATAAAGGAAAATTTTATATTACATAAAGAATATCCTTTTTAAAACTGCTTATAAAAATTTCAAACATTGACCCTGCATTAGGCTATAAAGAAAATGTCAAGTAATTCCCTAAAGTGAAATGCAAAGTACATCTCTGATGACAGTGTAATTAATCTACAAATAAGAAACTATATTAACAACCAAAATGCAACCACTTAGAAATGTCTTTTCTTCAAGTAATATTGGGGCTAAGAGGAATATAAGACCTCAATTTCTAAATATTTAGATAATAATTATAAGAAGAATACTAAACATCAAAACACATGGATTGTGACTAACGTTATACTAATGGGAAAAATACAGCCTTTTAAACATTGACTAATAAATCAAAGGGAATGAATATTTTTTAAAGGTAAACATTAAATGTATAAGTGAGCATGAGATTGTAGAATTTAAAAATAGAATTTTTCTGGTTAAAGTAAAGCATGGAATACTTTTACCTAGTTTGGATTACTGGGAAAGAAGTAAGACAAAGACTCCTACCCCTAGACCCATGGATAATTTTTTTTTATGTTCCTATAATATAAAATGCCTTCTTTTAAGCTAATAAGGAAACTGAAAATAATCAAACACCTTCAAAAAACATTAATCAGTCAAAAAATGTATCCGTAAGACCAGGTTTAACTATATGCTTGCTTGATGTAATAAGAGGAAAACGTGTGTGTGTGTGTGTGTGTGTGTGTGTGTGTGTGTGTGTGTGTGATTTCCCTCCATTGAATATAGAGTGATCTCATGTTTTCAAATTATTATCACTAATTTTTTAAAAATTTTAAAAATAGGTATATAATAGTTGTACATATTTGGGAGACACATTTGATATTTTATTTATTCATGTATTTATTTGGAGGTACATATGATGATTTAATACATTCATATAATTTGTAAAGATCAAATCAATGTAATTGGGATATCCATCACTTTGTCTTTTTAATGTTAGAAACATTCAAATTATTCTTTTCTAGCTATTTTAAAATATATATAACAGATTATTGTAAACTACAGTCATCCTACTGATCTATCAAATACTAGGTCTTATTTCTTCTATCAAACTGCATATTTGTACCCATTAATCAACCTCTCTTCATCCCCACCTCTACCTTTCCAGGCCTCTGGTGACTGACGATCTATTCAGTAGTTTCATGAGATCCACTTTATAAACTCCCACATGTGAGTGAGAGCATGTGACATTTGCTTTTCTGTGCTTGGCTTATTTCATTTAAGATAGGGACATCCAGTTTCATCCATGCTGCTGCAAATGACAGGATTTCATTCCTTTTATAGCTGAATAATATTATACTGTGTATATATACCACATTTTCTTTATCCATTTATCCACTGATGGGTACTTAGTTTGATTCCATATTTTGACTATTGTGAAAGGTGCTGCAATAAACATGGGAGTGCAGACTTGTCTTTGATACACTGACTTCCTTCCTTTTGAATATATACTCAGTAGTGGAATTGCTGGGTCATATGGTACATCTATTTGTAGTTTTTTGAGAAAGCTCCCATAGTTTTCCATAGTGACTGTAATAATTTATTTTCCCACCAACACTGTGTGAGGGTTCCCTTTTCTCCACATCCTCACCACCATCCATTAGTCCCTGCCTTTTTTATAAAAGACATTTTAACTGGGGTGAAATTATATTGTATTGTGGTTTTATTTGCATTTCCCTGATGACTAATGATGTTGAACATATATTCATATACCTGTTGGCCATTTGTATGTCTTCTTTTAAGAAATGTCTATTCAGGTATTCTTCCCATTTTTAAATTGGATTTTTTTTTTTTTGCTATTGAGTTGTATGGATTTTTTTATACTCTGGTTGTTGTTAATCTCTTTCAGATGAATAGTTTTCAAGTATTTTCTCCCACTCTGCAGGTTGTCTCTTCACTCCATTGATTGTTTCCTTTTCTGTGAAGCAGCTTCTTAGCTTGATGTAATCCCATTTTTCTATTTTTGTCTTTGTTACCTGTGCTTTTCGGGTCTTACTAAAAAATTATTTGCCCAGATCAATGTCCTAGGCAGCATCCCCAAAGTTTTCTTCTAGTAGTTTTATAGACTAATTAAACTTTTTAAAATTTAAATATGGCTAGTATGCATCATCACTTTTTCTTTTGGAAAAGCATTAATAGGACATTTTTAAAGAAAAGTGCTTCTGTTACTCCCAGAAACCTAGGTATAATGTGGAATTTAGTTATATCTCATCAAAAACAAGAGAACAAACCTAGGGAAGCATAAGTGAAGAGTTCGAATAATAAAAGTGAATTAACAACTTAGAAGACTAAAAAGAAAAATATTTGATGTAGTGGCTTTGGGGGAAGAAAAAGGACAAAGCTAGAAAGATAGGAAGTAGTATTGAGAGAGTACTTTTTAAAATATTAATAAATATGAAAAGATCAAGAGAGAAAAAACATTATCTTATAACTAGATGCCAAGAAAGCATAGATAATAATTCAATACTTTTTTCCGATTTTTTAAAACATAGAAGTAAAATATTTTCTTAAAAAGATTTTTAAGACATATTTCAGGTGAACACTTAGCACCATGTTTAAGGGTAATACCTAGAAGCATGTCTATTAAAGTTAGGATAAAACATTTTTTCCCTTAGTATTATTTAATATTGTTCTGAAGAAATTATTCAAAGCAATTGAATTTCAGAATCTGCCTCAGAATATTCCTCCTCACTCCAAATACCTGTCACAATTCTCAGTGTTACCAATATTCATTCTTCTCATATGCAATGACCTTTCTGTTCACTTTACAGACCTTTGGAATACCAGCACTAAAGCACTTCCAAAACCTCAATCATTTATACTGCACCCTTTGAACAATTCCTGTGAGTCTTCCACTTCTGGCGGCTCAAGTACATCTCTTGCAGTTATAAAGAGACTAGCCAAGTTTTCTGTGAAACAATAATACACTAGGTTAGTGGACTTAGAATTATTATGCTATTCTGAGTTGTAGTTTTGTTGTTTTTATTTTTGTCACTTCTTCTACCGGTCAGCGAACCACTTTTGACCCATTCATCTATTGCAATACAACAGAAATGACGAACCTTGCAAACTTAATAAATGTACACATTAATATGCAAATACTGTGAAAACAATTTGCTAGGAATTGTACCTCTTAATTTAATGTAAACTGAGACAAGTGATCAACATAGCCCTTAAGTATATGCACAAACCTTGAGAACATTAATTTTTATTAAGAACATAATAAGGTTTCTATGAAAATCACAACCAATTTTAGAATTCAAGTTTGTAATATGTATGCAAGCAAATTAATTCCATTTATTTTTCTTCTGCTAATGCTAAGCTGCCCATGGAACCATCAGAGGCCCAAAGAACAGCAATTGTGCAAAACTGATATAGTTGTACTGACATGGAAATATATAATACATAATTTCTTTTTTAAAATGTTATAAAATAGCTTGCTTATATTATGTATACTGTGTATATTAATATTAGTATAGTATGTATATTTATACAGCATGTATATTGATATAAAATTATATAAATACATGAAAAATATTGTAAACATATTTATATATACAGAGAGAGAGAGACAGAGGTACGTCTAGAAGAATTATCACCAAATGATACAAGTAAATAATTCTGAGTGATAACATGTTGATTTTTCATTTTTTCCCTATACTGTAAACTTCAAGATGCTATATGCTCTGTCATTTTATGTCTGCAATAAATATTTGTTAAAAGGATAATCCAAAAAATATATAATGGAATTGGATTTTTTTTTTTTTTTTTTGAGACGGAGTCTCGCTCCTTCGCCCAGGCCGGAGGGCAGTGGCGCTATCTCGGCTCACTGCAAGTTCCACCTCCTGGGTTCATGCCATTCTCCTGCCTCAGCCTCCCGAGTAGCTGAGACTACAGGCGCCCGCCACCACGCCCGGCTAATTTTTTGTATTTTTAGTAGAGACGGGGTTTCATTGTGTTAGCCAGGATGGTCTCGATCTCCTGACCTGGTGATCCGCCCGCCTCGGCCTCCCAAAGTGCTGGGATTACAGGCGTGAGTCACCGCGCCCGGCCTGGAATTGGATTTTTTAACACATTCATTCATGAGCAAATTGGTAATCCTAATCACTGTCAGACCTGTTATCCTAAATGCAAGTGATGAACTGGTAAAAAATTAAGTTGTTTATTTGTACTAGGTGTTGCCATCAAAAATGGCCACCATTCAATTCCTGTCTTTTGTAAACTCACATTCTGCCTAACTCAAATGGTGGAGTCTAATTTCCTTCTCCTTGGATCAGGCCAGATTCTATTGCCTGGTTAATACAATTGTGTGACAATGGTGTTTGGGAACTTCTGAGGCTAATCTAGGCAAGGAAAGATTTTCCTTCTACCCTCCTAGGTTTGATAGCTGAATCTGAGACACAAAATAACAACAGGCAGAATAACAGGAGAAAAGGTATACAAATTTGTTAATTTTTAATATTATGTTCATGGGGACATTTCACACAAAAAAGTGAATACCCCTAAGTGGTGGTGAGATTTGGGAGTTCATATAATGTTTTAATAGAGCAAGGGGAGTGGAGGATTTAGGCAACTTAGGGGAAAGTAAGTAGGCCCTTAGAAGAATACATGGGAGATAAGATAGTTTGTGACAAAATATATGGCTGTGGTGCTGACTTCTGGTCTAAAAGTCAATTTTCTCTGGTTTCTGACACTCCTGGGGAAGGGACTTATAACAGTTGAGTTCCTTGTGAAGATCTACCTTTAGGCAGATAAAGGGAGTTCAGAGAAACCCCTCTATGCATTTGATGTTTTTCAAGAGCCTTCAGTTCAAAATAATCAATACACCCAAGTAGCATATATTGGGATGACATGTCCCAAATTTCTCCACCAAGTTCACTCCTCAGCTTCATGGACTGCTCCTTTTGAGGACTTTACCTTTTGGAAAGTGTTATGCTTGGAGAAGCCCACAGCATAATGCCGTGAAAAGTCCAAACTTTAAGAGGAGTCCACGTGTGGAAGCTCCGGTCTTGAGCTCCCAATTGACAGACAGCATGACTGCCAACCTCATGAGTGAGCCATTTTGTAAATCTAGTAGTCAAGTCCTCATACCCAAGCCCTACCATGTGAGAGGCCATAAGTGGGAACTGCTCACCTGGGCCTAGTCCACCCACAGAATTGTGCATGATAATAATATTTTATTTTAGGCCATTGCGTTTTGAGGTTTATTTTTATACCCCAACTGGAAGATACTCCATATTCTGGTAAATTTAAAAATCACTATATTTAAAGGATTCTGGAATATACTTCCTAATCAAGTATTTTTCTCAAAGCCCTCATATATGTCTGCTGAAATTTATCTTTTTTTTAATTAAAACTTAATGCCTCTGACACCTATACAAAATAGCACCTTAAATTCACTTTATGGTAGTGTAAATCAGTTTACAGGACTTTCAAGCAATGATATTTTGCAAGTTCTAATTAAAAGGACAGTAGAATAAAATGGAGTAAGCCAGGGGGTCATTCTGAAGAAGTTCAGGAATAAAAGTGCAGAAGGACACTGTGCCAACCTGGACTTGGAAGAGAGGGATGAGAAGGAATGTGTGTATGTGTTGGGGAAAAAAGAGCCCAAATTAAATTATTACTGGGATGACCCTTTACTTCCATATTCAACTTGAAGATTTCTAATGTTTTCTATTATGGCCCTGACATATAAATAGGTGATATTCTGTCTTCTCCCACCCACCAAGGAGTCCATAGAGTCCTCATTTATTCATTCATTCATATAAAAATACTTATCAAACACCTTCTCTGTCTAATGCACTAATCTTGGGAGAAAGGAGACAGCAGTAAACAAGACAGACAACTGAAATGCCTAGGGTGTATAAATGAGACTTCCTAACATTGATTTTAGATAACTGAAATCAACAGTAGGATGCTGATGCCATTCATGCAATGATTGAAGAAGAATGAATGAGCCATTGCAGCATAATCAGGACAAAAATTTCAATAACAATATCAAAGGCCTATCGACGTATGTTTTTCTCAGTCTTGGTGCTAGAGTTTGCCCACTGAGGCAACACTGCTTCTGGATACTTCACTGGAACAATTGCTAGCAGGACATTATCCCGCATTGGTTCCTCCCTGGGGACATAGATCCAGAATTTTTTTTTTTTTCTTGAGACAGAGTTTTGCTGTTTCACCCAGGCTGGAGTACAGTGGTGCCATCTCGGCTCATTGCAACCTGTGCCTTCCAGTTGCAAGCAATTCTCCTGACTCAGCCTCCCAAGTAGCTGGGATTACAGGCACCCGCCACCACACTCAGCTAATTTTTGTATTTTTAGTAGAGACGGGGTTTCATGTTGGCCAGGCTGGTCTTGAACTCCTGACCTCATGATCCACCCGCCTTGGCCTCCCAAAGTGCTGGGATTACAGGCGTGAGCCACTGCACCTGTCTAGATCCAGAATTTTTATAACCATCATCCATAACTATGTGACCACCATCTTTGATCTGGCCCAGGAATTCTTTGAGCCTCCCATTCAGCATGCTCTTGTACTGTCCTCAATTCCCCGTCATCCTTCCTGATTTCTTGTGCCTCGCCCCATCTTCCTTAAGTTCTTACAAATCAGAGCTGTATTCAGCTCCTTTTCTTTTAAAATAAAAATCATTTTAAAAATGCTATCGGTAACAATCTGCACACCCTACCAACATAAAAATTTCCTTTCCATTCAGTTCTAGTCTGAATTATTTCTCACAGAGGAGAAAAAATTGTAATACAAGTTGAGTGATTTATTTATAATACTCTGGTTAATTTTTTTCCCCAGGGATCTTTACGTTTTGTAAAACACAAAGTTAAATAATTCTAGAAGAGTAAAGCAATCATATAAAATCCAGATGGAAGAGTGCTATAATAAATAATAAAATATTGGAAGCACTCTTACTCTTTTTGAAGTAAATACAATTATTTTCTCCCTTTGCCCACAACCATGGCTAGCACACAGAAGAGGAAATGGGAGAACTATTATAATTTAGATTATACAGTCAATAGAGGTAAACTATTGTCACTGAAAACCTCCAAATCCATTTAAGTAAGGAAATAAAATACTCACAGCTTTTGGCTATTGCTGCAAAGATAAACGAACCAATGGAGTTAGTGTTAACTGGCTTAAGAAGATAACAAATCTAACTTTAAAGATGGGAAACTGTAAAAATGTATGAACTAATTTTTGTCTGAATATTTGCAGACAGGAAGAATAAAGGGAAGGAATAAACCCTAGCACTTCTATACGGAATCATTTAGTATAAATCTTCATTACTGGACAAATTCGCAATGACAGTATAACACAAAAAATTATTTATGTATGAATTTTGATTGAGTTTAGTGTATACTTCCATAGGATTACAAGAATCAGGACCAAATGCTACTCAAAGAAGACCCTTATAATATCAAAATCATTAAAATATTTCAAAAAATAGAACCTGAGGCTGTACAGAAAATGATTGGAAATAAAAGCACTAGCCAACATTCTGGTGGATTCTGATTTTTAAGTACCAGAGAGAATTTTCCCTTTCACAGTGTTACTCAGAGAAAACGATTTTATCTGTAAAGAGGCCCACAGAAAGCTGTGAAATTCTAAAACAGCTAAGATTCTATCCCAGTACACTGGATACAAGAAGAAGAGAGCAAAGGAAAGGGGGAAAATAAAAACAGAGCCTGGCAAAAGATAAAATGGGATTGAGAGATTTGTTGCTTTGGGCAAACTCAGAAGTACATAATATTTTTTGACATTTCTGGCTCACTAGCATTATAAAAGTACCCAGGTTATAGAATTTGATCCAGCTTCCCTTTTTTTCTTTTTTTGTACCATGTCTATTGTAAGAAGTGAATTTCACCTGCTTTTGCAAATACTTTATAAGGTATCAAGAGTATGTTTTCATATTTTTGAAGGCAGAGGGTGATTTTTAAAAGATAAATATTTATAATTTTTAAGCAATTGGCTTATTTGTTCATATTCTAATATCTTTCTCTTACAAATGTGTCTGTTTCCAAAGTCTGATCAATAATTTTACTTAAAAAAAAAGAGGTAAGATTTTAAAACACATACACTTTGATTTACAAACATCTCTGGGCATTATAATAAAATAAACTAAGATATTTAAAGCATAACTTAAAAAAGAATACAATCCAAAGCTGCAAAAATTACATACATATATGCCCCCAGAACAACCTTTAGATGATTATACAACCAACCAAATCATTATAAACCATTAGTATTACACTGAGTGCAGGCTTCCAATGTGTAAAACATATTGTCTCAAAAAAGAAGCCAAATTTTGAAAATAAGCAATTAATACAGGCTTAATCAAGATGAGTAAATAACTCTCATCTTTAAAAATTAAAAAACAGAGTCACGTGAGCCATGCTACTCATCTGCCCTGTTCACTGACAGTAGTAGGATCTTGACAAGCCTTTACTAATCCCTCTACCTAAATCTAGACTATTCTTCCATCCCTCACCCCAGCTCCAGTCCCAACCACCTCCATCTCCATCATTTGCATATCAAACACTCACTCTTCTTCAAGGTTAAGTTCTAGCATAGCCTCCTGAGCAAGCCTAGCCTGTCCCCCAGCACCTGAATGCAGAACTGAAGGTTGAATAAAGTAACTTTCTATTAACTCATTTTCCTGCCACTTAACTTACTGCATTATGCTGTCTGGGTGCCTTCAGTGAAAGGTGATGTTTTATTCATCTTTCTCACTGAGTACTGTGCTGGACATTTACTATGCCCTTAAAAATATTTTTTCAACAAAATAATGGAAGTGAGGTTCTTCTTGGACAGTTTAACAATCCCTGAAGCTCTATTAATTTGGACAAAAAAGAGAGAGAGAAGATATTGGACATATGTTACAGATTGAACCGTGTGGTCCTAGAGATGAGAATGATGACAATAATAACAAATAATACAAAGGCAGTTAAGACTAGTTATGGTTCTAGTATAAATGATCAGCCCCTCCACTTTCTAAGATACAGTAAAACTCTCAGCTAGGAGTCCCTGAGGGGATCTCTGTTCTGGGTCTGGACCAGATCTTCTGCTATTTTTACACCCCCTTCCCACCTTTTTTTCTAAACCACCCACTAACCTTGTTCTGCTTTCAAATTGGTTCATGTCAGGTTAATTATTTCTTTTTATAAGAGCTTCTATACAAATCTCAGAAAATTTCAGTCTCTTCTGCAATTTATTCAAGCTGACTTTAATGTAGAAATGTTCTCAGCTATATTCCTAAAGCCCCAACACAGATTTTTAGGTTGTTAAATTTTCCATAAATGCAATTATTTTCCAATTCCATCACTTCCAAATGTGCCTGATCAGCTAGCTGCCTGAGAATATCCAGAGATACTTTATCTTTTTACTGCTGAGTCCAGTATGGTAATTGGGAGAAAAAAATAACTTCTAAGCTAACTAAGACCCTTCTTCCAATACTAACAAGAAAAAAAAAAACCCTGTTTTTATATAGCACTTTAACATTCAAATGACCCATGCTTATTAATGTTCCATGTACTTTTATGTATTAACTACTTATACATGGAAATTTTCAACACCCACATAGTGCACAAAATTCACTAACAATGAATCTTACAGTTTCCACCTATTTAGATATATATAACATTTGTTTAATATTGGATTATATTTTAACATATGTTGGGTAATTTGTAGATGTCAGCTAAAATAGGAACCAACTCACATCTTGCTTGAGTCTTCCCTAAGCTTTTTCAAATCAATAAGGCTTAAAAATCATTTCTTTCATAGACAGACAATAGTAGCAGCACTTAAAATAGCAATTACTGTCCACTCCTACCACAACTATTCATGTAGATATTCACAAGTTATTGCTTTCAATGCACTTAAGGCTATAGTTAGAAGAAAGTATATTCATGTTGTTACATTCCAAAAGACAAAGAGAAATGGGAAAGTATATGTGCAAGAATATTCCAAAACAAGAAGTAGAAAGATAATTTATAAGCAACTAAAGGAAGAGAAAATTTAGAATTTTAGAGATAAGATTTTTTTTTAAAAAATTCACCATTAGAATAGGAAATAAAAAATTTTTATCGATAGGGGAAAAATCTATTAGCTAGGTTTATGGTATTTTAAAAAATGAACTCAAAATCATTCATCCAATGAAAGTAAGTCCAGTATATTGAGTTCACAAGCAAAACCACATTTAAGCACAAAGAATACTGAGTGCTGTATTTACAGCACCCATAAAAATGGAAAAGGAAGGTTTTCTAAAATTAGGTTTATAATGTTTTCTCTTATAAACATAATAGATGCTTATTATAGAAAATGTGAAGATTATATAGAAAGTCACTAAATATAAAACACTCATTCTATTTCTCAAAGTGAGTTACATTCTTATGTTTTCATTTATCTTTTTCTTTGCATATTTTTCAATATGTGAGATAATACTAAAATTTTTAAAATGCGTTTGGCTTTTTACAATTTGATATTATACTTAAGTATTTTCTTTGTTATTGATTTATTTGCAAGGATTTGAGACCCAATTAAAAGTGGCTTAAGCAAGTAAAGGTAAATTTAGGCCTATAAGAATATAAAGGTTACTGAAAAGGCCAGGAATAAGCCTGTTTGGGCTCATGTGCTCAAGTGAATTAATTGCAAATCCATCTTTATCCACCTCTTACCAACACTTTCCCTTGTGTTGATTTCATTCACAGTCAGTTTTTCCCACAACATGACAAAAATTCCCTAGGAGCTCCAGGGTTACTTTGCATTCAGAAACCCCCACGGAAAGTTTCTCCCTCTTCAGCAGTATTCCCAGGAAGGGGTTTCATTGGGATTCTTCACTCTACCCAGAGGGATATAGCATTGATTACTCAGTGAATTACTTGGGAAATTTAGGAGCCATTGGCATAAAGCTGAATCTGATGGTTATGGGGCTGGAGGAGATTTTTACCTAGAAAGCAAACATTCATATAGAAGAAGGGCCCAAAGAATGTGGCTTGTATCACACCACCAGACTTGTAAGTAAATAAATATTTGATATACAAAAATAGCTATGAGTTCTCTTTCATGTAAACTCCATACTCTCAATTAATTTTCAGAAAGCACATGGACTAAAAAAAAAAAAACTGTATTCTAACACATATGAAGGTTAGGGCCAAGATAACAGTTTCAGAAGAAAGTATTTCAATGGGGTTAAAACATCACTGAAAAATCAATATCACAGAATCCAATTAAAATAGTACTAAATATGTTAAACAAAAGCCTACATTGAACATTAAAGAAAGAATAAATTTTTCTGTACCTAATGACTCTAAAATCTTTCCTGGTCAAACAATGGAATCTGACAGCTCATCGTCAAAGTCAGGTTCAATACTATATGGGAAGCCATGATATAAGAAAAACTGTCATCCAATATTAACATGTATTTTTGCACTTGATGTAAAGCTGCCACTTCTGAAGACTTTCAATGTCTTTTGAAAGTTTTATCAACAAGATCAAACTGCACAAGACCAGAATTTTGAAAGTAATTTATGCTCTCTGACAATTTGCAAAGAACTTGGCGTGACAGAAAATAAAATATGAATAGCTTTACTACTATGTTCAGCTCATGTTCTAATGAATAATTTGTAGTATTTCCTTTGGAATTTTTAAAATAATGTAAAGTAAACTGTATTAAAAGTTTTATACAATATATCATTAAAAAAATTTTTTTTTCCAAGATGGCTGATTTGAGATGTTGGATGCCAGTTCTCAGAAAGAAAGATCAAAGTTACAGGTCATGATCCAAGTGGAAAGCTGAGGGAAGAGAGCCAACATGTGTTGGGACTGGGGTGCAGAAAAGGAAAGCAGCAAGAGTCTTGCAGAAATTGACCCCTAAGGAGCTTGGAGTCCTTCAGCAATGGTAGGTAGGAATGTTTCTTTGCTCTTTTCACTCCTGCAACAAACCACTGACTGCTAAATTGTCAAGGCACCACTCTGCTCTTGAAATCCTGTGCAATCGTTATTGGTGGAAATTTGGGAACTTCCTGGGGACACAACACCAGGTGGCCAGCTCATGCAGGCGTGCCTGCACTCCTTTCAGGCCCAAACTGTGATGGCAGGTACCATACTGGTTGTATGCCTGTTGTGGGCCACTACCCTACCCAAGGATCAAGCCCTTGTATTGCCTCATCACCAGACCCCCCACAAACATACCCCAGAACCCACTCTGACTTTGACATCCACAGAAGACTAGTGGGACCCTAGGGAGCTGTGGGATCCCCAGAATCTAGCCACTGGTGAGGGACGCCTCCAGTGGAGTGGAGTGCAAGGTCTGCCAAAGTGCCCCTTGGGACAAAAAGAAAAAAAAAATGCAGGTGTGGTGCCCATCTCTCTAGAGGGTGGCACTAGTGGCTGGGAATGAATGTGAAGATGGGGTTGTCTCCACTCCCCTGTCCACTGTTGTAGATATAGCAGAGGCTTTCTCCACTGGGAGCTAAAGCAAATGCACTTGGGGATAGCCTTTCCAGCCCAATCCATGGTAGCTGAAACCTTGCTAAAAGTGTGCATGTGATGCACACATGTGTACAAAGGACAGGGCCCACCAACCCCCCCTCCCCCCACCACACGCATACATAGTGACATTATCCAGGTAACTGAGCTCATAGAAGCCACAGAGCTGTTTCCTCTGGACTGGAGGAAGAGGCTCTGTCCTAAGTCCATTTCAGTAGTAGTCACCAGAGGGGCATTTTTACAGGCCTCAATCATACTGTGGCTGAAAGACAAAAGACAGTATCTGTATCTATAGGAACTGAAGGTCATGAACCCTGCGACAGGGGCCTGATAGGGAAACAGATCGCATTTTTGCCTGCCCAGGAAAAAGAGCTAATGCAGTCCCCACCCCACTTCCCGAAGACCTCAGTGCATGCCAGCATGAACTCCCCTGCCACCCACACATGCCACAGGGGCAGATGATTCCAGTTGATATGAGGCTACTCAAGGACAAGATAGCTCTTACTCTGAAGTGCCACCTACTGGACTAGAGACAGAACTGGTCCACCATATTAAAAAACCTGCTGTCAGAAGAGCACAGAACTAGTATACAAGATAAACTGCCTGAGACCTCTGCATTTTCTGCCCCACAGAAGATAGTATATTGGCTCATAGGGTTAATACATTGCTACAATAAGAAGCATTTGAGAAAGTCACCACAAAAAGCTATGCATAACCAAGTAACCCATATAGAGCTTTGGCCCTCCGAAAGCACACAGAAACAAAGCCAAACAACTTATCACAACATACACTACATTCATATAGTCAAGGGAGAAAAGACTAAAAAGTGAAAAAGTTCTATCTAAATGATAGCAAATTCGAAAATAAGAAGTGACAGCTTCTTCAAATGAGAAGGAATCAATGCAAGAACTCTGGCAGTAAAAAAGGATAGAGTGTTTTGACACTCTCAAAGGATTGCACTTAGCCCTCTAGCAGTGAATCTGAAAATCCTGAAATGACAGGTAAATAATTCAAAATGTGGATTGTAAGGAAGCACAGTTAGATTCAAGAGAAAGCTAAAAATCAACAGAATAAAACCAGAAAAACAATTCAGATTACAAAAGATAAGACAGATATATTGTTTTAAAAAAATCAGAATTTCTGAAAACAAAAAATTCACTGGAGGAATTTCAAAATACAGTTAAAAGCTTTAACAACAGATTAAACCAAGCAGAAGAAAGAATTTCAGAGCTTGAAGACCAGTCTTCTAAAGTCAGAAATTATTTTTTAATTAACAAAGTAAACAAAGTCTTTGAGAAATATGGAATAATGTAAAGCAACTAAACCATGACATGTAGGCATTCCTGCAAGAGAAAAATAAAACTAGGAAATTTGGAAAACATATTTGAGGGAATTACTCAAGAAAATTTTCCTGATCTTGCTATAGAGGTAAACATCCAGATATAAGAAATTCGGAGAGTAACTGGCAGATACTATACATGAGGAACATCACCAAAGCATAGAGTCTTCAGACTATCCAATGTCAAGTCAAAAGAAAATATATTAAAAGCAGCCAGAGAGAAGAGTCAAATCACCTATAAAGGGAATCTCATCAGACAAACGTGGACTTATCAGCAGACATGTTACAAGTCAGCAGAGATTGGAGACTTCTTTCCAGCCTTCATAAATAAAAAAGAAAGCCAGCTAAGAATTTTATATCCTACCAAACTAAACTTTATAAACAAAGGAGAAAGAAGCCTTTCCCAGAAATTGTTCACCACTAGACCAGAATATACAAGACATGCTCAAAGGAATTCTCAGCATGTCAGCAAAAGAATGATACTTGACACCATAAAAGCACATCTAATTCTGAAATTCACAGGTGCTATAAATCAATTATACAATTGAGAATACAAAGCAAGTAGCTAACAACACTATGACAGGAACAAAACTTTGAATATCAATATTAATCTTTAATGTAAATGGCCTAAATGCTCCACTTAAAGGATGTAGAATGGGAAATTGGATTAAAAAATAAGACCCAACCGTCTGCCACCTACCAGAGACCAAACTAAAAGGTAAAAACATCCACAGACTCAAAGTAAAGATGTGGAAAAATTTATATCACACAAATGGAAAACAAAAAGAGCAGGAGTTGCTTTTCTTATAGTACACGAAGCAGACTTTAAACCAACAACAGTATAAAAAGACAAAGAAAGGCATTATATAATGATGACAGGATCAATTCAACAAGAGGATTTAACTCACCTATATATATATATACACCTAACACAGGGGCACCCGGATTTATGAAACAAATACTAGCATTAGACCTAATAAAACAGAGAGAAAGCAATATAATAATACTTGCAGGCCAGCTGGGCGCAGGGACTTCAGCAGTCCACTAACAGCATTAAACAAATCGTCAAGGCAGAAAACTAGTAAAGAAACCCTGGACTTAAACTGAACTCCTGACCAAATTGATCTAATAAACATTTACAGATGATTCTACACAACAGTTACATGATATCAATTTTTCTCATCTGTGCACGGAATTTTCTGTAACATTGACCGTATGCTTGGCCATAAAACAAGTTTCAATAAATTTTAAAAAATCTAAGTCATGGCCAGTCATGGTGGCTCACACCTGTAATCCCAGCACTTTGGGAGGCCAAGGCAGGTGGATCACCTGAGGTCAGAGTTCAAGACCAGCCTGGTCAACATGATGAAACCCCATCTCTACTAAAAATACAAAAAAAAAAAATGTTGGCTGGGCGTGGTGGTGTGCACCTGTAATCCCAGCTACTCGGGAGGCTGAGGCAGGAGAATCGCTTGAGCCCAGGAGGTGGAGGTTGCAGTGAGCCAAGATCACACCACCGCACTCCAGCCTGGGCAACAAGAGTGAAACTCTGTCTCAAAATATTAAAAAAAAATCTAAATCATTTCAAGTATTTTCTTGGACCACGGTGACATAAAATTAGAAATCAATACCAAGAGGTACCCTCAAAACTACACAAGTACATGGAAACTAAACAACTTACTGCTGAATAATTTTTTGAGTAAACAATGAAATTAAGGCAAAAAAATTTTAAAATTAAAACAAATGAAAATAGAGACAAAATATACCAAAACCTCTGGGATAGAGCAAAAGAAGTGCTAAGAAGAAAGTTTATAGCATTAAATACCTACCTCAAAAAGATTAAAAGGTCTCAATTAACAACCTAACATTGCACTTCAAGGACATAGAAAAGCAGGGACAAAGCAAATACAAAGCAAGAAGAGGAAAAAAATAACAAGGATCAGAGCAGACCTAAATGAAATTGAGACCAAAGGAAAAAAAACATGTAAAGGATCAATGAAATAAAAAGGTTTTTTTTCTTGAAAGAGTAAACAAAAATGATTTACTACTAGCTAGACTTACCAAGAAAAAAGGGGAAAAGATTCAAATTAGCACAATCAGAAATGATAAAGGAGACATTACAACTGATACCACAGAAATGCAAAAGATTATCAGAGACTACTATGAACATCTGTATGCATACAAACTAGATGCCCTAAAGCAATTGGATAAATTCAAGAAAAACATACAACCTTCCAAGTTTGATTCATGAAGAAATAGACATCCTGAAAATATCAATAATGAGTAATAAAATTGAATCTGTAATAAAAAGTCTATCAGCAACAACAACAATGACAAAAAACAATGACACAGCCAAATTTGACCAGATGTACAAAGAAGAACTGGTAGCAATCTTACTAAGACCATTCTAAAAAATTGAGGAGGAGGGATTTCTCTCCAACTCATTCTATTAAATCAGCATCATCCTGATACCAAAATATGGCCAGGACACAACAAAAAAGAAAAACTACAGGCCAGTAACTTTGATGAACATAGATGCAAAAATCTTCAACAAAATGCTAGCAAACCAAATCCAACAGTATATCAAAAAGTTAATTCACCATGAGCAAGTGGGTTTTATTGCCTTGATGCAAGTATGGTTAAACATACACAAATCAATAAATGTGATTAATTATATTAACAGAATTAAAAACAAAAACCATATGATCTTCTCAATAGATGCAGGAAAAGCATTTGATAAAATTCATCATCCCTTCATGACACAAAAACCTCTCAACAAATGAGGCATGGAAGAATCATACCTCAAAATAGTAAGAGCCATAGATGACAAACCCACAATCAACATCATACTGAAGGGTCAAAAGTTGAAAGCATTTCTCCAAAGAACTGGAACAAGACAAGGATCTACACTCTCAGCACTCCTATTAAACATAGCATTAGAAGTCCTAGCCAGAACAATCAGGCAAGAGAAAGAAACAGAAAGCATCCAAATTGAAAAGGAGAAAGTCAAATTATCTCTGTTTGTTAATGACATGATCTTAGACCTGAAAACCCTAAAGATGCCTCCAAAAGACTCCTAAACTTTATAAATGACTTCAGTAAAGTTTCAGGATAGAAAATTAATGTGCAAATGTCAGTTGCATTTCTATACACCAACAGCATTCAAGCAGAGAATGAAATCAAGAACACAATTCCATTTACAGTGGGGAAAGGATGTGTTATTTAATAAATGATACTGGGAAATTTGCTAACCATGTGTAGAAGAATGAAACTGTACCCCTATCTCTTACTATATAGAAAAATTAAGATGAATTAAATATTTAAATGTAAGACCTGAAACTATAACAATCCTAGAAGAAAACCTAGGAAAACCTCTTCTGGATATTGACCTAGGCAAAGAATTTATGACTAAGGACTCAAAAGCAAATCAACAAAAGCAAAAATAGACAAATGGGACTTAACTAAACAAAAAAGCTTTTGTACAGCAAAACAAATAAGCAACAGAGTAAACCTACAACCTACAGATTTGGAGAAAATATTTGCAAGCTATGCATCTGACAAAAAACTAATATCCAGAATCTAAAAGGAACTCAAACAAATCAACAAGAAAAAATAAATAAATAATCCCATTAAAAGTGAGCATGGAAATGAACAGACATTTCTCTAAAGAAGACATACAAGTGACCAACAAACATATAAAAAAGTTGAATATCACTAGTCATTAGAGAAATGCAAATCAAAACCACAATGAGATACCATCTCACAATAGTCAGAATAACTATTATTAAGAAGATAAAAAATAACAGATGTTGAGGATGCAGAGAAAAGGGAATACTTATACACTGATTGTAAATTAGTACAATCCCTATGGAAAACAGTATGGAGAGTTCTCAAGGAATTAAAATAGGACTACGCTTCAACCCACCAATCCCATTACTGGGTATCTACCCAAAGGAAAATAAATCATTATATCAAAAGGACACTTCTACCCATACATTTATGTCAGCATTATCTACAATAACAAAGTCATAGAATCAACCTAAATGTCCATCAATGAATGAATGGATAAAGAAAATGTGCTATGTATACTCCTTGGAATACTATGCAGTCATAAAAAAGAATAAAAGCATATCCTTTGCAGCAAAATGGATGGAGCTGAAGGCCATTATCCTAAGTGAAATAACTCAGAAACAAAGTCAAATACCACATGTTCTTACTTATAAGTGGGAACTAAGCAATGGGTCCACATGGATATTCAGAATGGAATAATAGATATTGGAGACTACAAAAGGTGGCGGGGGGAGGCTGGGCATGAGACGAGGGTTGAAAAATCACCTGTTGGGTACAATGTTCATGATTTAGGAGATGGATACACTGGAAATTCAAGCCTCACCATTATGCAACATATCCATGTAACAAACGTGCACATGTACTCCCTGAACTCATAAAAATAAAAACGAAACGAAGCAAACAAATAAAAAGCACAGCATAACAATATATATAACTACATCTAAGCATTCTTATTATTTGCTTTAGAACATTGCTTAATGAATATTCTATATAATTGCTGGAGGAATTCTTATATTGCACAAAAGAACCCATATTTTAATTTTTTGTTAGGTTTCACTGTAAAACAATTATATAAATTTACAAAGTCTTAGTTTTCAATGTTATATGCTCCTAATTTTAAGACATAATCAAAATATGTCTTGAAGAATTCAAAACAGACTTGTTAATAATAGTTTTTATTCCTAAACAGAGGTTGGAGGATGACTTTCACATTTATTTTGTATACTTATGCTTTGGAGAACATTTTTTTAAAAACTCCTTTTATGATTATTTAAAAGTAATTTGTGGCCTTAAAGTACTAGAAAAATATATCAACTGTGTCTACTCATACTATAGAAAAAATTCAGGCCAGGCACAGTGGCTCATGCCTGCAATTTCAGCACTTTGGGACACCAAGGGGTGTGTGTTGCTTGAGCCTAGGAGTTGGAGACCAGTCAGGACAACATGACGAAACCCCATCTCTACAAAAAATACTAAATTACCTGGGCATGGTGTCACATGCCCATAGTCCCAGCTACTCAAGAGGTTGAGGTAGGAGGATTGCTTGAGTCTCAGAGGTTGAGACTGCCTAAGATCACACCATTGTACTCCAGCCTAGGTGACAGAGTAAGACCATGCCTCAAATAAAAAAAAAAGAAAAGAAAAGAAAAGAAAAAAGAAGAAAAAGAATAACTCTTTGTCTTGATTTTTAAAATGCAGATTATTTCAGACTCTCTTGAAAAAAAATCTAAGTCTGGGGTGGAGCACTGAGATTCTACATTTTTAATAAGCAAATCAAGGTAATTCTTCTGCAAGTGGACTATGGACCACAATTCAAAATACACTTACGATAGGGACTAATTACATAACTTTACAAAAAGAAGAGACTTTTGCTTTCCTTGGCAAAAGCAAAATCTAGGAAGAAAAGACAGGTAGATTTGGCAAATAAAAATTTAATACTAAAGTATTTCAGAAAATACTGATCAAAATTAAAAAGTAAATGATAAATTTTAAAAACTACTTTTAATTCAAAACCATGCTTAACCCTAATACATTCAAATGTTTTAAAAAGTCAATAAAAGAAAAAAAGGCATCCTAGTAGAAAAGCAGATCAAGCACGTTTTGAAAAGCAATTCATTCATAGACTCTCTGAACCTTGCTGTTAAATACATGTAAGTGTATTCATCTTAGAGTCAAATAAATGCAAATTTATAAAATATTAGAAAATATAGAAGATATGTCAATTTTCTTTATCAACTAGATCTGTATTAAAACTTACTGAAACAAGTTAAGAGTGTGGGAAAACAAGCTCTGTTATAACTGGTAGTGGGAGTTTATGTCAATCCATTTAAAGACCAATTTGGAATAATTTTTAAATGTTTAAATGCATACAGTTTTGTTAGTTTCATTCTAGTTTAGTAGATCATTTATCATTTAATAAATATTTTTGAATGCAGGTCATTTTAGTCATTCAACAGATATTTATTGATTGCCTACTATATCTTAGGTCCTATTCTTGATGCAGAAGAATACAATAGTGAACTAAACAAAGAAAAAAGAATCTTTAATTGTCTTTCACATTCTGGTGTGGGGAGATGGACATAACAACCAATTGTATAGTACAGTAACTGGCAATTATGTGCTAAGAAAAAAACAGAGAATTTGAATAAAAAGTGTCAGAGGTATTTAATTTTAGACAGGATAGCCAAGAAAGGTCTAATTGAGAAGGTTGTTATGTGTGTATTAGTTAGGTTGTTTGCAGCTGCTAACTTAATCAATACGAAAATATATTATTAAGCAGAAAAAGGAAGCACTGGTTATGTCAAGCTAAAAGACATCATCAAGTTCTCAGGCTTTCTGTCTCCCCTTTCTGCCGTCTTTGGCATTAGTTCCCTTATCAGACTATTAGTAAGATGGTTGCAGCTGTCAAACATAATAATGTCCCAAGGAAGAATAATTCTTCCTTTTGCTCTCTCTCAGAGGAAATATTTCCTGTAACTTCCCTGACCACTTCTACAGCTTACCTGCACATTTTATCTGTTAGAATTTCATCACACTCCTGAACAATGGCATTATTGAGGTTGGCTTAGTCCAGACATTTAGGGTGGGTAGATGGTTGTCAGGGAGTCGATCAAAACATGTTCTCACTGGTGTATGCGTGGTCATAGCATCTTCAGAAATGTAGATAAGTAAAGAAAGTGTGCATGAAAGAAGTTAAGACAGAATGCATTGTACTGGTCAAACGTAGTTTTTCTCATATCCACAAATTCTTATAAGGAGAAGACAAGATGACTGAGTTTTACTGAAGGTATTTGAATCAGGAGCATCTGCTTTAAAGTCAATCAATTCATGGATCAGTCAATGTCCACTTAAATAGTCTGATAGGAAAATTTCTGCCCAAATAGAATAAAATTATTATATAATCCTATAAGATTTATATCTCAAGAATGTTATCTGTTAAATACAAAGAAAAATTAAGCAATTAATCCTGAGAATTGTGGCTGTGGAAAAGAATGAGAGGCCATGAGGATTAGATGGGACTGAGAAGAATTTAAAGTTGTGGTCATGAAGGGTAAAAGCAACCTGATGTGTTGGAAGCAGAGTTATGAGTAGTAGAGAGAATATACAAGTCAATACCAAGGAGAGCAGAGCTGTGCTGTCAAGCCCCTGACAATTCGTGAATTTCTGCTGCTGAAATTATTAGTGCTGCCTTGGATCAAGTTCCATTTGTATGATGGCCAGCTGTACTTTGGATTCCACTCTTGGAATCATATTTGGTCTCTCTCTCTCTCTCTAATTGCCCTAAGTGTTTCTTCACCATAAATCCCTCATGATTAAGACAGCTTAAATGAGTCTCTGTTTCCTTCAACTAAGAGAACCTCATGAGAACATCTTAAGAATTTTATCTGCTACATCAGTCTCAGTGAATAAACTCATATACATTTGGCCTTAATAGTTAAAAGAGTGCTCCTCATTTTTACATAGGAATGGGCAACAATAAGTTCATGATACACTGCTATATTTCACATAACCAGATACATAATTCCATTCTATATTGAAGAGCAAGAATCTAATACATAGATTTTAAACCTTGTATGGGAGGAGCCATGTGTTTTTCTCTTAAGCCCCCAAACACATGCACAGTACGTGCATAGCTAATAGGCTATGTACCTGGACTTACTGTGATCTCTCCTTTCTCTCCTCTTTCCTATTTCCCCTGCAGTCCGTATCACACAGATTCTGAATTTGGGATACAATATTTGCATATTTATCTTTTAAATTAATAATACTGGCTGGGCGCGGTGGCTCATGCCTGTAATTGCAGCACTTTGGGATGCTGAGGCAGGTGGATCACTTGAGGTCAGGCGTTCCAGACCAGCCTGTCCAACATGGTTTTAACCTCATCTCTACTAAAAATAAAAAAATTACCCGGGCATGGTGGCACATGCTTGTAGCCCCAGCCACTCAGGAGGCTGAGGCAGGAGAATTGCTTGAACCCAGGAGGTGGAGGTTGCAGTGAGCCAAGATCGCATCACTGCACTCCAGACTGGGTGACAGAGCAAGACTCTGTCTCAAAAAATGATAATAATGTAATAATACCATTATTTTAAATCAATAGTTAAATTTCAAAAACATTTTTTGAATGGTATAATCAACAAATAATTGGGTTCTATTATATCAGTGACACTCTAGTAGATAATACAAAATTTTTTAGCATGTACATATTTTATTAAGGAAGTTTTAAATGTATATATTTAAATATATATTTATATTTTATATGTGACAGATTGCCCATTTGCCACTAGTATCACATAATGCAGATTTCATGTGATAATACTTTATAACAAAGTATGTGTATGTGTCTGTGTATGTATATATATCTGTATGGGTATATATATATGTATAGGCACATATACAGACACATACACATACTTTGTTTAAAACATTATACTTTATGTGTATGTGTTTGTATGTGTGTATACATATATATACATTCAGATACATATACATATATACGAATGTGTCTGTATATATATGAATATATGTCTGTATGTGTGTGTATATATATGTATACACACACAGACACATATAAATACTTTGTTTAAAGCATTATAGCAGTTCCAAGATGGCCGAATAGGAACAGCCCCAGGCTACAGCTCCCAGCGTGAGCAATGCAGAAGATGGGTGATTTCTGCATTTCCAACTGAGTTACCAGGTTCATCTCACTGGGGCTTGTTGGACAGTGGGTGCAGCCCATGGAGTGTGAGCCGAAGCAGGGCAGGGCATTGCCTCACCCAGGAACCACAAGGGGTTGGGGAATTCCCTTTCCTAGCCAAAGGAAGCCTTGACAGATGGTAACTGGAAAATTGGGACACTCTCACCCTAATACTGTGCTTTTCCAACAGTCCTAGCAAATGGCATACCAGGAGATTATATCCTGCGCCTGACTCAGAGGGTCCTACACCCACGGAGACTCGCTAACTGCTAGCACAGCAGTCTGAGATCAAACTGCAAGGCAGCAGCGAGGCTGGGGGAGGGGCGTCCACCATTGCTGAGGCTTGAGTAGGTAAACAAAGCAGCCAGGAAGCTCGAACTCAGTGGAGCCCACCACAGCTCAAGGAGGTCTGCCTGGCTCTGTAGACTCCACCTCTGGGGGCAGGGCATAGCTGAACAAAATGCAGCAGAAACTTCTGCAAACTAAAATGCCCCTGTCTGACACCTTTGAAGAGAGTAGTAGTTCTCCCAGCACAGAGTTTGAGATCTGAGAACAGACAGACTGCCTCCTCAAGTGGGTCCCTGACCTCTGAGTAGCCTAACTGGGAGACACCTCCCAGTAGGGGCCAACTGACACCTCACACAGCTGGGTGCCCCTCTGAGACAAAGCTTCCAGAGGAAGGATCAGGCAGCAACATTTGCTTTTCTGCAGCCTCTGCTGGTGATACCCAGGTAAACAGGGTCTAGAGTGGACCTCCAGCAGACTCCAACAGACCTGCAGCTGAGGGTCCTGACTGTTAGAAGGAAAACTAACAAACAGAAAGGACATCCACACCAAAACCCCATCTGTACGTCACCATCATCAAGACCAATGATAGATAAAACCACAAAGATGGGGAGAAACCAGAGCAGAAAAGCTGAAAATTCTAAAAATCAGAGTGTCTCTTCTCCTCCAAAGAAACACAGCTCCTCTCCAGCAATGGAAAAAAGCTGGATGGAGAATGACTTCGAGAGCTGATAGAAGTAGGCATCAGATGATCGGTAATAACAAACTTCTCCAAGCTAAAGGAGGATGTTTGAACCCATCGCAAGGAAGCTAAAAACCTTGAAGAAAGATTGGACGAATGGCTAACTAGAATAAATAGCATAGAGAAGACCTTAAATTACCTGATGGAGCTGAAAACCATGGCACGAGAACTACGTGATGCATGCACAAGCTTCAGTAGCTGATTCGATCAAGCGGAAGAAATGATATAAGTGATTGAAGATCAAAAGAATGAAATGAAATAAGAAGAGAAGTTTAGAGAAAAAAGAGTAAAAAGAAATGAACAAAGCCTCCAAGAAATATGGGACTATGTGAAAAGACTAAATTTACATCTGATTAGTGTACCTGAAAGTGGCAGGGAGAATAGAACCAAGTTGGAAAACACTCTTCAGGATATTATCCAGGAGAACTTCCCCAACCTAGCAAGGCAGGCCAACATTCAAATTCAGGAAATAAAGAGAACGCCACAAAGATACTACTCGAGAAGAGCAACTCGAAGACACATAATTGTCCGATTCTTTAAAGTTGAAATGAAGGAAAAAATGGTAAGGGCAGCCAGTGAGAAAGGTTGAGTTACCCACAAAGGGAAGCCCATCAGACTAAGAACGGATCTCTCAGCAGAAAGTCTACAAGCCAGAAAAGAGTGGGGGCCAATATTCAACATTCTTAAAGAAAAGAATTTTCAACCCAGAATTTCATATCCAGCCAAACTAAGCTTCATAAGTGAAGGAGAAAAAAAATCCTTTACAGACAAGCAAATGCTGAGAGATTGTGTCACCACCAGGCCTGCCTTACAAGAGCGCCTCAAGGAAGCACTAAACATGGAAAGAAACAACCAGTACCAGCCACTGCAAAAGCATGCCAAATTGTAAAGACCATCGATGCTAGGAAGAAACTGCATCAACTAACAAGCAAAATAACCAGTTAATATCATAATGACAGAATCACATTCACACATAACAATATTAACCTTAAATGTAAATGGGCTAAATGCTCCAATTACAACACATAGACTGGCAAATTGGATAAAGAGTCAAGATCCATCAGTGTGCTGTATTCAGGAGACCCATCTCATGTGCACAGACACACAGAAGCTCAAAATAAAAGGATGGAGGAAGATGTACCAAGCACATGGAAAACAAAAAAAAAGCAGGGGTTGCAATCCAAGTCTCTGATAAAACAGACTTTAAACCAACAAAGATCAAAAGAGACAAAGAAGGCCATTACATAATGGTAAAGGGATCAATTCAACAAGAAGAGCTAACTATCCTAAATATATATGCACCCAATACAGGAGCACCCAGATTCATAAAGCCAGTCCTTAGAGACCTATAAAGAGACTTACACTCCCACCCAATAATAATGGGAGACTTTGACACCCCACTGTCAACATTATACAGATCAATGAGACAGAAAGTTAACAAGGATATCCAGGACTTGAACTCAGCTCTGCACCAAGAGGACCTAAGAGACATCTACAGAACTCTCCACCCCAAATCAACAGAATATACATTGTTCTCAGCACCACATCGCAGTTATTCCAAAATTGACCACTTAGTTGGAAGTAAAGCACTCCTCAGCAAACGTAAAAGAACAGAAATTACAACAATCTGTCTCTCAGACCACAGTGCAATCAAACTAGAACTCAGGATTAGGAAACTCACTCAAAACTGCTCAACTACATGGAAACTGAACAACCTGCTCCTGGGTACCTAATGAAATGAAGATAGAAATAAAGATGTTCTTTGAAATCAATGAGAACAAAGAAAAAACACACCAGAATCTCTGGGACACATTTAAAGCAGTGTATAGAGGGAAATTTATAGCACTAGATGCCCACAAGAGAAAGCAGGAAAGATCTAAAATTGACACCCTAACATCACAATTAAAAGAACTAGAGAAGCAAGAGCAAACACATTCAAAAGCTAGCAGAAGGCAAGAAATAACTAAGATCAGAGAAGAACTGAAGGAGATAGGGACACACACAAAAAAAACCTTCAAAAAATCAATGAATCCAGGAGCCGGTTTTTTGAAAAGATCAACAAAATTGATAGACCAATAGCAAGACTAATAAAGAAGAAAAGAGAGAACAATCAAATAGACACAATAAAAAATGATAAAGTGGATATCACCACTGATCCCATAGAAATACAAACTACCATCAGAGAATACTGTAAACACCTCTACACAAATAAACTAGAAAGTCTAGAAGAAATGGATAAATTATTGAACACACACACCCTCCCAAGACTAAACCAGGAAGAAGTTCAATTCCTGAATAGACCAAAAACAGGCTCTCAAATTGAGGCAAAAATTAATAGCCTACAAACCAAAAAAAGCCCAGGACCAGATGGATTCACAGCCTAATTCTACCAGAGGTACAAAGAGGAGCTGGTACCATTCTTTCTGAAACTATTCCAATCAATAGAAAAAGAGGGAATCTTCCCTAACTCATTTTATGAGGCCAGCATCATCCTGATACCAAAGCCTGGCAGAGATAAAACAAAAAAAGAGAATTTTAGACCAATATCCCTGATGAACATCGATGCAAAAATCCTCAGTAAAATATTGGCAAACCGAATCCAGCACCACATCAAAAAGCTTATCCACCATGATCAAGTTGACTTCATCCCTGGGGTGCAAGGCTGGCTGAACATACACAAATCAATAAACGTAATCCAGCATATAAACAGAACCAAAGACAAAAACCACATGATTATCTCAATAGACGCAGAAAAGGCATTTGTCAAAATTCAACAGCCCTTCATGCTAAAAACTCTCAATAAATTAGGCATTGATGGGATGTATCTCAAAATAATAAGAGCTATTTATGACAAACCCACAGCCAATATCATACTGAATGGGCAAAAACTGGAAGCATTCCCTTTGAAAACTGGCACAAGAGAGAAATGCCCTCTCTCACCACTCCTATTCAACATAGTGTTGGAAGTCCTGGCCAGGGCAATCAGGCAGGAGAAAGAAATAAAGGGTATTCAATTAGAAAAAGAGCAAGTCAAATTGTCCCTGTTTGCAGATGACATGATTGTATATTTAGAAAACCCCATTGTCTCAGCCCCAAATCTCCTTAAACTGATAAGCAAATTCAGCAGTCTCAGGATACAAAATCAACGTGCAAAAATCACAAGCATTCCTATACACCAATAACAGACAAACAGAGAGCCAAATCATGAGTGAACTCCCATTCACAATTGCTTCCAAGAGAATAAAATACCTAGGAATCCAATTTACAAGGGATGTGAACGACCTCTTCAAGGAGAACTACAAACCACTGCTCAATGAAATAAAAGAGGACACAAACAAATGGAAGAACATTCCATTCTCATGGATAGGAGGAATGAATATCGTGAAAATGGCCATGCTGCCCAAAGTAATTTATAGATTCAATGCCATCCCCATCAAGCTACCAATGACTTTCTTCACAGAATTGGAAAAAACTACTTTAAAGTTCATATGGAACCAAGAAAAGAGCCCGCATTGCCAAGACAATCCTAAGCCAAAAGAACAAAGCTGGAGGCATCATGCTACCTGACTTCAAACTATACTACAAGGCTACAGTAACCAAAACAGCATGGTACTGGTACCAAAACAGAGATATAGATCAATGGAGCAGAACAGAGCCCTCAGAAATAATACCACACATCTACAACCATCTGATCTTTGACAAACCTGAGAAAAACAAGAAATAGGGAAAGGATTCCCTATTTAATAAATGTTGCTGGGAAAACTGGCTAGCCATATGTAGAAAGTTGAAACTGGATCCCTTCCATACACCTTATACAAAAATTAATTGAAGATGGATTAAAGACTTAAATGTTAGACCTAAAACCATAAAAATCCTAGAAGAAAACCTAGGCAATACCATTTAGGACACAGACATGGGCAAGGACTTTGTGACTAAAACACCAAAAGCAATGGCAACAAAAGCCAAAATTGACTAATGGGATCTAATTAAACTAAAGAACTTCTGCACAGCAAAAGAAACTACCATCAGTGTGAACAGGCAATCTACAAAATGGGAGAAAATTGTTACAATCTACCCATCTGACAAAGGGCTAATATCCAGAATCTACAAAGAACTTAAACAAATTTACAAGAAAAAAATCAAACAACCCCATCAAAAAGTGGGTGAAGGATGTGAACAGACACTTCTCAAAAGAAGACATTTATGCAGCCAACAGACACATGAAAAAATGCTCATCATTACTGGCCATCAGAGAAATGCAAATCAAACCACAATGAGATACCATCTCACACCAGTTAGAATGGCAATCATTAAAAAGTCAGGAAACAACAGGTGCTGGAGAGGATGTGGAGAAATAGGAACACTTTTACGCTGTTGGTGGGACTGTAAACTAGTTCAACCATTGTGGAAGATAGTGTGGTGATTCCTCAAGGATCTAGAACTAGAAATACCATTTGACCCAGCCATCCCATTACTGGGTATATACCCAAAGGATTATAAATCATGCTGCTATAAAGACACATGCATATGTATGTCTATTGTGGCACTATTCACAATAGCAAAAACTTGAAACCATTCCAAATGTCCATCAGTGATAGATTGGATTAAGAAAATGTGGCACATATACACCATGGAATACTATGCAGCCATAAAAAGGGATGAGTTCATGCCCTTTGTAGGGACATGGATGAAGCTGGAAACCATCATTCTCAGCAAACTATCCCAAGGATAGAAAACCAAATGCTGCGTGTTCTCACTCATAGGTGGGAATTGAACAATGAGAACCCTTGGACACAGTGTGGGGAACATCAAACACTGGGGCCTGTCATGGGTTGGGGGGAGTGGGGAGGGATAGCATTAGGAGATATACCTAATGTAAATGATGAGTTATTGGGTGTAGCACAGCAACATGGCACATGTATACATATGTAACAACTTGCACATTGTGCACATGTACCCTAAAACTTAAAGTATAATAATAAAAAAAAAAAGTTGGAAGAGAGTGAAAACAATAGGCAACTCTCTCTGCAGAGAAGATAGTAAGAGGTCATCCATGGATAAATATGACAGTTTGAAGGAATGCATGTTTAGATCTAGAACATGTCCACATTTGCATGTAACAGTATTTAACTTCTTCATTAAAACAAAGCTAAAATTAAAAAAGCATTATAAAGCATTATATGTGTATGTGTCTGTACGTGTATATATATGTATGTATAAAACACTATAAAGTATAATGCTTTAAACAAAGTATATGTACTTGTCATTGTGTGTATACTTATGTATAAACACACACAGACATATATATACACATATATATGTACACACACATACACATACTCTGTTTACTTGATATTCTAAACAACTGAACCCATATCCATGAATTAAACTAGAAAAATACTTGAAAGTGTTCAATGTAAGGAAATGCACACCTGAGAAAAACAAGACAATTGAAAATCAGTCATACACAAGCTGAGACCTTTTCTTCACACCAAAACAGATCAGTGTTTCAGTGTCTGTCTAATGAATTCTCCTTTTAAGAATCCCTTGAAGGAAGTTTGTCAAATATGTTTCTCAAGCTCATCATATTAAAATGCTTGGTGTAGTTTTATTTCTGTTAAAATCACTTGGCTTTTGAGGCTTACTGTTGAGGTTTATAGCAAGAAGGTGATCCAGATCATCTGTCTCTGAAAATAAACATGGGTTTGTCAAGTTCCATTGCTAATTCACACAAACACAAGCATGGAAGAGTCTACTTTTATGGCCTTACAGGAGAGCTTAGTCTAGCATGTCATGAAACTTTAAGGAAGGCTTAATACTAGATGTAGATATTCTCAAGCCCCTAAGTTCAGTATTCACAAGGCACTTCCACACTTGGCTAAAAGGCTGACTCCATGTGGCAGGAGGCAGTTCCCAAGGTACACTCACAGGTAATAGTACTCTTCGTGAAATGTCAGGTCTGACCTCTCACATTCATCCTTCCCACTGGAAAGCCTGCCTTCCAGTTCTCATTTCTTCTTCTACATTAAGCTTCTTCCCAGCAAAATTTACAGAGGGAATGTTTGCTCTATTCAGGGGAAATGCCATCATTCTATTATACCATCATTAATTATAACCCATCCTTTATCAAATGGATAATCACTTTGGAACACAACGGTCCAGTGTCTCCTGTTTTACCAGTGCTGTTATTCACTATATGTAGAATATCAGCAGTTAATCGAGGTCGAGCTACCCAAAACCCAAATCTTTTTATTTTATTTTATTTTCCTAACTTTTTAATTGTTGAAACTTCAAATCTACAGAAAAGTTGTTGGAAAATAGTACAATGACACCCATATACTCTACATCCAGATTTATCTAACATTTTTGCCACATTTTCTCTATCCATAGACAATTTTTTTGTTTTCTTTAACCATTTAAGGGTTAATTACTGGTAGCAAAATACTTCCTCTCTAAACATTTTGGTATATTCCTCCTCAGAACAAGGGCATTCTCCAACATAACCACAATGCAGTTATCACACTTGGGAAATTTTACAGTTTCTATTCCATTTTGCCATTGGTTTCAATAACAATCTCCATAATTATTTTTAAAGAATTTATCCATGATTCCACATTGCATTTAAGTCATGTCTGTTTAGTCTCCATCCTTTTCTGTGTGTTTATGTATCTCTCTGGACACTGGCATTTGAGAAATTTCCAGGCAAGTTGCTTTGTCAGACAAACTATTTTTGCAGTGTTTCCTCCAGGCTGAGGACTGGTTCAGGCCTACATGTCCTTCCTGTGTCTCCAAGCATCTCAGGTTCTTATATTTGTAAGAGCCTGCTTATCACATATGCACACAAACAAACATCTTTATAAGATCATGCAAGACGTTAAACACAAAGTGCACTCAACATACACACAGAGAAAAAAATAGAAAATTATCCCATTCCCAAACTAAGCCAAAGAAACAGAAAGCAAGAACAAAAATAAAAACCACCAAGGCACAACATTGACACATCCAAAACAATTACATCGCAGAAACAATTTTCCAATTAAAAGAGTTGCATAGACATTACCTGTTTCTTTAGTTTTTCACAAGAATAATAGGTAGATACTGCCTGTATGATTACATAAAATATTCACACCAATTATCTATCTTTTTAAAATTAAAGATAATTCATCACAAAAGATTGTTAAGAGGCCCTTGAGAGGCAGAAAGTGTTAGTGACTTTCATTTTTTGCCCAGTGATTGCTCAAAATTTTGTAAATGTTCAGGTCAAATTCCAGCCAGGGTACTCCATTAGAAAAATTTAAATAAGACAGATATAACAAATAATCTAGAGGAAAGAGAGTAAAAAACTTAAGGATGGACAAATTGTGTAAGACTAGCTATAAGAATCCAAGTAACAGAAGACTTATTCAAATAAGGGAAGTTATTGGTACATAGAACATGAAGCCCCGTGGAAGAGAAACTCCAGGGTTATTAATTTATTTTTATTTTTATTTTGTATACTTTAAGCTCTAGGGTACATGTGCACAACGTGCAGGTTTGTTACATATGTATACATGTGCCATGTTGCTGTGCTGCACCCATTAACTCATCATTTACATTAGGTATATCTCCTAATGCCATCCCTCCCCACCACCCACACACACCACGACAGGCCCTGGTGTGTGATGTTCCCCTTCCTGTGTCCAAGTTTTCTCATTGTTCAATTCCCACCTATGAGTGAGAACACGTGATATTTGGTTTTTTTTCCTTGCCATAGTTTGCTGAGAATGATGGTTTCCAGCTTCATCCATGTCCCTACAAAGGGCACGAACTCATCCATTTTTATGGCTGCATAGTATTCCATGGTGTATATGTGCCACATTTTCTTAATCCAGTCTATCATTGATGGACATTTGGGTTGGTTCCAAGTCTTTGCTATTGTGAATAGTGCCACAATAAACATACGTGTGCATGTGCCTTTATAGCAGCATGATTTATAATCCTTTGGGTATATACCCAGTAATGGGATGGCTGGGTCAAATGGTATTTCTAGTTGTAGATCCCTGAGGAATCGCCACACTGACTTCTACAATGGTTGAACTAGTTTACAGTTCCACCAACAGTGTAAAAGTGTTCCTATTTCTCCACATCCTCTCCAGCACCTGTTGTTTCCTGACTTTTTAATGATTGCCATTCTAACTGGTGTGAGATGGTGTCTCATTGTGGTTTTGATTTGCATTTTTCTGATGGCCAGTGATGATGAGCATTTTTTCATGTGTCTGTTGGCTGCATAAATGTCTTCTTTTGAGAAGTATCTGTTCACATCCTTCACCCACTTTTTGATGGGGTTGTTTGATTTTTTCTTGTAAATTTGTTTAAGTTCTTTGTAGATTCTGGATATTAGCCCTTTGTCAGATGGGTAGATTGTAAAAATTTTCTCCCATTTTGTAGATTGCCTGTTCACACTGATGGTAGTTTCTTTTGCTGTGCAGAAGCTCTTTAGTTTAATTAGATCCCATTAGTCAATTTTGGCTTTTGTTGCCATTGCTTTTGGTGTTTTAGTCACAAAGTCCTTGCCCATGTCTGTGTCCTGAATGGTATTGCCTAGGTTTTCTTCTAGGATTTTTATGGTTTTAGGTCTAACATTTAAGTCTTTAATCCATCTTGAATTAATTTTTGCATAAGGTGTATGGAAGGGATCCAGTTTCAACTTTCTACATATGGCTAGCCAGTTTTCCCAGCAACATTTATTAAATAGGGAATCCTTTCCCTATTTCTTATTTTTCTCAGGTTTGTCAAAGATCAGATGGTTGTAGATGTGTGGTATTATTTCTGAGGGCTCTGTTCTGCTCCATTGATCTATATCTCTGTTTTGGTACCAGTACCGTGCTGTTTTGGTTACTGTAGCCTTGTAGTATAGTTTGAAGTCAGGTAGCATGATGCCTCCAGGTTGTTCTTTTGGCTTAGGATTGTCTTGGCAATGTGGGCTTTTTTTTTGGTTCCATATGTACTTTAAAGTAGTTTTTTCCAATTCTGTGAAGAAAGTCATTGGTAGCTTGATGGGGATGGCATTGAATCTATAAATTACCTTGGGCGGTATGGCCATTTTCACGATATTCTTTCCTCCTATCCATGAGAATGGAATGTTCTTCCATTTGTTTGCATCCTCTTTTGTTTCATTGAGCAGTGGTTTGTAGTTCTCCTTGAAGAGGTCGTTCACATCCCTTGTAAATTGGATTCCTAGGTATTTTATTCTCTTGGAAGCAATTGTGAATGGGAGTTCACTCATGATTTGGTTATCTGTTTGTCTGTTATCAGTGTATAAGAATGCTTGTGATTTTTGCACATTGATTTTGTATCCTGAGACTGCTGAATTTGCTTATCAGTTTAAGGAGATTTGGGGCTGAGACGATGGAGTTTTCTAAATATACAATCATGTCATCTGCAAACAGGGACAATTTGACTTGCTCTTTTCCTAACTGAATACCCTTTATTTCTTTCTCCTGCCTGATTGCCCTGGCCAGAACTTCCAACACTATGTTGCAAAGGAGTGGTGAGAGAGGGCATCCCTGTCTTGTGCCATTTTTCCAAGGGAATGCTTCCAGTTTTTACCCATTCAGTATGATATTGGCTGTGGGTTTGTCATAAATAGCTCTTATTATTTTGAGATATGTCCCATCGATACCTAATTTATTGAGAGTTTTTAGCATGAAGGGCTGTTGAATTTTGTCAAAGGCCTTTTCTTCATCTATTGAGATAATCATGTGGTTTTTGTCTTTGGTTCTGTTTATATGCTGGATTACATTTATTGATTTACGTATGTTGAATAGCCTACCTACCAAAAAAAGTCCAGGACCAGATGGATTCACAGCTGAATTCTACCAAAGGTACAAGGAGGAGCTGGTCCCATTCCTTCTGAAACTATTCCAATCAATAGAAAAAGACGGAATCTTCCCTAACTCATTTTATGAGGCCAGCATCATCCGGCTACCAAAGCCTGGCAGAGACGCAACAAAAAAAGAGAATTTTAGACCAATATCCCTGATGAACATCGATGCAAAAATCCTCAATAAAATACTGGCAAACTGAATCCAGCAGCACATCTAAAAGCTTATCCACCAGGATTATTAATTTAGTAGCTTGAAGTCATTATCAACAACCCAGGTTTTTCCATCTCGCCTCATTGTAATCACCTCATCAGTTTGCTTCTTGGTTGTAAGATGGCTACAGCTACTGGCATCAAATATTCCTATGCCAGTGAAGGGAGACAGAAAAACTGACTATACTTTCATTGTGTTTAAAACTAAGAAGGATTTTTCAGAATCTCTCCGGCATCCCTCATATCTCATTCGTCATAAGTGGGTAATAAGCCCAAACCAAAATCAATCATTGGCAAGGTGATAGGACCTGATAATTGGTTTAGATCCATAAGAATTTACTAAGGCATATGGGCCAGAGGATTCTGTAACAAATTTCGTTAGGCTGCTGTAACAAAATGCCATAAACTTGGTGGCTAACACATAACAGAAATTTATTTCTCACAGTTCTGGAATTGGAAAGTCCAAGATCAAGGCACCAGCAGATTTGGTGTCTGGAAAGAACCTGCCCCTGGTTCACATATGGCCATCTTTTCTCTGTGTCCTCATATGGCAGAAAAGAAGGCAAACTCTCTGGAGTCTTTTTTATGAGGACACTAATCCCGTTTATGAGTGCTCCACCCTCATGACCTAAGCACCTGGCAAAAGTCCCACCTCCAAATACTGTCACATTCTGCATCAGGATTTAACATCTGCATAATATTTAACAAACATTCAGTCTATGGTAGGTGAACATAAAACCAGAATAAAATTTCAGCTCTGCATGGAGGAAAAAGGTTGGGAGTAAGTTTTGGGTGACCAAGTATCAATTTTACCTATATCTGCTCTACATATTAATGTCCTAGACCTCATATCTTTCTAAGAATGTAATTGAATATAGGAATTTTTCAACCCACTTTTTTTTTTTTTTTTGAGACGAAGTCTCACTCTGTTGCCTAGGGTGGAGTGCAGTACCATGATCTCAGCTCACTGCAGCCCCCGCCTCCTGGGTTCAAGCAATTCTCCTGCCTCAGCCTACTAAGTAGTTGGGACTACAGGCATGTGCCGCCACACCCGGCTAATTTTTGTATTTTTAGTAGAGAGGAGGTTTCACCATGTTGGTCAGGCTGGTCTCAAACTCCTGACCTCAAGTGATCCTCTCGTCTAGGCCTCTCAAAGTACTGGGGCTACAGGCATGAGTCATCATGCCCAGCTTTAACCCACTTTCTAATCTACTTTTGGAAGACACAGAAATTCGCAAAGGAAGGCAATGTCTTTCTAAACAGATCCAGCATTTGCCTATCTACCAGGCAGAGAGAAACTTACATTGTGCTACAAAGTTGAAGAGATGGAACATCAAAAAAGTACCATTTGTCCTGGTTTTTACATACATCTGGCAAGTTGTATGAGTTGCACTAGTTTTAATGCCCAGTGGTGAAGAGAAAATATACCAGAGTTTTTAGACATGCAAGCACTAGAGTCACACTTTTATTGACAATAGTGTAATTGGGGCTGGGTCATCCAGGCTTGTGAGAACTAATGGTTACAGTGAAAGTGCTATATAATGGTATGCTACTACTGAGCATCTGTTTCCAACTCTGCTTCAGTGGTATCACATTGAAATCAACCAAATCAATCCTAATGAGCATATTAACCCCACAGAAATATTCAAATGCTACAGACCAGAAAATCAAGCAGCCAAAAATGAAGTGGTTTGCTGTTAAATGTTTAAGAACTACCTCTCTGAAGGCAGAGAGGAACCCTGATGCTAGAGACTGAACAATATCAGACTGTTCAGGGTGCTGTAACAAACTACCATAGACTGCATAGCTTACAAACAACAGAATTGTATTTGCTAGATTCTGGATGCTGGGAAGTCCAAAATCAAGTGGCCAGAAGATGTGGTGTCTGGTGATAGCCTGATTCCTTACTTATGGATATCTTCTCTTTGTGCCTTCACATGGCAAAAGGCACAAGGGAGCTCTCTCTTTCACAAGGGCATGAATCCCATTCATGACAGCTCTGCCCTCATGACTTAATAACCTCCCAAAGGCCCCAGCTCCTAATATCATCACATGGAGAATTAGGATTTCAACATACGAAATCTGAAGTGATGCAAACTTTCCGTCTATAGATTCAGGGCAGTCCTCTGCCCCTAGAGAGCTGGTTGTTAAACACTTACCAGCAATCTACTTCATAAACCTGCAGTCCTGGAACCTTCAAACAGGGCTTGGTCAATACTGCTAAGAATATAGAGGCAAATACATTCAAGATAATTTATAGCTAATTCTTTTAGCTTGCAGTTTCTGTTTTCCTTAGAATTATTCAGACCCCATGCAGATCATTTTTCTAGAAATCCAGGTTTGGTGCTCAATTATGAGACATCAGTTTGAGAGAGGGAATTTGGTTTAGTTTAATGGGCTTGCTTAAGGCACTTGTAAGGAATATAAGAGACTTGGGTTCTTAAACATGTCTAACATTAGCTAGTATGTCGTTTTTTTCTTTAATCCCTGTTAACACGTCTAGTGTTTCTGAGTTTTGGTTTTGACATCTGTAATATACAAAGGTTGAAATCACTTAGTGGTTACCAGTGCCTCACACTCTTCTAGCCTGTAGAACATTGGCCTCTTCTTTCTATCTCCATTACATTGTACTCTTTTGAACCAAAACTCAGGTCCTCAGAAGCGAAATCTATTTATTGCTGTAGCTAGTGATGACATCGTGGCCTCATTTCCCAAAGATGTTTCAGAAATATTCATAATGGATACATAAGATTCTAGGCATACTGCTTTTCTTTCAGCTGTCCAAACACACCAAGATCCTTTCAGCATCCAGGGCTGTGTCTGTTGTTCTCTCTCCCTGGAAATGCCCTTCTGCATATAGCCATCTCCTCCCATCCTTCAGTTTTCTGGGGCTTCCATAAAAAATACCACAGACTGTGTGGCTTCAAAAACAGAAGTTTATTTCCTCAAAGTCAAGTGAAAGATCAAGGTACCAGTAGGTTTGGTTTCTGGTGAGGCCTCTCTGTTCAGCTTCTAGACCGCTCCTTCTCACTGTGCCCTCGGCTGGCCTTTTCACCGTGTGCATCCTCCAGGAGACAGAGGGTTCTCATGTCTCTTCCTCTTTTAAAGAATGGTCCAATTGGATTACAGTACCACCCACCCTTCTGGCCTCATTTAACCTTAATTACCTCCTTATCTCCAAATACAGTGACACTGGGGGTTAAGGTTTCAACATATGAATTTGGGAGAACACAATTTAGTGTGTAACAAGGTCCCTACTTTCAGCAAGTGCTGCTCTGCACCTTCCTCTCTAAATTTAATCTCTCCTGTTTTTCTCTCATAACACCATGTTCATTTCCTTAATCATCTCTGTGTGTATATGCAGACACACATATGTAATATTTTGTACAAATTATTTACTTGGAGCCTGTTTTTGCCATTAGACTGTAAATATCATAAGGGTAAGAACAAAGCCTACCATATTTACTATTATAGGCTCAGCAATTGGCATGGAGACTAGTGCACAGTGGGCAGTCAATACATACTGTGGTTTGCTCACTATTTATTTAATGCATAAGCACTTTAAAAATCAAGATGCAAACGAAGAGTGACTCCTTGCACTCCCTGAACTCATCTGTGTCCTGGCAGTAGTACAGGCACTTTTCAAGCATTATCTCATTTATTCTTTACAGCAACATAAGTTATTGCTGTTTTATTTTCCACTCGGTAGTGATAATCATTGTCTGCATTCATAATCCACAAGAGTGGAATTAAAGGGTCAAAAGGTATGAGCATTTTGAAGCTCTCAGAGCATATCATTAAATTGATTTCCACAGAAGCTTGCAATAGTTACTGCGTGTCTACTTCATCGTACCCTCATAAGGATTAACATTTTTATCTATGCTAGTTGTAGAGGTGAAATAGTATGGCATTACTATTTTAATTCGTTAGATTATTTGATAACCAAAGAGTCTGAAGCCAAAGCCTTTTCCTGCTAGTCCTATTTACATCATCTCCCATGCCTAAACATCCTTCTTCTTCATGGGAAGTTGCCTGGAAGCCTGTAAGAATTCTTGGTTTTCTCAGCATTGTGTTACAGCAAATCTTAATAATGATGAAGATCTTCTTAATTAAAATTGCTCAAGAAATTTATTTTTTTTAGTTGACAGCTTCTCGGATAAAATCCTCCAATAACTTCCGATTACCTTCATGATTAAGCCCAAACTCTTCGGCCACCACCTCATTTCCATGGTCATCTCTCCCTCCTCTATTTGATATTTTATAGTCAAGCAACACAGAACTGCCCACAGTTTTTGCACACGTAGTGCTTGTCATTTCTTTTTCTTGGCTGAAGATCTCCACTCTCTTCTGGCTGTATTACATTTCCCCTCTTTTCTCCTTCTTCTTCTCCTCAGCTTCACATCCTCTGGCAAGCTACCATCTCTATTCAGCATTATTCAACACGTTTTCATGGTATGATTTTTTTCTGTGTCACAATATCAACTTCTCTGTAAATACTTAACCATTGACTGGATTGGGTAACCTTCCTCTGCTTCCCAATAGCTCCCTGTGTTAACTTGTGAATTGTAATGATGTGTCTGTTTATCTCTCCTGAATGAGACAAGAACTCCTTGAAGTCATAGACCAGATCGTCTTCATCTTGTATTCTTAGGAACTAACAAGAGTGCCAGTGATTATTACATAGTACCAGATGTGCAGTAAACATGTTTAAATAAATTAATGACTGAGAGAATGAATTATTAACCTTGAGGAGGAAATGCAACATTTCTCCCTGTAAAGTGGATGAAAAAGAAGAAATACTATTAGGTTGGTGCAAAAGTAATTGTGGTTTTTGCCATTAAAAGTAATAGATTCAGTAAAGTTTCTATCAGAACAAAAGAAACATCTCTAGATATTTGATATGGAAAGAGATTTAACTCAGCATATTAGAGCCCAGTGAAACAAGGATCACAGGGTTGAGCATAAGCAGACACTTGCTACTCAGTGTTCCACTTTTCCTCTAGAAATTCAACTGGGCAAGAACCAGGTGGATGCAGCCCAGATGGTGGGCATGATATCACTACTGAGGAGTCCCAAACAAAATGCTTCTGCCTCTTTATGGATTTGTGAGTCAAACGGAGGGACTCCAAAAATTATGACAGTGAAAGAGATCTGAACTAACAGACCGCGTCTAGCTTCTAAGCTCCCAAGCTGTCCTTGTTCATTACTGGGCATAGGCCAACTAACTTTCGGAAGAATTTAGTTTATAGTTTAACTTTGAAACAAAGATGATAACAGCTCTCTTCTGAAACAAACCCCTTTCTTGTCTGGGGTCCAGGCTGCCTTTGTAACACAAATTAGCCATAAGATTAAAAATTATGGCTTAGGAGTCATAAAGCCACAGACCACAAGGTTCTGAACCTCCCCAGTTGCTCCTAGGAATAACATCACTATTGTAAAACCTAAGATTGATGCTTGAAATATTTTTCAGACCCTGCATTCTGATACACCATCTGGTGCCACACAGATTGGCAATCTGGCTTAATCAGTTCTGTGATCCAACCCAGAAACAGAAGACAGCAAGAACACACTTTGACCTCCTATGATTTCATCTCTGACTCAACCAATCAGCATTCCCTACTCCCTGTCCTCTACCCACCAAATTAGCCTTTAAAAACTCCAGTCTCCAAGTTTTCAGGGAGACTTATTTGAGTAATAAAACCCTGGTCTGTCATTCAGTGGGCTCTGTGTGAATCAAACCCTTTCTCTATTACAATTCCCCTGCCTTGATAAATTGGCTTTATCTGGGCAGCAGGCAAGGAAAACCTATTGGGGAGTCATAGGGGAAGAAATAGGAGCTGGAAGTTATGGAGTCAAAACGGAGAGAAGTGCCTTAGGCAAGTCCTCTACTAAGGTCTGGGAGGAGGTGCCTGGGAAGTGATGAAGACCCCTTGGGCCTAATAAAAGTGCCTCCATGAAAGATCACGGCTAGTCCTGGGGAGCCTGATTCCTTGACTGCAGTTCCCTCCAGAAAACTACAATAGACTGGCAATGCAACAAGTCTGGTGTGGGAGGGAAAATTCCCCCTAGGAGGCCTCTCCACCCTTGCCTGTGGTTTAGACTGAAAGATCACACATAGAATTTGGGAGTTGAGCTGGACCCCTTACAGGGAAACTGCTAGCATTCAAGAGTTTAATTATATGGGTATTGTAGAAAAATGCCAGTGATAATCTCAGCTGCCTGTAGCACCAAACTGGAAGGCAGGCAAGAAAACACCAGAAGGTGGAAAAACCTCACATTTGCCTTCGGCCAAAGCCGATATGTGTGGCCACTGCTGCTTATGAGGAATGATGGTTTCTGCTTCTTTTTGGCCTACCACATATTGCATAAAAGTTGTATTGAAATTTTACCTGAAATCCAGCTAGTGGAATTTAAGTAAATATAATCCCCAGGGTTCTAGCTCATGTGATATAAAGTAACAGGCAAAAAATGGGAAAATAAATCTGAGTTGCTCATAAATAAACCAGCACAGTACAAAAGACAGTGCATGGGAATAAAGAAGAGGGAATATTTTTGCCAGACAGACTAAATACCACCTAAAATATAGGAAGCAAACTTGAAAGTTGTGGAATTGGAAATGAGATGGTCAGGAATAGTTCAAATGATTCCTTTAAAACTGTGAACAGGTAATTCACAAAAATAATTGATGTTAAGAAACTTATAAAATGAAAAACTTAATCTTACTAGTAATCACAGAGATGAAACACACATATATCTGATTTTTACTCACTTGAAGAATTTTAAGTGCTATCAGAGCTACTTTGGTCACTGATCATGTATGGTCTCACATTTGGTTATATAAGCTACTCAGCGTGCCAAGTACAGGACAAGACAGTTGTTCCACTGTCGTTGGAATCTATTGTTCTCACTTTTTTCAAAATTGATTTGTCAAAGTGCATCAAGAACCTTAAACTGTTATTTTCTTTTGCTCCCTAATTCTATCTTTAGAAACGCATTCTAAATAAAAAGTTAGAGTTGCTGATCAGTAATAATCTAAATAACCACCAGTAAGGGAAAGTTAAAGATGAATAATAGAATGTTTCTTCTAAGAAGAGGAATAATATGGAGCCATGAAAAATTAGACACTGAAAATCAATTCTGTGACATTACCTAAGTGCATTTTATAATATTAAGGGGTATTTTATAAGATAACATGAACATTATTCCTGTTATATGCATAAAAATAAGATTGGGAAGAAAAGCACCAAAAAGTTGGTCACCATTTTTCTGTGTGATGGTATTGTGGGTGCCTTTTTTTCTCCACACTGTTTTTGTTTGCTTGTCTGCTTTTATGAGTTCTATAATAAATACATTTTACTTATTGAGTTGCTTTGAAAATTCATTTGATATTTTGGTTTACAAATATGAAATCAAACTCATCTGTATAGGTTGCGTGATTCAACAGTTGTCCAGCAGCAACCATCAGACCAAGCGGGGAATTAGGAAACCAAGAGTTTGTTTCAATTTAAGCTGTGTGACGTTTAGCAAAACAAGTTGGCAGAAGGGCAAAAGTCTTAGGGAGTTGAGAGTGTGACACCATGTTATCTGCCCTGGATAGAAACAAAAATTATATGTGTTAGGATGGGAGAGGAACACTGAAGTAAAATGAAGGAACTGAGGGACTGAGAATCCTAATGCGATTTTTCTTGAAGCAATTCTAGGAAACAGAAAAGTCCAGAGGGTAGCTGGGGTATCGAAAGCTGCAGTCATGGAGATGCTTGGAAGACATGATGCAGGACATACAGTCTACATGGATCTGCAGGTCCTTTGGGATGACTCCAACATTTGAGGAAAGAGCAGAACACAATAAGGATCCTAAGTCTTCAATGGATGCAGAGGGGTGCCCTGGAGCAGGAGGTGGCCTGGCCTGAGCAGCACACAGGAAGTGACATGAAGAGATGAGAATTGCAGCACTGTCTCTACACTTGAAGTTCTCAGGATGTCTTACGTTTAAAATAAATGTTTAAAACTTTGATTTTTAACATTTTTAATTATCATCACTTCTTTAGAAATGTGTTCAGATGTAACCAATTTTCCTGTGGTACCTTTATGATTACTTAGCTTCTGAAGGAGAAGAGGTTATAGTATCAGTTAATTTACTTCCCACCTATCATTGCAGTGATTAATGACTGGCCGAATGGAGAATCTGCTTTTAATTTTTTTTCTCATTAAAATCATACAAGAAATGTTGACAGTAGCAATTGCTTCTGAACAGACATTTCAGGTTCAAGAATAGTTGAGAACCATTCTGTGGATGGTTGCTCCAGTGAATAGATTTCAAATTATATGAAATTGGTTTTTTTGTTAGAAGTGCAAAAGTTGTCCCAAAAATGCATTAATTTTATTAAATTGTTTAGAGACTTGGAGTTCCCTTACAACTGAGCCAGCTAGCATCTTGGGAAAGGACAGAAGACAAGACTGCCCTCACTGCCTACTGTATACACTGGGCTAGTGTGAAATAATTCTCTATCGTTATGATAATCTATCCATCCTCAAGGTAGTAAAATGGAAGCAGGGGCTTCAGTGAAGTCAAAAGGGCCTAGAAGTAGTTGTGTTGTCAAGGGAGAGGGTTCAAGGGGAGATAGTAATTCTGATCATAGTTCCTATCAGTATTATTTTCTCAAGGTAGATATTATCTGTCCAAGATGTCTTCTTCACTGATGTTTCCAGCACCTCAGTTTGCCGCTCCTCTATGTGGAGTCTCATTTCAGCAGAGGAGCCTGAACTTCTTAGAAAGTAGTTCAAGACTTCAAAATCCAGGAAGCAGAAGCAGCCAGTCTTCCTAAAGTTTGGACTCAGAAGTTTCACAATGTCATTTTCAACTATTCTCTTAGTCAAATTAGGTACAAGCAGCTGAGATTCAAGAGGGGGAGAGGGCCATGTGTACAGAGAGGAAAGGAATTGATGGCAGTGGCCATTTTTCCTTGAGAGATGCTATGAGAAGTACAGAAAGTTATAAGGGGTATGGGAAAGAAGCTGTAGCAGATTGAGAAAGAGATTAGAAAATGACTTGAATGAAAAGGTCATATGATAGAAATAAGCACTACTTTTGGCATCAGCCTTTTTTCACTGAGTGTCCAATATACACCCTTTTCTATGCTTGATGGCGAAGATATAAAAGTGATTCAATATGGACAGTGCTATAGGCTTGCTTGTGTTCCCTGCACCCCGAAATTTATACGTTGAAATTCTAACCCTCAGTAACTGAGAATGTGACTTCATTTGGAGACAGGGCCTTTAAACAGGATAATTGTGGCTTACGCCTGTAATCCCAGCACTTTAGGGTGGTTGAAGCAGGTGGATCACTTGAGGTCAGGAGTTCAAGACCAGCCTGGCAAATATGGTGAAACCCCATCTCTACTAAAAATACAAAAATTAACCGGGCACGGTGGCAGGTGCCTGTAATCCCAGCTACTTGGGAGGCTGAGGAACAAGAATTGCTTGAACCTAGGAGGTGGAGGTTGCAGTGAGCTGAGATCATGCTGCTGCACTCCAGGCTTGGCTAGAGCAAGACTCTGTCTCAAAAAATAATAATAATAAAATAAAATAAAGAGGTAAATAAAGTAAAATGAAGTCATATGGGCAGACATTATGCATTGCAAGAAGGGGGCCATCCGCAAGCCAAATAGAGAGGCTATAGAAGAAAGCAAACCTGCTGACACCTTGATTTTAGACTTCTATCCTCTAGACTTGTGAGACAGTAAGTTTCCATTGTTGAAGGCACCCAGTCTGTGGTACTTTGTTATGGATGTCCCAGCAAGCTGATAGAATACAGTATACTCAAGACACTTAAACTGCATGGATGATGTAGACAAATAAGTAGATTTTTCAATACAGTGTTATAATACCTCCAATAGGGGTAGACACAGGATGCCATAGGAACATAGAAAAAGGGCATCATATTCTCTTCGTTTAGATTCTTCTTTAAAATAATGTCTCACTGCTTTTTCTGATGATGAAATGAGACATTTTATGTAAAGCACTGAAGTAATAGGTGCCTATTATATATTAGTTCTTTAGCTCCTTCCTTCAAACCTATTATATACATACATAATATTTTTTTCTCCTTCTACCCATGGAAAGAAAAAAAAGTAGAAAGTCAGAGTGGAAGAATCTGAAAAAAACACCACTGACCCAGAGGATTATATGCACACCCAAAAATGAGGCAGAAGCCTCGTTTTGGCAGCTCTGGGTCACTTAGGAGTTTTTCACAACCAAAGGGCTACTAATTCTGAAGCCTTATAAAGCTGTGTGCTGGAACCAGGATGGTTCTGAAGACATTTTAAAATATTCTGGATGAGTTCATTCTGCTCAAGTTAAGAGGAATTTTCTCAAGATTAGTTCAAGTTGCGACTGAAAGCAAAGATTAGTAAATAGAACTTCTCATTATTTAAACATAATAATCCATGAAAATATAATGTTTAAGCCAATACTAATGGCTATTTAAAGGATTTATTTTATCCAAGTTTATGAATGATGAGAGGTTTTTAAAAAAGGAATTTTGATGAAAGGAATTTAACTTGGGAAATCTTGCTAGAAGTTGATTTCTAAGATTAACATTAATGCATATGATTCATCAGGGAAGAGTTATTTACATTTCTGATTTATCATTTTAATTAAGCAATGCTTCTTGATAGCAGTGATGATCCAGGGCAGATACATAGGGTAAAGGTTATAGGTATGCGAAGCATTAGATCAGGCTCTATGACTTGTTGCAGAGGGACAAGCTCAGGGTCATATCCAAATAGATAGGAAATAAATGCTTTTGTAGTCAGTGTTGACAAAAATAATGCTAGGAATAAAAATATGCTTGCTCATTCTATAAGTTTTTTTAGACTCCCTCCAACAAACTCCCTTGGCAAATAAAGAATATTAAACACAGAAACGAAATGGCACATTGGGGTCTCTCTTAAAAATCGCATTCTAAGCAAATCCCAGAAATTTGAAAGCATTCTGTAAGAGTTCCTCGAATATGCCTTTGACACAAGAACAACCTTGATTATACTTGTTGTACTGGCTTCTCTCACCCCTATTGGTTCAATAAATGACCCCTTTGAGGGAAGTTCAGAATGGTTGTTTATCTACAAATCCCACGCTTTTTATTAAATTGGGATGAATTCCCCAGTGTTCACATTTTAAAATGCAAGACAGATTGCAGCACCTGTAGATGATGATTCCACTGGTAACAGGCAGCAACTGAGGATCTATGTGCCCTGTCACTGGGTCAGTGGGAGCCCCTTGGACTGCTCTGCCATTGGCTGGTATTCACTGTCATTCCTGCTGCTCTTGCCCTGGATTCTGCCTCAGTGAAATAGTCAACATGTTCTTCCTCACATGCTGCTTTCCTTCTAGCAAGGCTCATCTCTGAACCACATTATACACCAGCAAATACCATCTTCAATCTGTCTCACAAGATTTGCAGCTGGGACAAATAATGTACAAGTTCTTAATTCCCAGAGTATGGAAATTATACTCTAGTTACTAAAAATCTCTCCCCAAATTACAGTCGGTTTCAAGTGTCATGTTTATGTTGTTCTGTGTGATAAAAATACCTCTACAGTGACAGTCTAGGTGCTAAATGTTCTGCTTGTGAGTGCTACATACAATATAATAGTTGTGTCTTCTCAGATAATGTAAAGAATAACATGTATTTCAATCTTCTCTATTATGATAACCTAATATGCCCTCCAAAAGTTTGGTGATGCCAAGAGAGGAAATGTTAATTAGTCTACCAACACTTTAGGAGTTCTTGTATGCAAACAACAGAAGTTGGCTATAGTTAATATAAAAAGAGATAGGATTTATAAGAAGGATATAGGCTAGATCATAGAATCAACCATAAGGAAAGAGGACAGAGCTTGCTAAAAGTGCACCATCCAAGAGAGACTGGGTAGAGAATACAGCCCAAGTCTTGAAGTTCAATTCGTTCTACAGATGTGGACCCAACTACATATGCATAGTTATTACCACTCCTAGAATCTGCCCTTCAGCTTCCGTGAATATTTCTAACTGCTCCTCTGCCCTTGTATCATTTTATCAGGATTCCAGGTGCTGAACAAAAGGATCAAATTGGCTGATCCTATTTCATATGCCACTAGCTGCCAGAGATCAGAGAGAGGGAATAACTGCCTGCTTTAGGATATGGAAAATGCCTTCAATATAAAATATTCAAATGCCTGGCAGCCAAATAATGAAACTCCAACAAACGACCTTCTCTCAAATTCATAAAATTGTGTTAATATTTCTAGTAATACTTAACAAAAAGTTTAGCTGACCTTGACATGATCTCCCTCACCAGTTGCACCACCATGCCAAAATAATTGTTTTCCATTAAGTCTGTATGTCAGTTAAGGTCATCATATTTTACCCATAATTGTATTCATGATAGTATGGAAAAGCAAATAGACTTTCCTAAAATCTTATCCCTGAGGATCTATTACAGCTGTGGCAAGTTTCCACTTACTGAGTAATTACTATATGCAGGGCTCTGGGCTAGGTAATTTATATGCAGCATCTTGTTTAGTCCTCACAAGGCCCTTGCAAACTCTACATTACTCACTTCATTTTCCATGTAAAGAAAATGAAATTCAAAAATCTACGTAATGGTCTCAAATACAGCAAATTGTTTGCAGGCAGTGCTGGGATGATAACCTAGGACTGAGTGATTTCTCCTTCCTTCCTGCTTTACTTCTTTCCTTCTTTTCTTCTATGTCAAAGTCTCTGTTCAAGATATTTTCACCATTCTGCATGTCTAATCAGCAGCATAAAAGCCCATGAATCCTACCTTCACGCAAAAAAATCATTTTTTTTCTGAAAATATGTATTTGGTCACCATCATCAAGGATTCTCTGTGACACAGACTGGTTGGCTTTTTAAATTTAAAAAAATTATTCCATACTTTTACTCAAATATGAAAATCTATTTGGAAAGCTATAGCCTCTTGACTGTGTAGGAGAAACAGAATAGAACCTACAATGCTCTGAGAATAAGAGGAGCAGAAGCTTGTCAATGTGGGTTTACAGTTGGCATCCCTCACTTGGAGTCAGAGCAGAGTAGAAAAGCATCTGTCATCAAATGTGACAAAGGCCACTGCCCTAGTTAAACTGTTGTGAACTGGGGCACTTGAGTCTGAGTAATTCAGGACTTTTATTTTCAGACCATGTCCCCAATCATTCCTGTTGAAATGAAGGCCATCTCTTGCCACTAAATGTGCCATTTACCCTTAGCAATAATCTGTAACTTTCATCCAACCAGTAAAGACAGAAAAATGGAAAATGTTACATCCTCAGATAAAGGAAAAAAAAGATATATTTCTTGTTGTGCACCCCAAATGTGTTTTCTTTTACTTTCTCATTTGTTCTGTAACAGATTTTAATGACTGCAGATACATTTCACAAAGTATATAATAAATTTAAAAGGAAAATATCTTCATTCCACTCAAATCCATACAATGTATACACCTGTTGGAATTGGAACAGACAATATTTTGTGAAATGTTTTATGCAAATGCTAACTAGATATAAATGTGCATCATTCATTTAAATTACAGTTCATACATGGACCCAGGAGTCATACAGGTACCACTATAATCCACTTAGACATTCTGGATTCTTCTATCTTATTACAGTATTATTTTTCCCTTGTAGGTAAAGCCCATTGGCCCTGTCTAGTATTGGCCAAGATGAAAAAGAAAGGATAAACCCTAGTAGAATGAAAAGTAGACACACTACTGCTTAGTTACAGACAGTGTTATGTAGTGATTACGGGCTCTGGAATCAAACTTCCTTTATTCAAATCCTAGTCGTTGGCTGTGTAACCTTTGGCAAGTGATTTAGCCTCTCTGTAACTCAGTAGCCTCACCTATTAAATGGAGGTGATGATAATTGCACTTCATAAAATTACAGTGAGGATTAAACATGAGTTAATAAATGTAAAGCATCTAGGCCAACTCATGGTAAATCCTCAGTAAATATCAAAATTGTGAAAACTTACTGCATGCATTTTCTCTTGTCATGATTCTTCCAAAACATTTGTTAGTTACCAAGCATTCAATTGCAGAGACGAACAATAATCTACTTAACTAACAATTGTAATAAATTTTTAGATTTTTTTCCAATTCTTCACTGTTATATATTTGCCTAATTTTTCAGATTAACCTTAGAATCAATTTGTCAACTTTGTAAAAAAATGCCTCTTGGATTTTAACTGAGATTATATTAAACATACACATTTATTTGGGGGAGATTCTCTTATGAAGTCCAATCTTCTCATCCAGGGATATAGTTTATCTTTCTGTAAATTTAAACCTCCTTAAAATAAACCTCTAATGTTTTGCAATTATTTTCATATAAATCATCTGTATTTCTTTGTACATATATTCTTTGGTATTTCACAACTCAGTCATTAGGAACTATTAAATAGAATGTATTCTTATTTCTTACTGTTATGGAAATATTTAGTAGTTTATGCCATTTTTTAATATAGAGGCTATAATTTTTCATAGTAAAGAATATCAAACCTTTCTGTGTATGACTCTGTTTTTATACATAGAAAAACATCAACTTACATCCTGAATTTAGAGCAATTTTTAGTTTTATCTTTTTAAAAGTAAAAGCACTTTCCAAAGAGGAAAAAAAAATTAGGTCCATAAGGCCGGGCGCGGTGGCTTACGCCTGTAATCCCAGCACTTTGGGAGACCAAGGCGGGCGGATCAGGACTTCAGGAGATCGAGACCATCCTGCCTAACATGGTGAAACCCTGTCTCTACTAAAAATACAAAAAAATTAGCCGGACGTGGTGGCGGGCACCTGTAGTCCCAGCTACTCAGGAGGCTGTGGCAGGAGAATGGCGTGAACCCAGGAGATGAAACTTGCAGTGAGCCGAGATCGCGCCACTGCACTCCAGCCTGAGTGACAGAGCGAGACTCTGCCTCAAAAAAAAAAAAAAAAAAAAAAAAAAAAAAAAAAAAAAAAAAAGATCCATAATATAAGTATACTTCTAAGCAAAGGGGTGATTTTATAGAGAAATCATTACAATAAATGGAATTCTTGCTTCACCATGAAGGATGTCAGTAGAACTGTCTCAGCCCAAATAGAAAGACCAAGAACTTAAGAAAATTCTGTGCTAATTAACATGTCTATTAATGGGTTATTAGACCGTAACAGTCTAACGTTTACTACAATCCTGCCTTCTTTTCAACATACTCCTACCTTAGAATTCTTCTCATACTTTTGTAATTATCTCATATTAATTGATTGCATATTGTTTATTTTTGTCCACTGCCAATGTATTTCCATTAGGGCTGCAACCATCACCTATCTTATTCACCATAGTGAACAATGCCCAATCACAGTCTCATTCGTTTGTTTATTCATTAATTGAATAAATAAATATTTATCTCCTATTCCTTATCATGAACTGTTGCATATAGACAAGGTCTTTGGCCTCAGAGTGTTTATTTTCTGCGGAGTTGGGGTAGGATAGAAAGCAAGTATCCAAATAAATAACATAATTTCACATAATTGTAACAGCTACTGCAGAGGGTGGACTGAGCAAATCTGGGTGGATGTACTGTTGAAAAAAAAAAGCCAGTGAAGGCCTCTCTCAGGAGGTAACATATAAACAGAGACGTTGATAATATGAAAGATCTGAGGGGAAAATGTTGCAAGTAGACTGAATTTGTATAAAGATCCTGAAGTGGATAAAGTTGGTGGTTTGAGAAGAAGCAATAAAACCAGCGACCAAGAGAGAGAATGGAAGGAGATGATGTCACAAAAGCAAGACATAGTGAGATCGTGCAGGCAAGGCCTTCTTGTCTCACACTTTTCAAACTTAGCTGTGCATGTAAATCATCTGGAATCTTTTTAAAATTCAGACTCTGATTCAGGAAGTCTGGGCCAGGGCCTGAGATTCTGAATTCCTAACAAGCTTCCAAGGGATGCTAATGCTGTTATTCTGGGGACCACTCTGAAAAGGAAGCTTCTGAGTTATAAAAAGGAGGTTTAGTTTTATTGTAAATATGAATAAAAGCCATGAAAGGGCCTTGGGATGACATAATTGCTTTTCATTTTCAAAGGATTACACCGGTGTGAGGAAAAGCTTGTGGGGGAGAAAGTGTGGAAGCAGGAAGCCATTAGGAAATTGCTTCCGTGAGGCAACAGAAGAGGGTGGTTCAGAGTAGCCCAGGCAACGAAGGAGCCCAGGACACACGGTCACGTTTGGGACATGTTTTGATTACATAGTCAAAATAATTGATGGACTAGATATTGGATGTGAAAGTCAGAGTAATCAAGACTGACTACTCTGCAAATGAACCAGTGAGTGATTTGTGGTTCTTGTTATAAAGATGAGAAAATATGGAAGAAGGACAGCTAGGACAGGATAGAAGTCAAGGGTTTGGTTTCAGATATGCTATTATTGAGAATATCATATTAATGATCAAATAGAAATATTAAGTATAAGTTGTGTATATATGTTAAGAGCTTAGGGAAGAGCATTGAATGTAGATGGAAATTTGGGGGTCACTAGATTTTAAAGTTATTCAATTAAATGAGCTCATCTAGCAGGGGAGAATTAGAGAAGAGATTTAAGTCTGAGAAGAAGAAGAAAGATCAGCCAAGGAGACTGAAAAGAAGCTACTTGTGAGGTAGGAAAATAATTCAAGAACATGTGACACTCTAGAATTTAAGTGAAGAAGTGCTTCAGCATAGTGGCTAATGGAGATTGGGTAATCAAATAAATACCTGTCAGGGTTCAAATAAAATGAAACTGAGAATTGACCATTGAATGTTGCAAGATGTGGGCATTGTTGCTAACTTGACAAAGGGGTCTTGGTGAATAGGATGATAAATTATTGCCTGGAATGTAGGAAAGCAAGAATGGGAGATGATAAAGTAGAAGCAGAGACAATAGAAAACTCTTTCAAGAATTTTTGCAATAAAAAGGAGCAGAGAATGAGCCATAATTGGAGAAAGATGTTAAATCAAAGGAGTTTTATTTTAAGGTAAGAGATATTGAAACATGTTCACGTGCTGACATAAATGATAGGTGATGAGAAAATATGGGTTATGCAGGTGGAGGGGCTGGCTGTGGAGAGAAGAGAGAGATGAGAGGAAAAGAAGAGTATATATGGGTTAAGATGCATGTATGTTGAGAGGGAAGAAAGTGAGAAGACAAGCACTTTTCTTCTAGATGTTTCTGTTTTGCAATAAAATAAGAATCAACAAACAGTAGAAAATGAGGAAGGAGTATTGGGGATTTCAGCAGTGAAGAATTGGTGGGATATATTCATCTCAGATAGCATGGAGGCAAATTTAAGAGAATGTAGTGGGATTCAAGGGTAGTACTGAGGAGCCATTTAAGACATGGTAATACAATAAACATGAAGTAAGTGGGATTTCTTCTATTAACATTCACCTACTTAGGGAGAAAATGGCAAGGTTGCTGAGGATACATGCAAGAAAGAAATTATAGTAATGAACCATGGCATCTAAACCAAGTAAGAAGGAAGTGAGGGCCTGAAAAAGTGGTGAGTCAATGCATTATATAAATGAGACTGAAGAATAGTTATTAAAGAAGTGAATTGAAAGGCAAGAGTTTCTTTGATTCTTTAGGTAAATAAAACCCTATATAACATACCCCTGAACTCTCCAAAGGTGCAGAACAGTGCAGTTTTTAGCCACATGCACACAGCTTGAGCTGTCATGAAAGTTTCTCAAAAGGCTTACTAGAGATTTCCTTTTAGTAAACATATGAGTTTATTTACTTACTTTTCTCAGAAATACCTCTATTGAGAAAAGCAGGGTTGATCAGTACAGCAACTGTATCCCTTTTGATTTTAAGTATTTTGAAATGTTTTAATGCACCAAACTCAAAAGCAAAACATCATTCAAACCAACAGGCTATTAGAGCACCACCCTTAAGTGCTGCTTTGTCTCTCTGCTTATTACTCTCTCAAAAGCAATAAAACAGAAATCATATCACCAAATTTGAATGTTAATATATTTCCAAAATAATCTGGACAGCAAACAGAGTCTTGAAATGCCATCTCAAACATTCTTTAGAAAATTGTTAGGAGGGCAAAAAGTCCATAAAGTATGGCACAAGGGTAGGCAACAAGAAGCTGCTGTCCTTCCATGTGCAAGGCTGCAATGAAGATCTTGGAAGCTGAGAGACTACACCAGCCAATGATGACCAGGGATGACATGATTCCAAAGATGCCCCTGCAGCAAAGACAAAGAAATGATTGCCTGTGCCAGTAGAAAAGAGATTATTGAGTTAAAGTTGCCTCTGAAATATCCTTGGCACAATATTTATAACTACTTTCCCGAGTGGTAAAATGAAAATGATAAAATATATGAACAAAAGCCCTTGGCCAGTTAGGCATTTTTTAGTCAAATTCATTACAGAGACTAAATATTTTATATTTCTGTTAAACCTGAATTAGAAAAAAACAGTAGAAGTCACCTGCAGTCACTCTGTTCTCATCTGTCAATATTCAAATCCTAACTCCTAAAATTCCCTTAAATACAGCATTGAGAGCCTTCACTTCCTTATAGCTACAGATTTCCTTTTCCCTACTTTCCTCAAAAATTGGCCAACAGCGTAGGAGAAAGATAGACAGAGTTACATTCCAGTGGGGTGCCTAGTTCCCACTACTTCCAGATCTACTTTTCAGGTTTTTGTCGGACGTCACAAAAAGCCTGACACAGCTCAAGTAAGGAACACATGGGACAGGAAAGCACATATGTGTGTGGCTTCCCACCTCATCCTTGAAGTTCCATTTTGTATATTTTTAGAATGCTGAAATAGATTTGTTCAACCGGTGTCTTCAAAAAGTAACTGTGGAGGCAAGTGAGCAAATAAGATAGTTAAGTCTAGTCACTTGGAGAGTAATAAGGCAGGAAGGGTGGTCGAGAGTGAATTTCCTTTCTTATGTGCTAAATAGAATGCATTATTTAGAAAAATAAGACATAAGAGCTGGGAGAAATCTCAGGAGATGTCTACTGCCCAGTTTTAAAGCATAAAGTGATGATAAAAATTGCATGGCAAAGTGGACAATAGGTCAAGATCTCTCCTAGCATAGTACTCTTTTCACCACCAAACTAAACTGCCTTACTTGATCTTGGTTTGACACTGAAGTTGGGAATTATGTTTATTATTTGTGAAAATGATAGAAATATCTGCTTCTAATAATTGAACCAAAGCAAAACAAGTGAAAAGCTCCACAGTATAGCTTCTAATGCCTCAGACCATTAATAAAACAAACATATTTTTAAAACACCAAATAAGTACTACATTTATTGATTTAAATAAAACCTATTAGGGATAATTTCTAGAGTTGTTTAATGTACTGTATTCTTAGTAATGGTCTTGAGTTGCACATACTAATTGCCTAAATTAAGGAAGAAAAAAGAAAAAAACATATTGACTGAGCATGTATGATATAAAGTTCTCCAACATTAATATCCTCATCAGGGTTCCTGGGAATTCTACGTGGCAAAGAGCCCAGCTGAGAAAGAATAGTTGTTTTCAGCCCAGAAGGCAGAGTGCCTGAAAGCTGAAGCAATTTATCAGTGTTCACCAGGCACTTACTCTTCCAAAATCAAACAAGTGAAGTTCCTGTAGTTCTTATTTTACACATGACAATAGTTCACATTGAAAAATCTGACAACTTAAAAAGTGCCAGTTTTTTTTTCTCTCTCTCTTTTTTTTTTTTTTTTTATTTTGAGGTGGAGTTTCACTCTTGTTGCCCAGGCTGGAGTGCAGTGGTGCGATCTCGGCTCACTGCAACCTCCGCCTCTGGGTTCAAGCGATTCTCCTGCCTCAGCCTCCCGAGTAGATGGGATTACAGGCCTGCGCCACCATGCCTGGCTAATTTTGTATTTTTAGTAGAGATGGGGTTTCTCCACGCTGGTTAGGCTGGTCTCGAACTCCCGACCTCAGGTGATTCGCCCACCTCGGCCTCCCAAAGTGCTGGGATTACAAGCATGAGCCACTGCGCCTGGCCAAAAAGTGTCAGTTTTAAAGATAACTTGGATTAATTTATTTTTTAAGTAATTGAAGTAAGAACAGCACCTGGGCCAAAACTAACCTACTTTTCTTAATCTATGAGTAGCTTTTAATAGCCATGGTTTTCCCAGTTCCACTACCAAAACAATCAGGAAGGGCTCAACTTTTTCATGGCTGTGGCAAACCTTGGCTATGATTGTGCATGTGGGGTCATTGAGAGCACACAGACACTTACTGCAGTGAAAAGAACATGGCGCAACCAGACAGGATGACCATGGGGAGCAGGCAGTAACCCAGCACGCTGGCCACACAGCCGTACGACACCCCTGAAGAGCTCATCAGGTTCAGCAAGGCATGAATCACAAGGCAGCCAATGGCACTCATGCCATACACATAACCAAACTGAACTTTTCCTGCCTGAAACGACGTGAAGAAAAAACAGTTTGAACACACAATGGACACCGAGAGGAAATCTGAATATCATGAAGCAGAGAGCATCTTAGAGTCAGTTCAGTGCTGTTCCATGTCTTTGTAGGACTGTCATCAGGAGACTGGAAGTTCTGGGAAAAACATGGCCAATGGTTTGAATTCAGATTCTGAAAACAAACACTTCTGACTAGAGTTAGGATGGGATAAGCGTGCTACAAAAAAGATTGAATATTTCTAGACTTATATTTTTTACTCTAAATTGTCCATTACGAGTACAAGGCATAAGTAAGACTATATTTTGTTCCCATATTTATTAAACAAATAAGTGATTGAACAGAGGAATAAAAAATCCAATTTTAGTCTTGGAGATTTACAAGGCATATTAGTAAAATTAGCAAACACCTACAGGGTTTACCATGTCAGATCCCATTCTAAGTGTGCTACATATATTTATGTAATCCACATAACAACCTTATGAAATCAGTATCATTATTACACCAACTTTACACATGAGGAAACTGAGGTGCAGAGATGATAAGTACCTTGCCCAAGGTAATATAACGCTAAGCAATGGAGGTTGGCTTTTAACCTAGGTATTTCAGCTCTAAAATTTAGGTCCTGAACATCAACGGGAACTCTTACAAGTCCTATCCCAAAATAATGGCACATATTTAACCCTATTTAATTTAGCATTTAGTTGACCACAGAATCCTTTTATGTTTCATGATACCTATTGCCAGGTTGATTAACCACACCTTATGAAAAGGTGATTTATATAAACTAACTGGTAATGAATTATAAAAGGTGTACTGTCAAAGGAAGTTAGTAGTGTTCGGAGTACACTACCAATCTTCTGAGGAAAACTCATAAAAACAGCCATTGCTCATAAAGCTAGTGTTTTGTGAATACAAGCCCCAATAAATTCATTCAGAGAACTATTACTTCAGAAGTAAGTACTATTACTTACAGCGTACCATTACTTCAGAAGAGGATATTTTAATGTTTGCTATCTGAGAATACCAAAGCTACAGTTAAAAAAATTCATTAATTTTTTATATTTACATTATGCTGATCATAACTTCTAGATAAAAGTTGAATAGGCTGTCTCTGGTTTTCATGGGAATTAGACAAAAACAATGAAGGATCTGATAAATTGATTCAGGAGAGAAGGAGCTTTTTAGCTGCCACTTTTCCTTCTCCATGCTATTATCTATGAAGTATTTTAGAGATATTTATTTTACAATTAATCAGGGTAATGGAGAATGTCATAGCTATTTTAATGTTCAAAATTGTTTACCTATTCTGAATTCTTCTTCCTCTGCAGTTGGAGAGTTGATCACTACGAAGTCCTTTCATAAATATTCCTGACTTTTGCTGGCAGAATTGTCTCCAGCATTAGCCACTGATAAATTCTTATGATACCTTCTGTATGCTTGTGACTATTTAATGAAATAATGCTAATGATGGACATGCTAACAGAAATACATCAGCTATCCACTGCTTTATTGGGTGAGTTTGCTCCACTTGCAAAATAGTGACAATTTCACATCATTGTCATGCATTAGAGAAACCATCTACTTAATATTTTACTTGGATGGGATAAATCTGAGGTAGGGCTAGTCCTAATGGTATAGGACAACTCTCTTACACCCAAAGGACATCTAACTGGACCTTCCTGTCCTGAAAAGGCAGTTCTACAAATGGAGTGGGGCAAATAGGGAGTAGATGAAGCTAATTTGGTAGTAAAGTTGTGTCTTTTCATGGCAGTTATGTGCTTCTCTCATCATGTCTTTCTCTTGTTAGTTTGTCCCGTTTAAGTTGTAATTCCATTTAGCCGAAATCACGGCCATTTTAAAAAAGTGTTTCAAATTCTAACAAGGGCTTATAATTGAAATAGAAAATAAATGTTCTATTTTTTTAACCTCAAAATTTTTAAGGATCCTCCCTATTCCATCCTCATTAGCACATCTTTTTTTTTTTTTTTTTTTTTTTTTTTTTTGTGATGGAGTCTCGCTCTTTCGCCCAGGCCGGAGGGCAGTGGTGCTAACTCGGCTCACTGCAAGCTCCACCTCCTGGGTTCATTCCATTCTCCTGCTTCAGCCTCCCGCGTAGCTGGGACTACAGGTGCCTGCCACCACACCTGGCTAATTTTCTGTATTTTTTTTTTTTAGTACAGACGGGGTTTCACTGTATTAGCCAGGATGGTCTCGATCTCCTGAGCTCGTGATCCGCCCGCCTCGGCCTCCCAAAGTGCTGGGATTACAGGCATGAGCCACCGCACCAGGCCCCACATCTTGATTTAAAATACTTAGTGTTCTTCTGATTGCACTTTTATATTGGCCATGCATATTGCTTTTTCAGACCACACTCTTGGCCCTACCAGAAAAGTTACATGGAGCAAAAGTTTTAAACCATTTGTCTTCTTGGTGTTGGAAAAGAAAATAATTTTGGGGAAAAGAATAAGTAAAACTAAATTTGTGCTAAGTGCTTGAAGTTGTTTTCTTTGGTTTGTCTCCTTTCGCCTGAAGAAAGCCTACTGAAAGAATTGTGTCTTATGTCAACATAAATCTTAAAGGAGGAAGAGTATGTGACTATGACTCTTATGTCTCCAGAGATAATAAGCAGATTTGGATATTGATTCTGGATTTAGTTTTGCTTTCTCTAGTAAAATTCCTGTGTCAGCCGGTAAAATCACTCTTACATTTTAATTCTACATATCCAGGAAAGAATTAACCTATAATCAAATGAATTCTGAGTTAAATCATACTTCAAGTAATATTCAATTGGAGTTTTTGGGGAGTCCTTTTTGCTTTATATCAGAATCAATTTGGAAGTTATCACATCTAATGGTAAACTTTCAAGTGATAATGTTTGCATAAAGACATTCAGAAAATACGTATTTTCACATATTCTCCACAATTTTAGAATTAAATAGAACCTGAAGAGCCACTCAAATAAACTTTTGCCTTGAAGAAAATGAAATGAAAGCCTAGAAATATGAAGCCAAGGGTTAAAGATTACAGCAAGTGGCAAAGCTAGGGTAGATCCAATTTTCTCGCTTCCAGTTAAGAATTTTTTGCCTCTATTGCTTTGTATTTAAAATATAAGAAGGGTTATGTAAATAACTCCAACTAACATTATGCATCCAAGAGAGATCATAATGGAATTGATGCTGTTCTTTAAGGGATAGTAACAGTAATATTCTGCCACAGAACCAACAGCTGCTTTATTACAAATGACTTGTAAAGAAAGATGAGTTAATATATTAAATTGATTGTTTCTGACTATTTGATTAATTGACATGGCCTTACTTAGCAGTTAATCTAAGATTATCAAATTACTGTGACAAAGACAGAAGAAGGGAGGTTAGAGACTAAATTAAAACTCTAGTTGATATAGTGTTTGATTTACAGAGTATTTGCATTTGCTGTAGTACCAAGAAATAAGATGTTATCGCTAAATACTATTGTATTGGATGAATATGACATTATTGGCCATATTGCCTACAGAAACTAGATTGCTATCAGTATTTTGATTGATTATATACAATAATTGAAAAGCAGAATTTTATTTAGTTGCAAATGCATTTTACAACTACTTTTGAAAATTGTATATCCATTGGAAGAAATTATTATTATGGAACATGAAGAGCAGGAAAATGGGGAAGAGGGCTAAATAGTTATTGTAAGAGCTTTTCCTATAATGTTTAATTTCCCATATTATTTCCTCTGCCTGGTTTATCTCTTTGTGTCTTAATGAAACTATACTTTTCAGACTGACTTAACCATCTTTATCATTTTCTGTTTTTAATGTATTGCCACCTCCTCCTTGGTATAAAGTCAGAGACATTTTCTCATTTTTTTCTTCTGCCTTTTTTTCTTAATGAAACATTTTCCTAAACTATGAGCTAGAATGTCTTTTAAACTTTACTTAGGTGGAAGTACATTTTTCTTTACTTTTCTAGTGACCCTTAATATCATTACTTCCAGATATAAAGAATGAAAGCATACATAAGACATATAGTGAAGTCAGGGAACAAATGTCTTCATAAAAGGTGGAAAACTAACATTTTAGAGGAAATATGTAGGTTGAGTAAACAAAACATAGGTTGTCATTGCAAATTAATTTTTCATAGTAGCCTAACCCAAAACAAGGAGATCTGTCTCGTACCTCATAAGATGTTAGAAATAGTCTGGAGATATATCACAGCAAAGAAGATGGTGACCAAAGAGAAGTGACTTCTTCAGTGTCACAATAGAACTCTCACAAAATAACAAAAAATAAAATGTAGGCCTTATATCTCCCAAATCTATGTTTTCCTTCCATTATTCCAGATTTACAGTCTTTTCTTAATAACAAAAAAGACATAAATGATCTCCTGCTTTGATCTGCTTCTTGATTTTTGAAATTCTATTTAAATTTATACTTTTTAGCTGTTGCAATGCATAATGGTAGCATATTTTTGTCACTATGGTTAAATTATTCTCTCTCACTTAAAAAATTCACTATGTAAGGTGACACAGTTTCTCTTATATTTATACAGATTGCTTCAAAGCCAGCACTGGAAAGGACAAGCATTAAAATCTGGTGCTTCCTGTGACACATTACCAGAAGCAAGGTGGCTCCCAGGGCTACGCAAAAAAGAATGGGTCCAGTGAGGTCCGTTTCATTCATAATGCTGCCATCTACTGGCTTCATTGGGTTTAACACTGTCAAAGTTTTTTGCCATATGTGATCAAAATGGATTCCAAGTTCTGTAAAAAGGAAAAAAGATAAATAATATGATAACATAAATATAGAAAAATAAAAATAAGTTACACTCTTTAAAGGTTAACATATCTGATTAATTTACTTAGCATTTTAATCTGATTGTTCTATCATACCTTCTAAAGTTCTATGTTCTGTATTACACAGAAACTCAAGTTCTATGTAACATATAATAATCTTAAAAAACAAACTAAAAAATAATTTGGCTTCCAAAGAATGACTTAAAATAAATATATTAGAGAAACATTTCCATCAAGGAAAACATTCCCTGATTTATGCAGCAAATACAAGCTTTAAATCTAATTGAAAATTGGGAAGTTGGCAATATACAGTAAAAAATAAAATTGTAGCTAACAGATCAAAACTTTCATCCTATTGTCCATCTAGATATTTCCTTTTCCTGCATTTTCTGTTTCTTTTTTATTTCTTTTTCGAGGCAGGGTTTCCCTCTGTCACCCATGCTGGAGTGCAGTGGCACGATCTCAGCTCCTCCGCCTCCTGGGTTCAAGCAATCCTCCTGGCTCAGCCTCTTGAGTAGCTGAGACTATAGGCATGCACCACCACACCTGGTTAATCTTTTTTCTTCCATAGTGGCGAGGTCTCACTATGTTGCCCAGGCTGGTCTAGAGCTCCTGGGCTCCAGGGAGCCTCCTGCCTCGGCCTCCCAAAGTGCTGGGATTACAGACCTTAGCCACCACACCTGGCCCTTTTCCTGTATTTTCAATTGCTGACACTTCTGAAATCCTGTCATATTGGCCATGGCATAATTTTTCAATTAGCAGTACTATAATGAACTAATGAGACTTAGTCCAAGTCTGGGTTTTTACTTCCACTATGCCTAATGAGAAGAGCAATTTTATGCTAAATGCTTGAAACTACACAGAGGGGAAAAGGGCTCTTTCTGTAAGTAAAAGTGATCATGATGTGCATGCATATTTTTGTAAGGTCAATGTACTGTGAAGTTGAGTCTATGCATTCAAAGATTAAATTCTTGAGACGAGTTAACCTTTCTCTTTTATACATGGTAGTATTCAAATAAAATATCCAAAATCAATGAGGTTCAGTGTTCATGAGTCCAAATCCATTTAGAAACTTCTGATTTTTTTTCTCCAATTCCCATTTTTAAAATACTTCTGACTGCTGCCTCATAGGTCCTTCTGCTAGAATCTGCTTCTCTTATTACTATAAAGCAAATACTTAGCCATTTGACATCCCCTGAACATAGAAATAAATATCGATACCAGATCAGTTTCTTTTCTCACCGCTTCTGTAGAGATGAACTAAGATGTATCTAGGGTAGAGAAAGCGAATATTCAAAGAGAAGAGTATGACTTGACTATTTAGGGACCAGCAATCAAATTGGTTATCCTCCTTCTATAATTTCAGAATATCAGTAAGGGTGAGGTGGAGGCTAGGAAGAATGAAAGCTAAAATTTACTGAGTGTTTGCTATGGACTCCACAAGATTTACATACATCGGTCTTATAAATACACAATCAATCAGTTACTATTATTTTATCCCTACTTTATGCATCAGATATATAAGGCTTTGACAGATTAATTTGTCTGAAGACACAAAGCAGTAGTAGAAAACTTGGGTTTCAATGCTGCACAATCTGACTCAAGAAAGCACATGTTTAACCATAGATTTGTGGTCAGGTCAATGTTCATCTACTCTCATAATGGTTGTATTTTGTTTTTAAATGAGCCCAATTCTTCCATGTGAAGGACTGTCTTCCTAAATGTATTTATATGTGGCACTCAACCACCCTTCCAAGCTTTAGTAACCCTGTTTGGTCAGATACAGGGGTATAGCTCAACTTATTTTACAGAGGCACGTATCATCTAAATACCTTGAAAAGTTGACTTTTCTGTACACAGACTACAACATGGACTTCTAATAATCCCTATGACACAGAGGACCCTTATTCTAACAACTCAGAAACTTTCAGAGGGTCAGCTAGACACTGGTCTAAACCAAAAAATAAAGTTCTACTCATTTCATGCCCAGAATGACATCTGTTATTTTAAGCTTGAAAAAAAATTGAATGTAAATTAATAGCAAATAATTTACATTTCTGCTTCCTTGTTTCATCCTTGATTTGCACAGTGCAATTATATATTTATTAATGAACGTATGCTTTGAAGAATATGAGCAGTTCACCAAGCTTAAAAGGAGGTTAGAATGTCTAACGTAATTTTTGAAAGAGAAGAAGACTTTAAAAATTGAGACATACTACATATTTTAAATTAATTAATTTTAAATTAATTTCACCAGAAATTTATGCGCTCAAACTTTATTTTTTAATTTTGGCATGTATGCTAAAAATATGTTTTCAGTATTTACCACAATAAAATGGTATTTAATTCCAAATACCTTTTCCTCAGAAAATATAATTAGTTTGGAAGAAATTCAGATGAAAATGCTTCACACGACATCACACTGATGTCAACCATGTATTTAATGGCATAACTAACTCCTGCTCATATTTTAACGTCAAACCATGAGGCAGTAAATGAACATAAGCCCATACAAATATTTTCATAATAATAAAGATTGTATGTGCTTTCTACTGAAATAGATCTCTATAATATTGTGGTTTTTATTTATTATAAGGTATGTGAGTGATTATAACTATTAATTGTAGATACTCTAATATAACATCTTATTGTACAAAATAAAAGAAGATAAAACTGCTGTGAAATTTTAATGCAAAATTTATTGTTTTGCTGTCATCTAGTGGTAGTAAAGTATATGATACATATGCTATAAAAGTGAATTAAGATCCCTACTTTCTACGCAAATTGTGGCATTGGCCTTTCATATGGAAGTCTCGAGCTACGCTATAAATACAAAATACCAAATATCAGTAATTTTTCGTATCTGACAGACTTGAATTTATTATTATTCTTGAAAATGCATTTGTTAACATATTGATTTTACATTAACAAAGAGCAAAATTTATCATTCTTACATAAAACCAAACAAATATTTTAGACAACAAAATATTTAAGAAATAAAGTAGGACACTTTTGAAACAACACATTTTTGTGCATAGTATTATAGCTTCATAATTTTATAGGCCATTCTGTTGGATTGTCAATAAAAACTAGTAAATGTTATTTAATGCGTTATCCTAGAAATTGTATTTTTTTTATATCTGAAAAAGACATACCCTGGCCTTTTTCATATCTTTAGACAAAAGAGGCTTGAGGCTTTCACAAGTCACTCAGCTTGAAGAACACATTGGATCCAAAATCCAGATATTTCATAGATTCAAAGCACAAAATTATATTAGGTACTCTATCTTCTAATACAGGTGTCCCCAATCCCCGGGCCGTGGACCCATATCTACCTGCCCATGGCCTGTTAGGAACCGGGCCGCACAGCAGGAGGTGGAGGTGAGCAGTGGGCAGTGGGCGAACAAGTATTATCACCTTAGCTCCGCCTCCTGCCAGATGAGCTGCATTAGTTTCTCATAGGAGCGTGAACCCTATTATGAACTGTGCATGCAAAGGATCTAGGCTGCACGCTTGTTATGAGAATCTAACTAATGCCTGATGATCTGAAGTGGAAGAGTTTCATCTCAAAATCATCTCCCCAACCTGGCTGTGGAAAAATTGTCTTCCACAAAACTGTTCCCTGGTGCCAAAAAGGTTGGGGACTGCTGTTCTAATACACTATGTATTTTGGGGAAATTAACTCTGAGCTGTATAAAATGGAAATAAAAATCTATTACATATTTTCTATTCAAATTGAAAGACATGTTAGAGGAGGATGTATAGAAAGTGGTAAATTAATGCAACAATAGAGACATTTCAGATAGTAGAAAAGATTACTTTCAACAAATGCTGCAGGAAAAAAATTAGTTAAGCAGCACAGAAAAAATAAATAAATCCTTACTTCACATATTAAGCTTAAACAACTATTGAATAAAAAATTTCAATATAAAACAAAAAACATAAAAGGATAATTTTAAAATGTGAGCATCTATAAGGAGATAGAGGCAGTACTTAGAGCTGGAGAAATAGACTCTAAACAAAGAACAATTGGAAAGAAATGTTACTAGAAAAGATATGCTGGGTTTAAAAAATTAATATCACATTTTTAATATGTCCCAAAGACCCATAAACAAATTAGGTGGCAAACACAAGCTAGGAAAAAAAAAGTTTAAAATGCACATTCTAGGCAATAATTAATATGGTTACTATATAAAATCCCTAAAAAATAAACGAGGAAAGAAAACTCTTTAGATTCTATAGAAATCTGAACAAAAAAACCCATGAAAAATAAAAAGTCAATACATATATGAGAAATGTCAAAATTTTTTTAGTAACCCAGAGGTACAAAGTATTCCTTTTTCCTTTTTTCCTACAAAATTGACAAAGACATGTCATATTCTACTCTGGAAGTGGAGTAGAACACCATTTTTGAGATCAGTTGACAGTGTCAGTACCTTTAACCCAGCAATCCCACTGTTATGGGTACATCCTAAGGACAGACTCTATAAAGGTCAAAGATGGTTTCCTATGATGGTCAACAAAGCATTACTTGCTATAAGGAATAACCTTTAAGGCGTGTTTAAATTACGGTTATGTTATATGATAGAACTCTGTGAAACCATTATAAATTGTTTTCAAATAATATTTAATGACTTTAAAGAATGCTTGCATAGAAGTGCTCGTGACAGGCTGGGCACAGTGGCTCATGCCCGTAATCCCAGCATTTTGGGAGGCTGAAGCGGGTGGATCACCCAAAGTCAGGAGGTCGAGACTAGCCTTGACAACATGGCAAAGCCCTGTCTCTACTAAAAACACAAAAATTAGCCATGCACGGTGGTGTGCACCTGTAGTCTCAACTACTCAGGAGGCTGAGGGGGAGGATCGCTTGAACCCGGGAGGCAGAGGTTGCAGAGAGCTGAGATTGGGCCACTGCACTCCAGCCTCGGCAACAGAGTAAGACTCCATCTCAAAAAGAAAAAAAATACTCGTGACATAAAGTAAATAAAAAGAATATAATACTTAAGTACTCAGATGCATATATATTCATTGAAAAAATAGTATTTTACTTTAAAGTATGCATGTATATTCATACATAATACATATACACAGGCATTTATAGGAAAATAGAATAAAGGCTAGAAGAAAATACATCAAATTGTTAATGATAGTCATGTCTTTGAGACAAGAATTGAAGTAATTTTTATATTTTTATTCTTATGTTTCTATGTTTTCCAAATTCTGAAGACAATTAGGGAGAGATATTGGCAAAGTCAAGGAAAATGTTTAACAAGAATAACTTGTAACTTCTAGGTGTTTATTACTTGTAGAGGCAAAACTGAATGAACTGGTTAAAGATAACTGATCCAGAAACTTGACTGGCTTCTAAAGAGCCAATAGATCGATTATATAAATCTCTGTTCTGTTCTGAACAGTTTAAATCTTTCATGTTTTTATATTTTTAAGGAAAAGAAAGAAGAATGTGGCTGGTTGTGTTCATGTGAGGCAAACACCTTTACATCTTGTGATGTAAAATACTGGAAATTTTAATCTATTCCTTTTCACTTGACTACATGCAAAGGACTTGGAGTAGTTAACCAGTGACTATTTCTGCTTGGTTCTCCAATTTAAATCCACTTGGGTTTTAGCGTCTTAACGCCTATGTTTCCAGCATTGTATTAACATTGTTTAAGAGCAAAAACAGCACATACAGACTGGCTACATATGAAAAAAAAAAATCAATGGATGGAACAACTCCGAAATCCCCTAAGTACCTTCAGTTCCAAGAATGTCTGGATTTCCTTCCCACCAGCAGCATTATTTACTGGATTTATGTTCTTCCTCACCTACCCATGCCAAGCTGATATGAAAGGGCTTGTATGAGTCAGGAAAGAAAAAAAACTGGCTTGTCTCCATGTCAACAATGACAACAAAAAATATTAATTTGAGAAAATATCCACTTTGCTCCCAGGAAAACATAGCAGAAAATAAAATACGCTGTTATGAAGTGCTTCATTAACAGGGTGGGAAGGGTGGTCACTTTGATGTAACTACTCTGCCAAAAGATGTCTTCATTTTTTTCTATTCTTGGCCAAGGAGTTCGAATTTAAGAAAGAGTGAAGGAGCATTTAATAGGTGCAGCAATATCACAGAATATCTCATATCTGCACCCAATTTCCCCTATGCAAACATGCAACAAACTTCCAATGGTTTAAGGGTTTTGGTTCAGCAAACTCTTGTTATATGTGAAACAATCAAACATAAGACACTGTACACTGCAGGCTGACAGCACACATTAAGTGCTAATTATTGCTATTATTCTTCTAGCTGTACACACATTAATAACACTTCCTTAACTTATCTTCTAGCAAAGGAGGCTCTTCATCAAAACTGTCAATGTAAGGAGATTGTGAATAATAATCTGAGTTGGATGCTGGCTGAAAAAATTGTCCTGCGTAACCCGATGACATGAGCATCTCTGATGGAACAAAGGAGGCAGGCTGAGGCTGCTCACCAGCTTGTTGTCTAGAAAAAGAAAAATACAAACATTTACATGTCTAAGAAAAAGGTATCATGACAAAGGAGGAAAATTACAATTTTACTTACATGAATTCATGTAGTTTTTATGAGTATTTACTCATGAAAGAAACAACTTACTTAAAATTTAACTTTAGTCCAAAAATGTAAAATAACTGGTCATCTAAAGCCTTCTAGAAAAATAATCCACGCCAATAAACATTAATTGAGCATGGACAACATGCTGAATGCTTCCCCTAATCTTTTCTCAGTTAAAACTCTATAAGGTAAAAGCTGTATTTCTAATCCCATTTTACAGAAAAAGACATAGAATTTCACAGAGACTAAACGACTTGTCCAGTAACACAAAATAACATTGCAGGTGCTGGACTCTGGTGTGAAGCTTTCTGAGCAGTGATCTGCTCGCCACACACTGATGCTTTTTAACTTATCTTCAGGGACAGTCTCCAGCCATGAAGCCCCTCCAAATATGTGGAAGCAGCCAGGAAAAAATATAATTTTAATAGTATAGTCAACTGATAGGAAAAATAAATACATACACTAATTGCTGTGCATAAGGAAATACACTTCAGTTGTAGCCATTCCAAGACAGTCATTGCCAGTAGAATTGTCTCTGAGTTCCTAGCTAAATGTATTATCTAGTTGGCTTTAGTGTCTCTTTATTTTATTTGTACAAATTTATGGGGTACGTATAAAATTTTGTTACATGCATAGATTGTGTAGTGGTCAAATTAGAGCTTTTAGGGTATCCAAAACCCAAATAACATTCATTATATGCATTAACTAATTTATCATCACTCCTCTCCTACCCCCTCACCCTTCCAAGTATCAATTGCCAATGATTCTACTCTCTACTTCCATGTGTACGTATTTTTAGCACGTTTATGAGTAAAAACATGTGATATTTGATTTTCTGTGCCTGGTTTGTTTCACTTAAGATAGTGATTTCCATTTCCATCTATATTGTTGTAAATAACATGATTTTATTCTTTTCATGGCTGAATGGTATTTCATTGTATATATACCACATTTTCTTTATTCATTCATCCATTGGTGGATACTAGGTTAATTTCATATCTTTGCTATTGTGAGTAGTGCTTCAATAAACATATGAGTGCAGGTATCTTTTTGATATATTGACTTCTTTTCCTTTGGATATATACCCAGTAGTGGGATTGCTTGATAAAATAGTCATTCTATTTTTAGTTCTTTGAGAAATCTTCATACTGTTTTCCATAGAGGCTAATAATTTACATTCCCACCAACAGTGTGTAAGAGTTCCCTTTTCTCTACATCCTCATCAACATCTGTTACTTTTTGTCATTTTAATAAGAGCCATTCTGACTGGGGGAAGATGATATCTCACTGTTGTTTTAATTTTCATTTCTCTGATGATTAGTGATGTTGAGCATTGTTTCATATACTTGTTGGCCATTCGTATGTCTTCTTTTGAAAAATGTCTATTCATATTCTTGCCCACTTTTTTCTTTTTTAAAAAAATTTTGTATTTCCATAGGTTTTGGGGGAACAGGTGGTATTTGGTTACATGAGTAAGTTCTTTACTGGTGATTTATGAGATTTTGGTGTACCCATCACCTGAGAAGTATACACTGAACCCAATTTGTAGTCTTCTATTCCTCACACCCCTCCCATCCTTTCTCTCGAGTCCCCAAAGCCCATTGTATTATTCTTATGCCCTTGCATTCTCATAGCTTAGCTCCTACTTATAAGAGAGAACATACAATGTTTGGTTTTCCATTCTTGAGTTACTTCACTTAGAATAATAGTCTCCAGTTCCATCTAGGTTGCTGCAAATGCCATTAACTCGTTCCTTTTTATGGCTGAATAGTATTCAAAAGTGACTAATATCCAGAATCCACAAGGAACTCAAACAAATTATCAAGAAAAAAATTCCCATCAAAAAGTGGGGTAAGGACATAAACAGACAATTCTCAAAAGAAGATATATAAATGGCCAAGAAACGTGAAAAAATGCTCAACGTCACCAATAATCAGGGAAATGCAAATCAAAACCATGATGCGATACCACCTTACTCCTTGCCCACTTTTCAATGGGATTGTTTCAGGGTTTTTTGGCTGTTGAGTTTCAGGATTTTTTTTTTTTTTTTTTTGGCTGTTTGTTGGCTGTTTTTATTGCCGATTCAATCTTGAATCATTATTGGCTGGGGGCCAAAGCCAGATGGAGCTGGACTAGGCAAGCTTGCACTCAGGCCCGCCAGTCATGAGTGCATGTACCAGCCATGACAGGTGAGGGCAAAACAGTCCATCAAAAAGTAGGCTAAGGACATAAACACAATTCTCAAAAGAAGATATACAAATGACCAACAAACATATGAAAAAATGCTCAGCATCACTAATGATCAGGGAAATGCAAATCAAAACCATGATGCAATACCACCTTACTCCTTGTCCACTTTTTAATGGGATTGTTTCAGGGTTTTTGGCTGTTGAATTCAGTTCCTTGTATATCTGGTTTTTAGTCCCCTGTCAAATGAATATTCTCCAAATATTTTCTCCCATTCTACTGGCTGTCTCTTTACTCTGTTGATTATTTCTTTTGCTGTGCAGAAGTTTTTAATTAAATCCCATTTGTCTATTTTTGTTTTTGTTTCCTATGCTTTTGAGGTCTTAGTCATAAATTCTTTGCCTAGACCAGTGTCCAAAAGTTTTCCCTATGTTTTATTCAAGCATTTTTATAGTTTAAGGTTTTATGTTTAAGTCTTTAATCCATCTTGAGTTTATTTTTGTATATGGTGGGAGATAGAGGTCCAGTTTAATTCTTCTGCAAATGGCAATCCAATTGTCCCAGCACCATTTATTGAAAAGAGTGTCCTTTTTCCAACTTATGTTGTTGTCAGCTTTGTCAATGACTAGTTAGCTATAAATATGTGACCTTATTTACATGTTTTCTATTATGTTCCATTGATCTATATGTCTATTTTTATAGCAGTACCATGCTGTTCTGGTTACTATAGCCTTGTAATATAATTTCAGGTCAGGTAATGAGATGCCTCCAGGTTTGTTCATTTTTCTCAGAATTGCTTTGGCTATTCAGGCTTTTTTCTCCTTCTGTATGAATTTTAGGATAGTTTTTTTCTAATTCTGTTAAAAAATGCTGCTGGTATTTTGATAGTGATTGCATTGAATCTATAGATTGCTTTGGGCCTTATGGTCATTTAAACAATATTAATTCTTTCAATCCATGAGCATGAGATGTTTTTCCATTTGTTTGTGTCATGCACAATATTTTTTCATCATTGTTTGTCATTTTCCTTGTAGATATCTTTCACCTCCTTGGCTAATAAATGTATTCCTAAATTTTGCTTGTAATTATTGTAAATGAGATTGCCCTCTTGATTTCTTTCTCAGCTAGACAGTTATTGCTGTATAGAAATGCTACTGATTTTGTATGTTGATTTTATATATGTATGTATTTTATACATATGTATTTTATATATGTATGTTGAATTCATTTATTAACTCTAAGAGGTTTTGGTGAATTCTTTAGGTTTTTCTAGAAATAAGATCATATCATCCAATTACCAATTTGGATGGCTTTTATTTTTCTCTCTTGCCTGATTTCTCTAGATAAGATTTCCACTACTATGTTGAACAGGAATGGTGAGAGTGAGCATTCTTGTCTTGTTTCATTTTTTCTTAGAAAAAAATGCTTTCAACTTTTCACATTCAGCATGATGTTATCTGTGGATTTGTCCTAAATAGACTTTATTATTTTGAGGTACATTTCTTATATTCCTAGTTTGTTGAGGGTTTTTATTATGAAAGGATGTTGAATTTTATCAAATGCTTTTCTGCATCCATTGAGATAATCATATGTTTTTTGTCCTTGGCTCTGTTTATGTGATTTATCACATTTATTGCTTTACATGTATTAAATCATCCTTTCATCCCTTGTATAAAACCTACTAAATCATGGCATATTATTTTTTGATGTGCTGTTGCATTTGGTTTGCTAGTATTTTGTTGAGGATATTTGCATCTATGTTCATCAGAACTATTGGTCTAGTTTTTGTTGTTGTTGTGTCCTTGTCTGGTTTTGGTATCAGGTGTTACTGGCCTTGTAGAATGACTTAGAGAAAACTCCCTCCATCTGAATTTTTGGGAACAGTTTCAAGAGGATTAGTATTATTTCTTTTTTGTACATTTGGTAGAATTCGACTGTGAATTCATGTGGTCCAGGCCTTTTCTTTGTTGACAGACTCTTTATTGCTGATTCAATTTTGTCACTTATCATTGGTTGAGGGCCAAAGCCAGATGGAGCTGGACTGGGCAAGCTTACACTCAGGACTCCCAGTCACGAGTGCATGCACTGGCCATGACAGGTTGGGGAGAAACAGTCCTCAGGCCTCTGGTGGAATTCTTGGGTAAAGTGTAGTCACCACTGCACTGAGGTCCTTCCATGGGAAGGGTGGGACCAGTCCCAGTGGCCTTAGCCTTGGCCAGTGAGTAAGAGACTTGCTTCCTTCTTACAGCCCCCAGTCCAGACAGGTGTCATAGCCAACCCAACTGTTGCCCCTCAGTTCATGCTCATGGCCCATAGGAGTCTCCACTTAGCTCAACACTAAGCCTTCATGGCAACTCTCATCCTGCTCAAGTAGGAGGAGCAGTACCTGCTTCCTGCACTGGTGGCTGCAGCCCATGCCACACTAGCTTCTTAGTCTTGGTTGTTAGGGCCAGCCCCTAGTTCACACCCCGGTTCTGCAAACACCAGCCTAAGTTTCCCTAATGCCTAGGACTGGAATTCTCAGGACTTCACACAGTCTGTTAAGGGCTAAGATCTAGAATGGTGTCTTACTTTAGCTGCTTGGGTTTCAGAAAGAGCATGGAACCCAAGGCATGCTCCCTCCCTAAAGCAGTTCCTTCTCACAGTTTCCTGGTTGCTTTCTAAGTTAGATCTAGGGTTTGAGAGAGTCAAGGTGCTCTCCCATAACCTGAATTATGCAATTCCCCAGCAGGAAAGTGGACCACGTATAGACTCTCACTCACCCTCTCCTGTACTGGAGAGTCATTCCTGGTTCTTGGCTGGTCTTGGCCATGTATGCTGCCTATTTTCCTTCCCCTTCCTAGCTTTTGGTGTTTTCTGTCACTTTCCTGTTGAATTCCAATGTTCTGCCTTGGATAATATATTAGAAGTGTGATTGTCTACACACCATTTTGCTTCTTCTAAGTGGATAAAACATGCTTGAAATGCTTCAAGTCAGCCATCTTGAATAAAAAAAAGAGTCCCTTTTTGAAAATGGGCAATTCAACTTTGCCAAGCCATAATACCTCTTTGACATGTTTTTGCTTTTTATTTTTATTCATTTTAAGTTGTTTTTACCTTAAAGAATGGAAAGAAACATAGAGCTGCCCAGTAACACGTTTTAAGTTTCTTTCATAAAAGCCCTTGGGGTAAACTGAATGTACAGTCCAAGGTTCTGAACTTGGTAACTCCTTGTGATTTCTTTATGATAAAATATTTACAAAATGGCCTTTAGTACTTTCCTTCGAATGTTAATCTTAATATGAAATCTAAGAATAACATATTCGACCTCCTTTATGTGAGTAAGCCTGACCAAGAGAATAACTTATTTAGGAAAAGAAAGCCACAGATATAGAGGGGGGAGATATACACTTAATCATTTACTAACTCAAATGTATGCTCATTAAGAGCAAGAGCCTGGTGTAATAATATTTGAACCTGCCAGAATGTATGGTGATTACCTGCTATTATTGTTCACTTAGCCATATGTAATATTCCTAATCTATTTTCCAGCAAAATAGGCACATCATCAAAAACACTGGTAGAAACAAATTAGCAATAGGAATCCGAATGGCTTTTTTATTGATAAAAATCCCCCAATACCTATTTTTTTAATGTAAGCCTTTCCAGAAAAATGAAAGGGACACACAAAGATGACTAAATGGACCAATGTCTAAGTAAGACTATGTCATTGCCATACTTGTCTGGCCTCACCATAACTCATGTCAGGTGCTACTAATCAGGCTTGAGTAAACATAACCTTCACTGTTATTAGCTGCAAAGCAACCTCTGTGAATGAGTGGACTATTTCAGGTAGTAACTTTGACCATCCTCTTCAAAGAGAAACAAAATTTTACAGAAAAAAATTCTCAGGAGCTTGGATTCCATTGTCCTTATTGTAATGGGGTTATAATACTAAAATTCCTCTACCACTTATTTAAGAAAGTAAAATGTTAAAATTTGTCCCATAAAGGAAAACACATAATTATTCATAAAATTACCATGCTCACCTTTGATAACTATCTAAATTTAAATTATAGCTTTCTTTATCTTATATCTTTGTATACCATCACTGTAATATTAAATGTTTCATCTCAATAAAAAAAAGCATAACCAATACCAAAAGAATCACATTATTAGTCCAAAGTATGATCCAAAAAATCTGTAAATGATATAGTTTGGATCTGTGTCCCCACCCAAATCTCATGTTGAAATGTAATCCCCAATGCTGGAGGTGGGGCCTAGTGGGAGGTGATTGAATTATGGGGGCAATTTCTCATGAATGGTTTACCACCATCCCCCTAGGGCTGTTCTCATGATAGAGTTCTCATGAGATCTGATTGTTTAAAAGTGTGTAGCACTTCCCACCTCTCTCTCGATCCTGCTCCTGCCCTGTGAGATGACGCTCCTGTGCCTTCCACCATGAGTAAAAGCTCCCTGTGACCTCCCCAGGAGCAGCTGTCGCCATGCTTCCTGTTCAGCCTGTGGAACCATGAGTCAATTAAACCTCTTTTCTTTATAAATTATCCAGTCTCAGGTATTCCTTTATAGTAGTGTAAGAATGGCCTAATACAAGAAATTGGTACTGAGGAGTGGGGGCATTGCTATACAGATACTTGGAAATGTGGAAGTGGTTTTGGAACTGGGTAACAGGTAGATGTCAGAAGAGTGTGGAGGGCTCAGAAGAAGACAGGAAGATGAGGAAAAATTTGGAACTTCCTAAAGACTTGTTAAATTGTTATGACCAAAATGCTGACGGTGATATGGACAATGAAGTCTAGGCTGAGATCTCAGAGGGAGATGAGAAATTTAGTGGGAACTGGAGTAAAAGTCACTTTTTCTATGCTTTAGCAAAGAGACTGGGTGCATTGTGCCCCCTTCTCTAGGGAAGTGTGAAATTTTAAAAGTTAGAATGATGGTTTAGGGCATCTACTGGAAGAAATTTCTAAGCAGTAAAGCCTTCAAGATATGACCTGGCTGCTTCTAACAATCTATGTTTATATATGTGAGCAAAGAAATGATCTGAAACTTGAAATTATATTTAAAAATGAACCAGAGTGTAAAAGTTAGGAAGATTTGCAGAATGGCCAAATGATAGAAAAGAAAAGCCCATTTTCAAGGGAGGAATTCAAGCAGGCTACAAACAATTGCATAAGTTAAAAAAAAGAGCCATGTGCTATTAGTCAAGAAAACAGGAAAAGGACTCAAAGGCCTTTGTGTCAGTCCTTCCCATTACAGGCTCAGAGGCCTAGGAAGGAAGAATGGTTTCATGGGCCAGGCCCAGGACCCCTCTTCCCTTCATAGCCTCAGGACATTGCTCCCTGCATTCTGGCCACTCCAGCTCCAGCCTTGGGGCAAATGAGCCCAGTTACAGCTCACTGCTTCAGAGGATGCAAGCTATAAGTCTTGGTGGCTTCTGCATAGTGTAAAGCCTGCAGGGGCACAGAGTGCAAGAGTTGAGGCTTTGAAGCTCCACCTAGATTCCAGAGGATTTATGGAAAAGCCTGGATGTCCAAGCAGAAGCCTGCTGCAGGGGTGGAGCCCTCATGGAACACCTCTACTAGGGAAGTGTGGAATGAAAAAGAGGGGTTGAAGCCCCCACACAGAGTCTCCACACAGAGTCCCTCACAGTGCAGCTGTGAGAAGAGGGCCATCATCATCCAGACCCCAGAATGGTAGATCCCCCAGAAACTTGCAACCTGCATCTAGAAAAGCCTCAGACATTCATCACCAGAACATGGTGTGCCCTGCAAAGCCACAGGGTTGATGCTGCCCAAGGCCTTGGGAGCCTACCTCTTGCATCAGTGTGACCTGGATGTAGGACATGAAGTCAAATGAAATTATTTTGAAGCTTTAACACAGGGGTGTCCAATCTTTTGGCTTCCCTGGGCCACACTGGAAATAGAAGAATTGTGTAGGGCCACACATAAAATATGCTAACACTAATGATAGCGGATGAGCTGAAAAAATTGCAAAAGTATCTCATAATGTTTTAAGAAAGTTTATGAATTTGTGTTGGGCCACATTAAAGCCACCATGGGCTGCACACAGCCTGTGGGCTGTGGGTTGGACAAATTTGCTTTAAGATTTAATGACTGCACTGCTGGGTTTTAAACTTGCATGGGACATTCCCTTTTTTTGGCCAATTTATCCCTTTTAGAATGCCTACACCTCTATTGTAACTTGGAAGTTACTAATTTGTTTTTGATTTTACAGGATCATAGGCAGAAGGGAGTAGCCTTGTGTCAGGTGAGACTTTGGACTTGGACTTTTGAGTTAATGCTGGAGTGAGTTAAGACTTTGGGGAACTGTTGGGAAGGCTTAATTTGAACTTTGAAATGTGAGGACATGAGATTTGGGAGGGTCCAGGGGTACAAGGATATGGTCTGGATCTGTGTCCCCACCCAAATCTCACATTGAAATGAAATCCCCAGCTGGAGGTGGGGCCTAGAGGGAGGTGATTGGATCATGGAGGTGGTTTCTCATAGATGGTTTAGCACCATCCCCCATTTCTGCTCTTTGATAAAGTTATCATGATATCTGGTTGTTTAAAGATGTGCAGCACCTCCCCACTCTCTCTTGGTTCTGCTCCTGCCATCTGAGACTCCTGCTCTTGCTTTGCCTTCTGCCAAGAGTAAAAGCTCCCTGAGGCCTCCTCAGAAGCAGCTGCTGCCATGCTTCCTCTACAGCCTGTGGGACTATGAGCCAATTAAACCTCTTTGCTTTATAAATTACCCAGTCTCGAGAATTTCTTCATAGCAGTTGTGGGAATGGCCTGATACAGTAAATAACCCAATTCTTATGTTTTAGGGTTTTTTTCTAAAAATTTATATGAACAACTTTAATTTTAAACACATATTATGAATTTACATTTAGTCCCCTATGTCTTCTGGTATTTTCCTTTTTTTACTAAGTGGCACCAACTCTGAATGGCTATGCCAATGAGTTTTCATATATTCTTAGAGACATCTTTCAAGCCTACAATATCCTTTCATGAAAAAAGTCTCTGAGATAATGGATCTGGACACTTCACTATTTGCTCTATTAAGCCTATAGTCCTTGACGATTAACCTAGTAGAGGTAATGTAATAAGTCAGATTAATATGCTCAATATTTAAGATGTCAACGTTATATATTTGTACCTCACACACAATAAGACTTTTGCAGAATATGCCAAGAAAATGTAACTCTTCTCCTGTATTATGCAATATCTCCATTAGCTCTATTGGAAGATAAATACTGAAATTGTGATAATTTCAAATTCAGCACACTATTACAGATGAAATAAATGTTAACTGAATTAGATCAAAAGAAACATTGAACTCTGGCTCATTGAATTTAAACTTTAGCTTTGTTAGTAAACGTCTCCTCTTCCTTTAAAAATCACTTCAAACTACCGAGAAGTGACTGTAGGGCTCCTTTAGAACAATCAGCAAATTTCATTTATAAGTACTCATAAATACATATACATTCATTGAAAAATAGCATTTTATTTTTAAATATATATAATATACACATTCATAGGAAAATAGAATAAAGGCAGCAAGGAGGTACACCAAATTGTTAATAATAGTCATGTCTTGGAGACAAGATTTGAAGTGATTTTAATATTTTATTCATATGCTTCTATATTTTCCAAATTCTATACTGGATACAATTAGATATCTTATAGTTTTCTAAAAGCAGAGATGTTGGTGGAGTCAAGGAAAATGTTTAACAAGAACAGCTCAGAACTTTTTGGTGTTTATTAATTCCAGAGGCAACATAGAATTAACTAGTTAAACATAACTGATTCAAAACCTTATCTGTGTAACTTACCTATGTAAATTTCCGATTAAGCTTGTAAACTCAGGCAATCTAAGTGCCCTTGGTAAGACCTTATCAAATAGGATGAGTTTGGTGGTAGCATGAGTCAGGGAGTGGTAGCTGGGATAGTTGGCTTCTGCAACATTCCTATACTCTGGTTGGTCTAGCTGGGTACACAGTAATGCCTTAACTGTGTTTGAAATACTAGAAGATCAGGTCTGAGGATTCAGAAAAGATGATGATTCAATATTTACCTGTTAAGGTCCTACCAAACCACTCAAAGGGATTTTTCCAGTTGTTCACACCTTTCTGCAACAGTATCTATTTCTTTTTTCCACATAATATGAATAGATTTCACATTTCAAAAGGTGGAAAAATATAGCCTCAGTGACTACCTATAGATGGTTGGAAATTATCCCTATCTGAATGGCTGAATAATTATGTTTTTAAAAAGATAATGATCCTACTGTTCATTCTAAAATAAGAAAACTTGTTTTTAAATATAAATATCTTCACCGTCTTAGTGAGCACAGTCACCCAGCTTTCAGATCAATACACCATTGAGCCAAACAGGCTTTTTAAAATGAGCTCTCGTATACTGTGGACAGGCGTGAAGGAAGAGAGAGAGTGAAAGAGGCAAAGACAGAGACAGAGGAAACAGAAGCTGAATGACTGATTATAACTATTCTCTAGGTTCCCACATATTTTGCCAGGATGATCATCATCTTGTTCTGATATGGGGTATATTTTAATTGAACTATTCATGGTATGAATAAAAGATCAAATCTCTGGATTTCCTTTGACGTACATAGTAAATCACTGACCTGACTCCATGTTTTACGTACCTCATAAAACTACCACAGCTACTATGCCCTTTCCTAATTCCTGAGATGCACAGTGTGAATCGGAATTTAAATGTTGCTGCATCCAAATCAGGACTTAGATTTAAATGCTAAGCATCTGAAGCAGGGAAGGCCGTCAACCTGGTACTGTAAAATTATGAGCTTTCCTCATCTGGCTACATTAATTTCCATCTCTTTGTCATTTTGATTTCTAGGAAATGTTCAGTCAAATGGAAAAAGAAAATTGGAGTGCGTGGGGTGGGTGGATAAAGCCGCGGTCCATGAGTCCTTGCTTAGGGAGAAAGTTTTTTCTCTCTTATTGTGCATTTTAGTTTAATTTAATCTGAAAATATCAATGCTACCCAAATACCAATCTTATCTGGAAAAGAGGGTTGAGAAAAGAAACAGAAGGTTTAAGGCAACTAGTTCCTTTCTACAAAACAGAACAGAGCTTAAAAATCTTAGTAGATATCTTTCATTGTGGATTGCAAATTTAGAGTGACCACCTTTGTATACCTTAGTGCTCAAACTACTCCCTGTGCCTCAAACATTTTCCTGTTTTTTTTCACCTTCCAAAGTGTAAATCATAAAAGGCAGCCTGACTAGTGCTAGGCAGGATAGCATAGGAGTGTGAATTAGATACAATTCCAGATATTCAACTTTTCCAGCCTAAAAAAAATTATATCTCAATACCTTTCCCTATCATGAAAGCAGCATCTATTTGCTTACACCTGTAGGAGTGATCAGTCTGTAAAAAGAGAGTCCATTTTTTTCTGGGCAGAGTAGGAACAGAAGACTCCCCACTGCCTGTTATATGTATTCTGTCTTTTCCTCTTTCTATCTGGAGCTTTTAAGGTGTGTGTGTGGATGTGTGTGTGTATAACAAAGCTTCAAAAATTAATACATTTGAAATATACCACATATCCTAATTTATGGAACAGTTTATTCTTATTATCCCAACATTATTATAATAGCACTAATTTTACATTTAAAAAGTCTTTATTTTATAATAAGTCATATGCTCACACTAGTTATAGCACTAATCAAACAACCTTGAGCTAAAATCCTAACCCCATTTCTTACTAGATGTGTAACCTTGAGAAAATCTCTTAATTTCTCTGTGTGTCTGTCTTCTCATGCAAAATGGGGATGATAGTGCAAGTTGAGTATCCTTTATCTGAAATGTTTGGGACCAAAGTGTTTTAGATTTCAGATTTTTATGGATTTTTGAATATTTACAGAACACATACTGGTTGAGCATCCTTAATCTGAAAACTAGAAATCCGAAATGCTCCACTGAGCATTTCCCTTGAGCACATGTCAGTGTTCAAAAAGTTTTGGATTTGGGGACATTTCAGATTCTGATTTGGGATTTGGGATGCTCAACCTGTAGTGCCTAATTCATATGGTGCTCCAATGAGTTAATGTATATAATTGAGGATCCAATGAATTAATTTATATAATTTCAGAACAGTTCCTAACATATAATAAAAACTCAATATATTGTATAGTTATCATGAAAGTTGAAGAGTCTGACTCTTCTTGCCCTCTAACCTAGACCCAAGAAAAAAATTCCAAGAATGCAACTATTTAACAAAATACAGTATACTTCAGTGACTTTAGGTAACAAAGTGTCAATTGCTTTTGTAAGTCACATTTATATGAATAAATACTGTTTATATAGTGGTTTTACTTTAACACACACTTTCCTACATATTATCATAATTTTTTTCATAACAATTCCATTAAGTAGGTATTATTAATATCCTTATTTTCCAGATTAAGACAGTCAGAGAAGTTAAGTCATACCAATATCACAGACAGAAAATGCCAAAGCCAGAATTTGAACCAAATTCTTCTTACTCTAAATGCCATATTTTGCCGCTATCAAATTCTTAATCATTTTGTTTCATTTTCAACTCAAGTTGAATTTTTACTTCAAATAACTATCATATTTTAACGTGTTTACCTTGATTCCGTCATGGCATTTTTCATACTTTAAATTGCATATTTAATTGCCCAATTCTTCAACATAAAATTGCATGAGAGAAAAAACTATGAATTTCATCGTTATATTTGGATTTGCAGTGCCCTTCTTAATTTCTGAAACACAAGCAGAATCTCAATAAATGTTTATTAAATTAATGAAATCTGGTTCTCAAGAAGTGCCCTGGAAAATATTAGGCAAAAGGAAAATGGTTTCTGTTTGCCCAGTGCCTGTATCCCAGCTCTCTGTTAAGTGATAGTTTGAAAAGAGGAGACAAGCCTTTCACTTGGCTCAGGCTGAGGTGATAAAGGGGATTCATGGAGAACTTGATGAATTTCTCTGCCATTTCCTGACATGTATTCTTGGGCAATTTACTGAGATATGTTGAGGCAAATGTTGGCTTTTCCCAAGGAAACCTCCCTCTCTAGAAATCCCTGCCATAATATTAAGACTTCTTAAAACAAGAACAATACAGCTCAGTGCGGTTGTTAATGCTTATAATCCAAACACTTTGGGAGGCCCAGCGGGGCGGATCACTTGAGCTCATGAGCTCCAGGCCAGTCTGGGCAACATGGCCAAATCTCGTCTCTACTAAACATTAAAAAAAAAAAAAAATAGCCAGGCATGGTGGCACACGCCTATAATCCTAGCTACATGCGAGGCTGAGGCACAGAATCGCTTGAACCCAGGAGGCAGAGACAGCAGTGAGCCAAGATTGCACCACTGCACTCCACTGCACTCCAGCCTTACAAAAGCAATTGACACTTTGTTGCCTAAAGTTACTTAAGTATACTGTATTTTGTTAATTAGTTGCTTTCTTGGATTTTTTTTGTGGGTCTAGTTTAGAGGGCAAGAAAGATCAGACCCTTCAACTTTCATAATAACTACAATATATTGAATTTTTACAATATGTGGGTGACAGAGTGAGACTCTGTCAAAAAAAAAAAAAGAAAAATATTAAGTACTTACTTTCTAGATCCATAAAGATTTCCATAGGCATTAGAGTCATTACCACTCTGCTCCTGGTTATCAATAGTAAAATTAGATTGGTAAAAATCAGAGTCAAATTGTGCCAAGTTTGACATCCTGAAAAATAAGAGTATGTTTTTAATAAGTTCATGAGTCAATAAAACTTAGTTTGAGATATTTACAAACATCAAATGACAATGTGATTATGGCTGAATTCCTATCAGAAAAAAAGATGTCCTTTGAATGGGGTCAATAAAGTATTGGGGGAAGGGTATAGAAATATATGCTAGAAAGTTATTTACAGAATGTGTTATCTTCAACTACTTTTTCTGAAGTTTTCGCACCCTGGACTGTGGCTTTTAATAACTTGACTTTAATTCATCTGAAAGAACTAATCTTCTCCAAATATCTTATTCTTAGTAATTTAAGAGAAAAAGCTTAAAACTTAGGACACATCTAGAAGGATTTCCCTAAAACGATGTTCTTCATTTTAAGCAGGCGCACACACATGCGCGCGCGCGCGCACACACACACACACACACACACACTTGTACCAAGGATTATTATCTGCAAATGGCTGATAATAATAATACTCCTTCCCAAAGCAAAACCAAAACCCTACAAACCCATTTCCTTGTTCTACTTGGCAATTCTTAAAAAGTGTTTGGAATATTTTCGTTTTTCTTTTGCTCTGGATACTGCACCTGGGCTTCTGGCTGAGTCAGAGAGAAAAAGACTCAATCCTGCTAAGGGAAGTCTTTGTTCTATACATTCTCTCTATAGTTTCCACTCACTTCTAGGAGTAAAGAGGAATGATTGTTTTTGAATTAGACCTAATGGCCAGGAATACCAGAGGGAAAAATAAAGAACTGAGAGAAGGAAGAGGTATGGGAGAAGAGGACATTAGAGAGGTAATAGTGGCTCTTTGGATAAAAAGTAGAGAATAGAGAAGCGACTCTTTTCAACTGGACAAATGTGGTTATTCAACTCAACATTTAATTCTTTATTTTTCTTTGAAAACCTTGTTATTTTAAAAGAGTGGATTTAAAAATCACCAGGAGTAATCCATATGCTTATAATAATCTATGGAATACTACTTATAAAAATATCAAATGAAATTGCATAAACAGCCTCAACTCTAAAGGCATCATTAATCAGAAATATTCAAGTAACAGTTGTCAAATATATCAAATTTGTTCAGTTCAATGAAAACACAAAAAGCTTCTCTAAAATTAGATGCAGCGATTCATACATCTGATGCAATAAATCAAGATTTTTCATTAGTAATGTGTATAAAAGTAGCTATGAATTATGTAAACTGAAATCAGGACTTAGTGATAAATCTTTTAACAATTTATAATTTAAAGAAATTACAATGTAATAGCATAACTTTCTCAACACATGAAAATATGGTATTATAAAGCATAGAGAGTAATTTATTGAGAATACACTAAATTTTCATAACATGCAAAGCTTTATGTAACATGACTATTGGTACTACAGTCCTTACATAACCGAGCTTTGTATTTTGTTTAAATGCCAAGTCTTTTAGAAGGATCAGACACATACCTCTGTTTATTTTTTATAGAAAGATCCTCCAGTAAATGTAGCTTTGTGTGAGAAATTTTAAGCAAATCCATTGGTGAAAAGATGACATGCTGGCTATATATATACCTTTCTAAATTTGTATTCTGACACCCTGAGCAGATGCTACAGTCAAAAATAAAAAAGCCTGCCAAAAGCCAAATACAGTATCTTATAACACTTATTATGGTTTACAAACACAGTGAACAGTGTTACAGACTTACAATTTGATAATATGGAAATTGTGGAAAGATAAATACAATTCCCTTTTGTACATATCTATTAAACTCTGAGGTAAGATCATTTATTTGAGGCAAGCAGTTAAAAAGTAAGAGGCCTCAATGTCCCTTCCATTTCATGGATTTCCTAATAATATGCAGTAAAAATCAAAATATGGCACATGATCTTATGTAGAAGATCTCAGCACCAAAATGAAAATGAGTTGTGGTCAATTTTATCTAAATCAGAGCTATTCTATTTATATGAGCAATATTTAAGAAGACTAATTACAGTCTGCCTCTGACTTTTTTCCTGCTTCCTACTTTTCCAGCAGAGGCCAAGATGGATATGCTAATGGGATCTAGTGCTTCTTACCTGATGGACAGGTTCTATACCATTATCGAGCCAATCCTAACCACTGGAAGGTGTTAGGCCCATCCCCACCTCAGGAAGCTCCCTGAATTGGCCCTTCTCTGTATCACTGGGTCACTGCTGGGAGCCTACTTTCTGGTTCTGACCCAGGTAACCTAGCTAATACTATCAATTCTATCTAGATCTGGTGTTCTCATCCCTAATATTAATCTCACAGTTGGAAGTCAAGTCCCCTGTGGTTTGCTTCATGCTGATTCTCTTTTCTAGGACTTAAGACTTCCCATGTATCCAAATCTCAGTAACTGAAATTTTCTGTCCAAAGGCAGATAATTTGGCACTTAAGAATCTTCAACTGGAGCCAACAGCAGAATGCTGGAGTAATTTTTTTCCACATTGTTTAAAAGCATTTGAAATTTGAATGTCTTTAATCACAGCTGCCCTTCTTACATCACTAGTCAGGCAACAATTGGTCACACATTTTATCAAGGACATACTGTTGAGTTCCACACTCTGTTGTAGATGCCAGGGTTTCAGAAACAAGCAAACTAAACATTTAAAGAGTTACATCTTAGTACTGATTTTGCTACACCTACAACTAATAATAATGAATAACTGGGCATTGTTCTACAAACTTTAAGTCATTTAATTTTTGTAACAACCTGATGAAGTATTATTATCCCATTTTACCAAAAAATAAATGGAGATTGAATAATTTTCCCAAGGTCATTAGCTAGTAGGTGAAAAAGCCAATGTTTGAAAGCTGACTGAGTTCAGAACTCACATTATCCAAGATAATTTCAGGAATTATACAATAGAATATACTGTTAAGATGGAGAGTGCAAAGGGGAGAGGATTTGAATACTCAGGGAAGGCTTCTTAAGAGGGTCATTTGGATAGAGATCTGATGGATGATAATGAAGAAGTCGCTTTACAGACTACGTGAAGAACATTTCAAGCAAAGACTTTCAGATGGCAAGGAGTTTTGTGGTTTCTGGTTTAGAAATAAAAAGCCAATGTTGCTAGGGATTTTTGAATTAGAGAAAAGTTGAAGGAGATGAGGTCAGAGGTATGAACAGAGGCTGGACCAAAAAGGAGCCTGTAGGCCGTGGTAAAGAGTCTAAAGGTTACATAATTGAAATGAAATGTCATTCTAGGGTAGTATAAAATGTGATGATTCCGTATTAGTCACAAGTGGAAGAGGGAGACTGGTTAGGAAGAGAAAGTTACAATAACACAGGCATGAGATGTGAGTGGCCTGAACTAGGGTAGCAGTGGAAGGAGAACTGGTACAAAAGTCATGGCAACTGAGGAAAAGATGAATTACAGGGGTCAATACTGAAGCAGTAGTATCAGTAAAAAGAAAATTCAGTCCAGGAAAATGATGAGTTATATGAACTGAGGAAGGGCCAACCAATAGGTAGAGTACTGAACAAATACAGAAGATATTTGGGAAAGATTTAATAGGATTCAGTTTCTATTGAATAGGAGGAAGAAGGAAAAGGCAATTACTGAGGATGATTTCTAGAATTCTGTCAGTTTTTCCATTCTAGTGCATAATGCCATAGGAAAAGGCCACATTGTTATATAGTGGCCAAATTTTGATTATTACCATCTTTTCTATTCCTTCTTTCAAAGTTCTTTACGTGAGAACATAGGTCCTTTTCTAAAACAGCAGAGATTTATGGTACATTCTTTTTTTTGACGTATAAATTCCACAAAAAGCCTACCAAAGATAATACTTTTTATCTTAGTCCATTTAGGTACATTTTAAACTTATTTTGTGATGTTGTACTTTTCAACACAGTTTCCTTCATAAAAACCTGGCTCGATTAAATGAATTACAGGAATATATGGACTGAAAATGGCATATAAAAAAATTAATCTCAGCCTCAAGTGAATTATAAACCATGGAACATTGAAGACAAAATGACTTCAGCCTCTTTAGAAGTGCATTAATGGACCATTAATGCATAGGCAAGAATATTTTAGAGCTATTCTTATGGCTATAACACTGTGTATCTATAAAATATACATTTAAGTGGGTTTTTTCCATTAATGAATTATCTGATTTCTGTAGCACATGTTGAAGAACAGAGTGTAGATTGATATTACATATAGTCACAGTGTCATCAATTATTTTAACTCATCTGTTTTAGTAATTGTTTCTGTGTCCTGAATGACCAAAAAGGCTGCATTAGGTGAATAAAGTTTCTCACCTGATGTAAAAAAGCCGTGTGTTCTACTCATAGACACTTTCTTTTCCTTCCTTCTCGTTTTCTTTTCTCTCCCCCCTCTCTCCTTACCTTCATCCTTTCCTTCTCTCCCTCAGTTCTCTCTCTGAACTCTCTCTTAAGTTGATCCTATCTATTCCCATGGCTTTATATATCATCTATATATAGACAATTCCCAAAGTTACATATGCATCCTTGACCTTTCTTCTCAGGATCAGACTATTTGATAGACATTTCAAACTTAACATAATCCAAACTGGATTCTTAAAGTCTTTACCCTTCCCAACCCAACACTGCCTTCTCTATTTCAAGAAATGACATCACAAAGCACTCACTCAAATCAGAAATCATCTAATTTTTCAACAAATTCTATCAATTCTGTCTCTTAAATATATCTCTCACTAACCAATTTCCTCCATTTCCACTGCTATCAGCCTGGTTGAAGTCACCATTTTCTCCCACTTATAATTCTCTTTGTAATTATTTTAAAAAGTGAAATATCACTTTTACAGTAGCAGATTGGTAGGAGATAACAAAGCTCACTTAAAAAGACTGTAAAAATACACCTTTAATGACTTGACAAAACCAGGAAAGATTCTTCTGTGGTTGCTAACTGCAATTAGCAGTAGGAATCAATAGGAATTTCCATCCATAGTTTCTTAGCATCTCTCTGGTGATCTGTCACATGTTGTAGAGGCTGTGAGTTGCTCAATAGATATATTGGCAACAATTTGCCATATACCTGACAGTTATGCATACATATTTGTGTTAAGTTAAATAATGCATGGCTTGATGTATGGATGAATCATAACTATTATAAATACTGCATACTCAGAATCCAATATTTTAGTTGATGTCTATTAATCTAAGTATAATGCAAAATTGTGACATTCATCACTGCAGTCCTCTGATATAAAAATGGAGACTCAGAGAAGCAAATTGATTTGTGCAGTCACACACTTAGTATGTGAAAGAACCTAGTCTGAAGCATCAATTCTCTCACTCGCTCAGTTTTCTTTGATTACTCTGTTTCTTCAAAAATATTATGTATGGCTGCCCAGAACTCTGGTGTTATGAATGTACCTATTTAGGAACACTAAATGATGTTTACTTGTATCCCTCTACCCCAAATATTTTCAGCTGAATAGAGCTGCCAATAAACCAAAAGAAAAATATGTCATTATTTTCTACCTCTGCTGACAGAGAAACAGGTTGTTTGTTACCAGTGTTTATCATGTAATTACTTTATTCTGGCAATCTGTATTGCAATTTAATGCACATCTGCATTAATTCAGAGAAGAATAGAACGCATTGTTTTCCGTTATTTTTAATGCATTTTTATCAGTATTCTTTAAATGCTCTTTTTGTTAGTACCACATAAGATTTGTTCCTGATCATCTGCCTTTTAAAGACCGTGCTGCTTCTATTTTATAAGCCTGAAACTACAGCCCTGAATATTACAGAGACACATGAAAATGGGCATAAAATTCTGTTGCACTGCATGAATGAATTTTAAAGAGCTCAATATGTTCTATGGCAAGCAAAGAAAAGAAAATTAAAGGATTTTGCTTCATTAATACTATCATAATTATCTTTGACTTTTAATTTGGCTATTTCTTCTGAATTTCCACTTTTTTTTTCCTGCCAAGACTTTGTCTTTACAGAAAACATTGCATTCTAGCAGAGTTATTGCTGAATTCTTATTAAGTTTTTAGTTTGGCAATATGTTTTGTTAGCAAAAATATAATTTACACCTGAGATTATGAAAGTTGATATGAGCAGTAATTGAGTTGTACATTCTTAGTAACCATATTATTATAATAGTCATTTAAATATGTAACAAGAAGTCAAATTTACATCCATTTAGCAAATTGATGTAATTAATTTTCATAGGAAGTCTTTCCCAGGAATTATATACATTCTTCCACAAGTTATCTAATCACATAGATCCTTAGTTCCTTCATCAGTAAAAAGGAATAAAACTTATTCTTACCTCTTAGGTGCTGTTTATTTCATCTTTATCTCATCCACTTAATTCTATTTTTCCATGTTTCACAACATATCAAGATTATTAATTAATGAATATATAACTTTTATGTGTGTATATAAACTTCAGTATAAAATATGAGGATTAGATAGAATTTTGCAAAAGGTACAATTGAGTACGGTAGCTGGCAAGTAGTAAATTGTCAATAAATGTGACCTGTTTGATTATGTTTCTAGGTGATGATGAAACTGGATCAACAGCAAGCATCCAAATTTACTCTTGTGTTCATTATTTACAATCATTCAACACATATTTTTTTCTACTTTGATATTACATAAATCTGAATAAAGTTATTTTATCAAAAGAAGATAGGAGGCTGGATATTTACAAATGCTCTCTCTTGTAGAGAGACTGCAATTAGAGATTCAACGTTTCCTTAGCATTCATGTCTTATTTTACAATAAAAAAATAAAATTTCTAATAAGAAAAGTAAAAATTGACTTTATTGTCCAAGTATTACTTACTATTTTGACTAAAATCCTTTAGGTACTGCTCAGTAAGGACGTATGTTTATGTTGACCATATTTCCTTTAGCAAAGAAAGGTGAAATTCTTCACAATGTTCTGTCATAGTTATGTTTTTTTATGACAACATTGCTATTTCATGGCCTATGCAATTGCACCATTATTAAGATTTTTGTCAAAGTATTCCAAGTTTATTGTGAAAATTTTATTATGATCAGCAGGTGAGAATTGTTAAGACAGTTTGAGGAAAATGACCAGATATAGTATGTTTTTAATGTAATTGTCAATATACAAATTCTATTTCATAAAGAGTATCTCTACCTTCTTTCGACAGGAGAAGCTAATGACTTACAGCTTAGAATTTTAACTTAATTTGAACATTTACTCAAACATCGCGTTTATATGGGGAGCTCTTCAAAGGAAAACTTTCTGCCTTGCAGTATTTATGTTTCATACACAAATCTGAGCTAGGGATAGTAAGGTATAGCATGACAAAATAATGTTTTAAATACAATTGAATCTTCTTTTAAAACAAATATAGTTGACTGTCTGGTTTAAAGTGTCACTAGGCCAGAAAGTTGTCTCACAATCCCAGCAAAATGACCTATGAAGGTTTATAAAAGGATAAACATGCCACAATGTGAAAAACTAATGCTTGGAGTCAACCTCCTGCCAGAGCCTGGGTAAAATTTCTGTGATAAGGTCGATGAGTATGTAGTGAAAAAAATGATTTTAGACCATTGCAGTCTTTCCGTCGTGCACCAGGACAGCTCATTCATATGAAAGGAAGAAGATTCCTGAGACCCTCAGAGATTCAGGCTTTGTAATAAATAGAAAAGCAGCCATCCCCCTACTGTAACGATGCTGCTTTTCTAAGTGCCAGAGAAATAATCCTGCCACCTGGTCTTATGGTCTGATATATATTTGGGGAAAGTCACACCTGGGAGAAGGGAGGACCGCTCTCAGGATATATAGTGAAAGGGAGTTGTGGCTTAGTGGGATTGGGGTGGAAGTTCTCAGTAATTGCTATGGACTGGCAGGGTGTGGTGGCTCATACCTGTAATCCTAGCACTTTGGGAGGCTGAGGTGGGAGGATCACTTGAGCCCAGGAGTTTGAGACTAGCCTGGGCAATATAGTGAGACCCCACCTTTATAAAAAATAAATAAATACAATTTTTAAAAGGTGTTATAGACTGAATGTTTATGCCCTCCCCCTGTCCCCCTACCAAATCCATACATTGAAATCTAACCCAATGTGATGGTATCTGGAGGTGGAGTCTTTGGGAGGTTACTAAGTCATGAGGATGGAGCCCTCATGAATGAGATTAGTAATCTTATAAGAAGAGGCCAGAGAGCTAGCTCTGTTTCCTTCCAATATGTGAGGATACAATAAGAACTCAGCAGTCTGCAACCTGGAAGAGGGCCCACATCAGAACTCCACTATGCTGGCACCCTGATCTCAGCTTGCAGCCTCCAGAACTAAGAAAAATAAATTTCCACTGTTGACAAGCCACCCTGTCTATGTCACTTTTTTATTGAAGCCTGAATAGACTAAGACACTAATAATGGTTCTACGCATCCTGGGAACTATAGTCTCCCCACTACCCTGTTGTTATAAGATCAGAGAAAAGCATCCAATGACAATATATACCGGGGGAATGAAGCTTTTCATGTATCACACTACTTTCACCCAAAATTCTGATGTGAAACTGTGCAAGACGATCCAATGGAGTAGAGAAAACAACGGTAGACTATTTGTATTAGTAGTTTTCATGCTGCTGATAAAGGCATACCCGAGACTGGGTAATTTACAAAGAAAAATCATGGTGGAAGGTGAGAGGCACATTTTACATGGCAGCAGATAGGAGAATAAGAATCAAACAAAAGGGGAACCCCTTATAAAACCATTGGATCTTTTGAGATTTATTCACTACCATGAGAACAGTGTGGGAGACACTGCCTCCATGATTCGATTATCTTCAATCATCACCCACTGGGTCCCTCCCACAAAATGTGGGAATTATGGGAGCTACAATTCAAGAAGAGATTTGGGCGAGGACTCAGCCAAACCATATCACTATTATTTATATTTATTTCTATATAAAAATATGAAATATATTAATCATTACTAGTATTTAGTTTACACAGTTACTGTACTCTCCCTGTTTGCCTGGGTTTATCTGCAGAGTTGGCTGGATCATGAGGAAGCCTGGGAACCTATCACATGAAGATGTTGAAAGCAACACCCATTTTCATCCCTTCCCTTTTACAGAGCCACAGCGTACTGGGGTTTGTGAGTGTGCATTAAGTGCAGTAATAAATTATATTTTTTAACTTAAGCTTGCCCTTACAATATGCACACATGGCTTCAAAGTCAGAGTCAGGGAAAAGATGAAATGTAAAGACAATGTATTCGAACAAAACATAAGAGCAAAGACATATTAGTTTAGGAAGCACTGTAAAAAATCTAGTAAAATAATGCAAATGATAGTATAAATGATAGTGCTGACAATTGGATCAGGGATATAGAGACTACACTTAATATATTATCTCCTAATTCAAAATAAAAGGGCAAAGGAAATAAATTGAAAAAGAAAAAGAAGAGCAAAGAAACGACCAATTCATAACGGAAAAATCTGTGGGAAGTATTTAAACTCACTATCAATAATTTTAAACTAAAATAAGACATAATGTTTGACCTATCAAGTTAGCAAAGATACAATAAAAATATCTAGTTTTAGTAAGGCTGAAGACAACCAAAAATCTCATATAAAGTTTATTTTAGTATATATTGTTTTACAAAATCTTTAGCTGGTAACTAAGCATTAAAAAGCACTATAAAACGTCTATATTCCCTTGATTTAGCAAATCTAGTTAAAATAATTTATCCTAAAGACTTAATCAGGGAATATACATTAAAACAAAATCTTGGCCAGGCGCGGTGGCTCACGCCTATAATCCCAGCACTTTGGGAGGCCAAGGCAGGTGGATCACAAGGTCAGGAGATCGAGACCACCCTGGCTAACAGGGTGAAACCCCGTCTCTACTAAAAATACAAAAAAATTAGCCAGGAGTGGTGGCGGCTGCCTGTAGTCCCAGCTACTCGGGAGGCTGAGACAGGAGAATGGCGTGAACCTGGGAGGCAGAGCTTGCAGTGAGCGGAGATTGCGCCACTGCACTCCAGCCTGGGTGACAGAGCAAGACTCTGTCTCAAAAAAAAAAAAAAAAAAAAAAACGAACCTTACAGTGACCTGCATGTCTAATATTAGAGGACTAGTTAATTAAATCATGATACACCTATGCAATTGAACACTTTGCAATTTGAGCCAGATTAAAGATAGCTACACATTCTTTGATACTCCTTTTTAAAAAGGGATGTAATTTCCTTCACCTTGAATATAGGCTGGCCTTAGTGACTTGCTTGACCAATAAAATGTGGAGGAAGCAACGTTCTCAGACTTTCAAGGTTGGATAAGAAGCTATTTAGCTTTTGCCTGGGTCCCTTGGAACACTTGTTCTTTGAGTCCGACTGCCATGTAATAAGTACCTGAGATTGTGATGCTGAAGAGGCTGTATGGGGAGACCACATGGAGAGACTGTGACTACAAGATGAGAGAGAAAGAGATGCCCGATTTTCAAGTCCCCAGCTGGTCGAGTCATCCCAGTTGAGGCCACAGACATCACAGAAACAAGTCATTCCTGCCTGACTTTCCCAAACTGCAGATGAATACACAAAAGGAATGATTGTTGTGAGTCACTACATTTTGGAGTGGTTTGTGATATAGCAGTAAATAACTAGAACACATTTGGTGAATGGAATTGGTTTTTGAAAATGTTACATTGCATCTGAGACCAAGTAGTAGGAAAAAGATGGAAACACCCCAAGGGGACTATTAGTGGAAGCTCAAAGGGTCCCAGGCTTAGGATTTGAAGGAGAGTGAAAAATATGTTTTTGTAGGATGGAAAAAATTGAGACTTATTTTATGTAGTACCAAAAAGTTTGGCAATACTGGTGCCCAGGTTAATGTGAAAAATAGACAAGGGAACTTTCCAGACAAAATACAGAAAATGCCAACCGGTTTCTTGCAGCAACTTATAAGAACATATAAGGAGACTAAAATACAAAAACTAAAGCAGGAACTGTTAAGATTCTAAGTGGAATTTAGAGGAAATTTAAAAAGGCCAGGACTTGCTTGATTTGAAAACAGAATAGTTTTCCAACCTTAGTCTCTCTTAGCAAAAATTCTCCAAAGTAGAAAATGGCTTCAGCACAAAGATAAAACTTAGGATGCCACCATTAAAGTATGGGCTCAGAGATAAACTGAAGGTTGTGACTATAAACCATTTGTTAAGACTTCAGACAGATGTAAGGGTATACTTAGCCGGGCTTCTAAATATCTCATGGGCACATCTTGTGAACCCTCTCAGTTAAACAACAAGGGTTTTAGAAATATTAACATCCTACAAGAACCACACAGGGGGTCTAACGTAGAAAAGGGCCTGTCTTGGGAAGAAACACTGGTTGTGAAGTGGATTATAAATTGATCCATAAGAAACTCAAATAGGGAGGCAGCAAATTGACTGAGCATCTCTGTTCTTTGGATAGAAGTTGGTAAGATTTGTAAATAGTAAAATTTCTTACACAAAGTTTGCAAGTACTACAGGTTCCATTTGTTGCAATATGCATTTGTCATCCCTTGTAAAGGGTACACATGTCTCTTTATGTCATCTTCTTAACAACAATAAAAAGCAGCATAATTTTTTAATCTTATATATTTCCCACCAGGGAGGAGACAGCATTCATTGGGAGGTGAGAATTATTGGGCTTAAACCTTCAAATTCCTAACATAAAAATGTACATTCAACCAAAAGTGTTGCAGATAAATCCATGTGGAAGAAAAAAGATTAACAGGAATATTACTTAGTGAGGTGGAATCAGAGAATGGGGACTTGGTCTTTAATTACCAAGTTAATTGGTTTTTATCTGTCACCATCTCTAGCCAGCAGATAGAGTTCTTGGTTCAAGGCACTCACAACTTTGAATCCTACAGAGGTACTGTCAGCCTTTTTCTCTTTAATGCTCTTTCTTTCTTGTTTGTTTCTGATTTATCTTCCTTCTGATGAACATGTGCTTTTCTTCAGTTATATTGAAACCATTTGTTACATTATACCAACTGTTGTGCTGTTCTGTACAGCAGTACCCCTCATCCTTATGGGATACATTACAAGACCCCTAGTGGGTGCCTAAGAAACCACAGATAGTATGGAACCCTATATATACTGTTTCTTCCTATACATACATACCTATGATAAAGTTTAACGTATAAATTAGGTACAGTAAGAGACTAACAATAATAGAACAATTATAACAATATGCTGTAATAGCAGTTATGTAAATGTGGTCTCTCTCTCTTTCTCTCAAAATATCTTATTGTACTGTACTCACCCTTCTTTTTGTTGATTTGATAACCAAGAAGGCTACTTAAGTGACTAATGGGCAAAGAGCAAACATGGTGTGGATACTTTGGACAAAGGGATGATTCATGTCCTGGGCACAGTGGAGCAGAAGGACAGAGCAGGACAGGGCAAGACTTCATCATGCTACTCAGAATGACACTCAACTTACAACTTATGAATTGTTTATTTCTGGAATTTTCCATTTAATGCTTTTGGCACACAGTTGACCACAGGTAACTGAAACTGTATGCTTGCTATGGTCTGGATATTTGTCCCCTCAAACCTCATTTGAAATGTGATCCCAATGTTGGAGGTGGGGCCTACTGGGAAGTGTTTGGGTCCTGGGGTGGATCTCTCATGAACTGCTTGGTGCTGTCCTTACAGTAATGAGTGAGTTCTTGATCTATTAATTCCTGTGAGAACTGATTGTGAAAAACAGCCTGGCTCCTCCCTCCCCGCTCTCTCTTGCTTCCTCTCTCACCATATGATCTGTACACACCAGTTCCCTTTTGCCTTCTGCCATGAACAAAAGCAGCCTGAAGCTCTCATCTGACATACATGCTGGTGCTGTGCTACTTGCACAGCATGCAGAACGGTGAGCCAAATAAACCTATTTTCTTTATAAATTACCCAACCTCAGCTATTCCTTCATAGCGACACAAATGAACTATGACACTTGGAAAGAGAAACCACGTGTAAGAGGGAACTACTATACATTATTCTTTCTTCTTTAAGTGGGTTTGGATATTCTTGAACTCATCTCCTATAGATTTTAGGTTTTAAGTGATTAATGCGGTTGCTCTAATTGCCAAAACTCAGATGGTGACTAATAAAGGAAAGACCAGAAACACTATTGTGATCATCAAAGTGAGCACAGAGTTTATTGATTTGCCAGGCAAGAGAACACACACCAGAGAAGAATTGAAGGAGCAGTTTTCTGAGGGAAAAACTTTAGGCAGTATTATGTAATAGGGATGTAGTGAGAGTTTGTGATGGTTATGCTAATGAATACTTGATGTTTGCTTTCTGGATAGGACTACCAGTCCGTAAGTCCGTACAAGGTTAGTTAAAACAAGCCCCACTGTTCACCTGTTAAGAAAGAGTGAAGCTCACACTTCCATTGTAATTTTAGCATGTGAGGTTTTGACCCTTTTTTGTTGTTGTTAGCTGTGTACAGAATGTGTAATCTTTTTTCTTTGTGTGTGTGTGTGTGTGTTGTTTGTGTGTTTTTCTTTTTTCTCCTTGGCTAATTCTTGGCAGGGATCTTTCTGGAGGAAAAGCTGGGGCCAGCCATGGCAGGAGAGGTATGGAATCTGCCACGTGAGGCCTGCTGTTTGCCTGCCAGCCCAACTTCCTGTTGCTTGCCCCTACCCTCTGCGCCTTTGCCTGTCCTCAGGCCGCTGGAACAAAGGAAGGACAGCTCATTCCCCATGGGCGATAACTTCGCACCTAAAGGGTAGAGCCTGGGGGAGCTTGAGGGTGGGCTGGGGGCTCCTTGTCTTGGGTTCACAGCTGTCTCCACGCCCCGTCCCTCAGCACTACTGGTGCCACCTCCCACACTGGGCTGCTGCTTTCTGCGCAGCCACTGCGCCGCCTCCCCCAAACTGTCATGGAAAGAGTGGAGAATGGGGGAGAACCAGGCGTCCTTGGAGGCAGCCTGGGAGGGCGACTGTGTAATGTCACCCACAAGGGAGGCTAGGGCAACGGAGCAGTCCAACAGCAGCAGCAGCTGCTGCGTGAATGTGCAGCATGGAACCCGGGCCAGGCCAGGATCCGGGGTTGTGGGATCTGCTCGGAGTTTTCTGCCCCACACCCCGAGCTTCTGGCAAGGAGCAAGGCTTGCGAACAAGTCAGAAGGATTTGAACTGAGCAGCTAATCTTTTCAGCGCCCAACCCCCACCCCCCACCCCGCAAACACTAAACTCTGCCTGGAGATGCAGCGGCCTGTGTCATCCAGGGCCTCTGGTTTGTTGTATTATAGTATATTTCGCTGTGGAAAATATCACGTTTATTCACCTTGCAGCCCACTCACCTGGTCCTGTTGTTTTACCCCATCTCTTCTCCCGCGCGCCCTTTGATTTCTCGTTTCTGAGAAGAGTACACCGTTCACTATTGTAGAGTAATCCCTGTGACTCAGTATTACCATAGCGCGATGTCGTTTTGTGCTATTTTGAACAATTAAAATACTTTTTGAAATAAAAAAAAGAGAAAGAGTCTTCAATTGTGTTCAGTAATGGTCCAAAATCCTGGAGTCACTCAAAATTCACATTCATTTATCAGCCATAGTTGGTGAATGTTCAATGTTCATGATTGCTTAAAAGCTTCAGCTGGTTAGCACTAGTTAGGGTGAAACACAGCATATCATATAGTCCAATTATATCATAGGCAATCACTGCTTTAAGTTGAAAATCTTTCTTTTAGATATCTCATTGTTGCCATCACTTACCATCTACTATAATTATATAGAAGGCTTATATTCTATTCTGGTGATTCACTTGAGCATTTAACTGCATTCTTACATTCTTCATAGCACCTAGCACAGTTCCTGAGATGCAATAAATGTTCAATAAAGGTTTGTTGAATTAATGAATACTCAAACAAGACAACTTTTTTTAACCTCACTTTTTTTACCTTGTCAAAATTAATGTGTATCTATTTAGAATGAAATCTCTGTGTAAGAGGCTTTCTTAATATTTTATCAGCGTAATATACTTGAAAATATCATATAACATAGGAAAACCCCTATCAATAGATTCTCTTTTCATAGTCATTTACTATTAGCATTTTATTAAAAATAAGATATACATATAAATTTATTTCTATTCTGATTAACTAATAAATTGATTAAATGATAAATGAAATATACAGTATTATGTTCACAGCAGACATTCAAAAATGGGACTAATAAGACATATACTCTCAAATTCATGTGGCAGAATTGATTTTCAGGACTATTTTAAATATATTTATCAAATGATGTAAAATGTATCAAATGATGTAATGATCTTTATGACTTACATGAGCTTGTTTTATTTGTGTGTGTGTATACACACACATACATATACATATTGTGGAACGAAAAACAGTGATAAATCACAGCAATTAACAAAACTGACAAATTAATTGCTTACTATCTATTAAAGACAAATATTTATATTAAAAAGATGTATTTCAAATTTTATTATTACATATGTTTGATTGTTTTTGACTGGGGAAATAAGAAGTTTTGGGTTATAAATAGTTTCTGGCATTGTTTTATTGCTTAAGTATGTTATGTAGCTTTAAATATAGCAAAACTAGCTTAAAATCTTTTTTTCTTTCCATTGCATCAGTGTTTCTATATAAAAATCTATTGCTGAGAATGTTTTTAGGCTGTGAATTTTAGGCTGTGGATATCACACTGTGGTTTTCACAGAATAATATTAATAGTTTTACTGACAGTCTTTATTGGAAAGGTTGTTTTCTACCTGTGATAGGCAGGTTCCGATGTGGTCACCAATAATCCCAGCATCCTGGTATTCATGCTCTTGTGTGATCCCCTCCCCTTAAGCATAGTCTTGATTACTTGATTTTAACCAATAAAATATGGAAAAGATAATGGGATGCCATTTCTGTGATTAAATGAAAAATATTATGACTTCTATATTGTTAGCAGACTCTATTGCCTTTGTGGCTTGCACACTTTGATGAAGCAAGCTAAAATATGGGAGAGACCCAGGTGGCATGGAAATAAGGGAGGCCTCACTTTCTACCCAACCCATTTCTCACGGATGGGTAGAAAATGAGGTCCTCAGTCCATCAGACCACAGGATCTGAATACAGCCCCAAATCACTGAATGAGCATGGAAAAGAATCCTTTCTCAGTTGTGTCTTCAGATGAGACTGTGGATCTTTGTCTGATATCTCAATTGCAGCCTTGTGATAGGTTGTATAGCAGAGAACCCAGTTCAGCCATGCCCAGTTTCCTGACCCAAAGAAACTATAAGATAAAAAATGTGTGCTGTTCTGTAGTAGTAGGTAACTAATACAATAACTCGTCAGTAAAACTGACAAACTTAAATATGTCTTGACACCAAAATCTTTTAAAAAACTAATTAAATGTATAAGATCTTATCCTCACATATGTCATGTCAACATGGTGCAATTCTCATTTTCTAAGAAAACCAGATAATTTACCTGACAAGACAAACCTGTAGCCATTCTAATGTCTTCTCTTGATGTATTATGCTCATGCTATTTCTCTCTAAATCATCTATTATGACAAAGAAGGAAAATGGGAGACATTACATCCATATAACAAAACTTAACATGGTACCAGAGGGCCTCCAGCTCATCTTTTTCCAAGGGGAAAACATCATCAAATTTTTCCACTAAGATAGCCATCAAGTTTTGTCACAGAGATTTCCCTAATAATAACTTCTGTAAACTTGTAGGCTAGCATTGTATTTCTGTTATAATGTAAGCTCTCTTATTCCTGCTGTGTGACCTATGGCAATTTACTTAGTTTCTCTGCATGTCAGTTTTCTAAGCAATAAAATTATATTTTTGGATTATATGGTATATAAGGACACCCCCTATATCTACTGAAATATTTCAAGTACTGTAAGCGTACCTAAAAATATTTATATTTTTAACATGGCCACAGCAGAAGCTTCTGATGGGAGACATTATCTGTGTTGCAAAGCTGCTTGGTATACTGCCTAAATGTGCCAAAAATTTCTGCTAAGACATTTTATTGCAAACTCGAATCTACTAGATTCTGCAGGGATTCTTTTGAATAAATCCTTTTAGGCCTTAAAAAGAAAAGTTCTCTTTTTTTTCATGTTCCTAGTGCAACATTAAAAGTGTTTATTTCTCATATTCTTTATTCAACATGTTACAATTCCCTTCCTTGTGAGCATAAATAAATATTAAATTCCACAACTGCCATAGAGAAACAAGCACAAACGGAAATGATGTTTTTCTAAGATAATTCACTTTCAAATGAATGAATACTACTGTGAGGTGTTTAATAAATCTAAAACTAGTGACAAAAATAGGAGGAATTATTAGAGAAAAAAATTGATCAGTACTATGCAAATAATGACTCACATAAGAATACAAAATGTCAGAGAAGCAAAAAATAACACAGGTAAGAAATAGATGCTAAAGTAATTTTTTAAAAAGACAAAGTCACAGGAAAATTAATTTCCTTATTTTCCTTGGCATTGTGCACTTAGAAATGTACTCTTCCGGGTTGCTTAAGAATCCTTTAATCCTTGTAATGGACATTTATTGCTACTCAATATCCAATCCACCTTCTCATTTCCTGTCAGCACCCAGTTTTCCTTTTGGGGAACACCCTGCCGACATTGTGTAAGAGCCCCGGGGCTCACATCAGAATTTCTTCCATAATGCTACTAGTAGATCCAGATCAACACCTCAAAAAAAGATTATTTCACTAATTGTGAAAACTGATGCTCTCTCCCTGTATCTCAATAAGAAAAAACAGTGTTTCAATTGCTTCTGACACGCATTTTTTAAGGATGTAAGATAAAAATAAACCAAATATGGAGGAAGGCAGAACCAATGGACTATCAGAGAAACAGACCTGTGATCCTGATAAATCCAAGGCTTAAAGAGACTTGGCAGTGATATAAGCCAATAGAACTGCTTGTTTAGACCAGGTTAAGCTGTATAATTGTAACTTAAAGTTTATAATACACCTTCCTGTAAAAACATAGCTAACAACCAAAGCATCTCCCTCCACCAAGAGATAGAGTGACTCACTCCATTACCTAGGCTAGAGTGCAGCGGCACAATCAGAGCTCACTGAAGCTCTGAACTCCTGGTCTCAAGGAATCCTCTTGCCTCTGCCTTCCAAATCACTGGGATTACAGGCATGAGCCACTGCACCCCACAGCCTCCAAAGTGTCTTTAATTGATGCCTTTTATTTAGCTATTGTTGTATATGTTGGGTCAGGATATTTTTCAATTTAAACACTTCTAATCTTATCCTTCCTAGTATTTTATTGTGATAAAAATCACACATTAATACTATAATATTTTATTTTTAATAGTGAAATCTATCAAAACTCTTAATGATGTGCTCCTAAAGGAAATACCGATGCTCCACGACATAGCCTTCTGAAGAAGACACACCTTTGAAAGATGTATGAGTGAATATGTGTGTTCCCAAATATATGACAGTACAAAGGCCACGGCCATTGCCTGGGCATTGCCTTGGGGTTTATGAAAGTTACCTGACGGGTGGAAAAATAGCCAAGCCTTTCCTGTGTGATATACTTTGGTTCATGAGTAGCATATCATTTCTCCAGGTTAAAGACTTTAAGCTAAGGCATCAAACAAGTTTCTGTACATGCCAAAGAGCAAAAGGAAGGATGCCAGAGACAAGTCATTTTCAGTTATGACTAACTTCCTGAATCAGTAAGATTCACTAAAGAATTGGAGAACAATAAACTTTGCTTTGAGATTTTTGTTTTAGAATAATATAACAACAAGCTTAGAAAGTAGTTGAATTGGTCTTCATCTGACAAGAATGACACAAGTCTCCACAGTGCAAAACTAAACAAAATATTCCCTCTCCCCTGCCCTGCTTAATTTTTTTAACTAATAGATGATAATGGAGGCATAATGGAAACCAGGAATCAGATGATACATTTCAAGTGTGAAATGCAAAAATTTTCTTTACTCTGGGTTTGTAATATGCAATTGCTTTTTTCATATTCTATATTAAGGCAGGATAAATTTACCATCCAGTCAAATTCATTTCTTCTGCAGACACAGTATCACTGTCCCCATGTAGGTTGCCATCATTTATCTCTTGAAACTAATTTATTCCCTGCCTCCAAGCAGCTGTGAAAATGATCTAAATGAGACACAAAATTGCTACGCTACTCCTCTGTGTAAAATCTTTCTAACCTTGCAGTGGCTACAATTACCAGGAACATGAAATCCAAGCTCCTCGTTCCCTGGTCTGGTTCCTAATTTCTTTTTCAACTTCACTTCTTGCCAAACTCTAAATTCCTGCAACCTAAAAGTGCTGGCTGTTTCCTGCATATATCATGCCTCTGCTCACGTAGGATCTTCCATCTAGAACGTCACACCTTACTTTCATCTCAGCCTGGTTGAATCTGACTTATCCTTTGCCCCCAAGTTAGGGACATAACTCTGTGGTCAAGGGAATAGTTTTCAAATCTGCCAGAGTGGTGTTTAAATGCCCCTTCACTACATACGACCTGCATGAACTCAGTCAAGTTATTCAACCGGCCCAAGCTCAATTGCCCTATCTGTAAAACAGGGGCAATAATACTTATTTATAATGTTGTTTTGAGGATTAATTGAGATATTTACAAAGTGCTTAGAAGAGCACCTGGCACATAGCAAGTTCTTTATTAATGTGTATAACTAAGTATTATTGTCACCCACCATGCAAAGACTTTCCTGATACCACCACTATCTGGCTGTAGAAGAGGCCTCTTCTCTGTTCCTTTATAATACTTTATTGAAAATTCTATCATAAAAATTATAACATTGTAATATGATTATCTTTTATAAAATGGCTTTTTAAATTTATCATAAATTCTCTCAGTACTACAACCATACCTATTTCATTTTTGCATTCCCATGGCTTAATATAGTGTCTGACATGTAGTAAACATCCAGCTAATATTTATTGAATGATTAATAAATGATATTCTGTCCCCAGCCAAATCTTATCTTGAGGTATAATCACCATAATCCCCATCTGTAAAGGGAGAGACCAGGTGGAGGTGATTGAATCATGGAGGCAGTTTCCCCCGTGCCATTCTCTTGAGAGTGAGTGAGTTCTCACGAGATCTTATGGTTTTATAAGGGGCTCTTCCCTTTTCACTCTTTCACTCAGTACTTCTCCTTCTTGACGCCTTGTGAAGAAGGTGCCTTGCTTTCCCTTTGCCTTCTTCCATAACTGTAAGTTGTCTGAGGTCTCCTCAGCCATGCTGAACTGTGAGTCAATTAAATTTCTTTCCTTTATAAATTACCCAATCTCAGCAGTTCTTTATAACAGTATGAAAATGGACTAATACATTAATCAATGAACGCAAATTTCTCAGAATAAAATAAATATATGTACATAAGTTGTTACAGATAGTCATTGCTACACACACACACACAAAAACACATCAAAATTTACTGAATTTAAACAAGGAGACATTTATCTTTTTCAGAAATCTGCAATTTGGGCTGTGCTGATGGGGAGAGCTCTTCCCTGCTCTGCTTGGCAAAATCTGTGGTAGCTCAGAAACTAAATGCTGGAATCATGTGAAGTCTTGCTGAGTCCATATGTCTGGTGGTTGTTGCTGGGTGTCACCTTAGCAAAAGGCATATAATTAAGGCCACTTGTTAGTTGACTTTAAAATAGGGAGATGATCTGAGTGCCTTAATCTAACCACATGAATCTTTTTAAAACAGAAAATTTTCTCTGGCTGGTGGCTGAAGGCAGAAGAAGTGAGATATTTGAAGCTCAGTGGGGATTTGATGTACCATGGCTAGCTTTAAGATGGAGAGGGCCACGTGCCAAAGAATGTGAGTAGCGCTAGGAGATGAGAGCTGCCCCCTGATGACAGCCAGCTAGGAAATGTGTATCTCAGTGCTACACGGAATTGAATTCTGCCAGCAGCCTGAATGAACTCAGAAGTAGATACTACCCTAGAGGTTCCACGTAAAAGTCCAGCCTGACTAGATCCCAGATTTCAGCCTTGTGAAATACTAAGCAGAGAATCCAAATGAACCATGCTGTACTTATGCCCTACATAACTGTGAACTAATAAATCTGTATTGTTTGAGGTGCTGCATTTGTGGCAATTAGTTACAAAGCAATAGAAAACTAAAACAATGGAGTTTCTGGGGACAGCATTCAGAAAAGAAATATTGCTATGACCATTTAAGAACTACCAATAAGTATCTATTCAGAGTATTTGGGTTGGTAATGTTTTTGCTTGAACATAAATACTTTAAAAGTAATTATCATTAAAAGTCTTTGGATTTAAGGCTAATTTTAAGGTAATTTTTACAAATTACCATAAATTATGATACAAAGTCTCAGGCTGATTCATTTTTGAGGCTCTGAAAGAGGAGATTCGTCCAGATTCTTAACCAGGATCAAGATTTAGACAGAAGGCTACTGACCTTGGGCCTGCCGGGAGGTCAACTCTTAGATGCTGTTGTGGTTAAACTCTGTCCCCACCAGAAAGATATGTTGAAGTCTTAATGCCCAGTACCTCAGAATGTGACCTTATATGAAAATGGGGTCTTTACAGGGATAACCATGTTAAAATGAGGTCATTAGGTTGGGCCCTAATTTAATATTACTGGTATTTTATAAAAACGGAAATTTTGAACACAGAGACATGCACAGACAGAAGACTATGTTAAGAGACACAGGGAGAACACCATATGGCAGAGACTGGATTGATGCAGCTACAAGCCAAGAAATGCCATAGACTGCCAGGAAACAAGCAGAAGCTAGTAGGGGGCAATGGAACAGATTCTCTATCCTGGTTCCCAGTAAAAACCAACCTTGCCAATTGAACTCTAGCCTCCAGAACTATAAAATAATGATTTCCGTTGTTTAAGCCACTCAGTTTGCGGAAGCCCTAGAAAACTAATACAGATGGCAAAAGGAAGTGGGCTGCTTCAGCAAGAAATATCTTAAAAAGTATAAGTTGTTTTGAACTTAAGAAATGCGCAAAGACTGAGTTTTGAGGAAAATGGCAGAAAAAGCCAAAATTGCCTTGAAGAGATTGTTGGTAAAAAATATGGATGTTAAAGGAGAGTCTGTGGAGAGCTCATAAAGAGTAAACCTGGAGAGAAAGCTTCTATCATCTTAGATCATACATCATCATGAACAATGTTGCTAGAAATATAAATGTTAAAGGTGGTGGGGTATCAGACAAAAATGAGGATCATTTTATTGGAAACTGGAGAATAGGTGATCCATGTTAATGGAAACTGAAGAAAAGGTGACAGAGAATTTGGTTGAATTGTGTTCTATAGAGTGGAAAGAACTTATTCATGATGAACTTGGATATTTAACTGAGGAGAATTTTAAGCAAAGTATTGAAGGTGCAGCCTGGTTTCTCCTTGTTGTTTATAGTAAAACAAGAGAGGTAAAAGATAAACTAAAGAAGGAATCCTGCCTGAGTTTTCCTGTAGATTTTGAATTCCCTGCAGATTTTGGACTCAAGAGTGCAACATCAACATTTATCTGAATTTTTAGGCTGCCATCCTGGTCTACAAATTTCTTGCTTGCTAGCTTCCACAGTTGTGTGAGTCAATTATTTAAAATCTCAAATGTGATCTCTTTCTCTCTGTCTCCATATGCATGTACATGCCATGCATGGCTATATATGTGTGTGTGTGTAAATATTTATATATACACACATTATAGATATATATATACATTTTGTGTGTATGTGTGTGTGAATAGCCAGTATATATACCTAGCATGTCAGACAGTGTGTGACGCACCTTGAATAAGTAATGTGAGAAGCCATTGTAACCAGTATATCTAGCTTAGGTAGACTGGAGAATAACATTGCTGTTAGGATGTTTTTAATATTCAGTATCTCATAGGTAGTTATAAATCGAGTTTAGGGAAAATAATTCAGGGCTAGAGTTCTGGAAACCATCTGTAAACAATTTTTTAAAAAACTGTGGTACTAGATAACTTTTTGAAATCAGAGGGTAGGAAATAAAGTTGTTGAGAAAAGAAGAGAGAAGAACTCAATACACTTGAGGGTACCCTTTTGTGAAACATGCCTTGAGGAAACAGAATAGCCTATATGGATTTGTACTTATATTTTTCAAAAATTATCTCTAAGCATCTATATTAGTCAATGCTCTCCAGAAAAACAGATGATGACTCCAGCCTCCTTGAGTTTCAGTCTGGGAAAGCTCAAAGTTGCCAAAAGAATCTGTTTGTTCCAGCCAACACCTTATTTTGGTGCTAATATTTTACAGTTCTTCTCTAATGCTGACTAATCTCCCTTTTTAATCAAAAGAAATCCAACTCTAAATGAATCACATTTTTTATTCATTATGCTGATACTGTTAGTTTTTAACAGGTTATTATGTTGTTTCGATTTATATTAATCATATAAAGTTTTCTATTTAAAAATTCATTTACATATAAAAGGTAAGTTAATTTAAAAAATATTAAGTATATAAGAGAAATAGGAAGATTGACAAAATACTTTTCCTGACTAACTATAGCCAGGTTCCTCTGAGCCCATTTACTGGCAAAGTCTCCACCTTGGGCTATAAAAACTACAGACTCTCAGCACAACTGATTTCATCCACATCCTCCCCCCTCCCACCCATACACACATATCAAAAGACTTGAACAAACACTAATATAGTTTCTAACAGCTCAAGGTTGCATTCTTAAGATGAAATTTGGAGTTATCCTGGCCTTCTCTCTCTCTCTACATCAAATTAATTTTGTTAAATTTGTCTCCAAAATGCCACTAATCATCTCTTCATTCTCTGCCACTGATTTACCCAGGACTCTACTGTGTCTTACCTAGATTATTATTATTATTATTACTTTTTGAGACGGAGTCTAGCTGTGTTGCCCAGGCTGGAGTGCAGTGGCGCAATCTCAGCTCACTGCAAGCTCCGCCTCCTGAGTTCACGTCATTCTCCTGCCTCAGCCTCCCGAGTAGCTGGGACTACAGCGCCCGCCACGATGCCTGGCTAATTTTTAGTGTTTTTAGTAGAGACGAGGTTTCACCGTGTTAGCCACGATGGTCTCGATCTCCTGACCTCGTGATCCACCCGCCTCGGCCTTCCAAAGTGCTGGGATTACAGGCGTGAGCCACCGCGCCCGGCCTGTCTTACCTAGATTATTAAAATAAAAAACTCTCTTTCCCTTTCATTCTCATCACCTCATTTGATTTCTTTTCATTTTACACATCGTTAGAGAAAGCCCCCTAGAGCAAAAAATTCTGTTATTTCCTTCCTTACGATGGTTTCTGCATAGATTAATGGTGAAATGCTAACTAGTACGTCCCTGTTCAAAGCCCTTCACAAAGTGATACAAACTCTTCTTTCTATGATTCCTCCTCTACCCTATACACTTTCTATTTTGTGATATGAAAATATTTCTAAAGATCAAATTTTTATGCTCAAAATTTGAAAAAATATAAAAGTCTAAAAAACTTAGAATAATTTAAAAATGGGCCTCAAAAGTGAATTGAAAGATGTATTTTATACTGTAGACACATGGTGGCACCATTTTAGCAGCCTAGCAGCAATACTAGAGAACCTTTGTTAATATTGTGTGATTATGCTCTAAAATTGTGCAAGCGCTTTAAATGGCTAATGTGATACTACTTTAATCATTTATTAATGGTATTTTTAGTGCTAGAAATGCTCCACAATATCAATAACTTTGAAACAGAATTTAGAGGTGATAGTTATTTATACATTGTTTTTATTACTCTTTTGTTATGGGCTGAATTGTGTCAACACTTCCATGTTTATATGTTGATGTTCAAACCCCCAATATCTCAGAATGAGACTGTATTTAGAGATAGGGTCTTTAATGAAATAATTAATTTAAAATTATTAGGATTGGCCCAAATCAAATATGACTAGAGTCTTGATAAGAAAATTAGGACACAGACATGTATAGAGAGAAGACCCTGTAAGAACGCAGAAGGTACTGATCTGCAAGCCAAACAGAGAGGTCTCAGAAGAAACCAGCTGTGCTGATACATTGATCTCAAACTCTTAGCCTCCAGAATTGTGAGAAAATAAATATCTATTGTTTAAGCCACCAAGTCAGTCTGTGGTATTTTGTTATGAAAGCCCTAGCAAACTCATATTCCTTTCGGTATATTTACAAATATAGAAACCATACAATAGTTGTGGATTAATGTACTATATGAGTGCAATCTCCATATTATATATTTATTTTTACAGAAAAACTGAGTCTTGATTTATGAGTTTGTAAATTATTTAAGCTCTTCAGAAGTCCTCGCCTCAAATAAAATGCTACTGTCCTGAATGTTGGCCCTGTTCTCTACTGACTATTAACCCAATTTATTGTGTGTTTTTCCGCATTTGTATCCTTGCTCAGCTGAGCCGAGTTTACTGGAGTGGTTAAGGGTGCAGGCTCTACAGCTGGACTGTGTGGACTCACAGCCCTAGTTCATCACTAACTGTGACTCTAGACAGTTATTTAAAAAACGTTGGCCACATTTTTCTTGGAAATCTATGAAACAGAGATAATAAGAGTGCCAGCAATAGAGGGCTCTGTGAAGATCGAATGAATTGATACAAAGTATGTAGAATAGTACTGGGAACTGAGAAAATGTGTTATGCTGTTGATTATTCCTCTGCTTAAGTTCCATTTATTTCCTTGGATAAAAACAAAAAACTGCCTATCCTTCGAAGCACATGAAAGATACCTCCTCTTTGAAGTTCAGTCACTATACCTCCTGCTTCTTCTCAAGTTGAATAATAAAGAAACTTGTGCAAAGATATTGCAAGAGATGAGCTTTAGTTTCCAAAAATTTGGATTCAAATTTTTTTTTGCATTTATCTATCATGTAATTTATCTATCATGTAATTTTAGACATTTTGCTTAATTTGTTTGAGTTTCCACAGCTAGTATATAACCTGACACAGTGGAGCTCAGTATTTTTCTAACAAATATGTTTTTCCATTTGTAGGCTGGGAAACATAATGTCAGCCTTATAAGATACTGCAGTTTTCTAAAGTGTGGGACAAATTCCTGTGGAGGCACCAAGATAGATACAGACATGGTATCAAGGATACTGTGTTATTCAGATAAAGTTTTTCTTTCAACCCTATTTAAATGCTTCTTGCTAGGTCAAAGAGAAAAATCTCAGTTTGAGGCTAATATTTTTAAATTCTTTTCTAATATCTGCTAATCTCCCTTTTGTAATCCAGACAGACCAAACCTACAATTGAATCACATTTTTTATTCACTACAGTTATATTTACTGTTACTCTTATGACAGCTCATCATGCTTTCTCCATTAATGGTATCTACGTTTTCTTTTAAAAAGAATTCATTTACATATAAAGGTAAGTTAAAGAAAAATATAAAGTACATAATATCGGTATGAGGATTGACAAAGATTCTTGACCAAACTCTAGCCTGACTCTTCTAAGCCCTCTTATCAGCAAAGCCTCAAACTTGCCTATAAAAACTACAGACCCTCAGCACAAATGATTTCATCCACATCCTTCCCCTACCGGTTTGCCCACACATTAAAAGACTTGAACAAACTCATATAGTTTATAACAGCTCAAGGCTGCATCTCTAAGATGAAGCCCCCTTAAATTTCTGTCTGAGAAAGCTCAAGACTGACAAAATAATTTATTTGTTCCAGCCAACATGTGAAAGTAGCACTCATTTCCTAGTGTCTGCGGGAAGGGTAGGAGCCTTATTTCCATAAGCAACAGTTTACAACCCAGATGGATTTCAAATGGACCATTCTTCCGCCATTGTTTTTTGTAAATTTCCGTTTCCCTGACTTTGATCAAGCCCAGTTGTTCTCTTTCCCTACTCCCGCATTCTCCTTTTAAAATACAGTCGCCTCTGGACAAATTGTAGTTTAGTTCATTCTGGATCTTATTCCCGATTGCATTAGTATATCACTATAATAAAAATCTGTCTTCACCACTTTAACTGGTGTCTGCCTTTATCTTTGACAGGATATGGTGAAAATTAATGAGGGTAATTGTGCAAATTATGGAAGTCTGGGCAACATTGAATATAAATTATTGTGTTTACTTCAAGATAGTTGTTAAATTCATTCTCTTACAAGTGTGACAGAATTAGTCGTCTATCAAGTACTGTTTTAATTCATAAAAGTTCCAAGAAAGGGCCAGGCGCGGTGGCTCACGCCTGTAATCGCAACACTTTGGGAGGCCGAGGTGGGCAGATCACGAGGTCAGGAGTTCGAGATCAGCGTGACCAACATGGTGAAACCCCGTCTCTACTAAAAATACAAAAATTAGCCATGATTGCTGGCGCGCGCCTGTAATCCCAGCTACTCAGGAGACTGAGGCAGGAGAATCGCTTGAGCCCAGGAGGCGGAGGTTGCAGTGAGCCGAGATAGCGCTACTGTACTCCAGCCTGGGCGACAGAGCGAGACACCATCTCAGGGGGGAAAAAAAAATCCAAGAAAGAACTGAGTCTGGTACAGAATTCTTGATCCTAAGAAATCCTCCAAATGAAGAAACTTTCAAAGGCTCTGGAAACAATACGAATGATTCTGTCTTCAGTCACAATGATGAACTGAACACAGCTGTCATCTCCCTCCTTCGCACCAAATTCTGGATATTCCAGAAAAGCGCAAGAGAAATAGTGGGAGACAAACACTGGATGCAATCCTCCTATCACCTGTTTTATCCCCCATTCTTACTTCGTCAGAGCTCATTCCATGAAGTGGTAACTTGATGACGATGGAAACATTGGGGGTCCAGCATGGAACTTTTTCCCACCTTTACTTCTTGCCAAAACCTTCCTGGATTCAGTATTGCAATCAATGTTATGGCCCGTTTCCTTTCAGATGCACTTCAAGATTAGCTCTGTCACTGACAACATGGGGAATACATTTCGACCTCCAGATTTTAAAAGTGCCATTATTATTTTGCCATTAGGTAGAAGGCTAAGTCTCAACGTTGTGCTAATAATAGCATCTTTAAGTCCCTGGACTAAGACCTCGGCTCCTGGTTCGGGAATCAGACTGCCTGGGCGGCACTCCAGGCTCCACAGCTCCCCACCTGTGAGCTCCTGGGCAAGTCACTCGGTCCGGATTTCCAGAGGTAGTTTGGGGGAACTGACAGTACACACACCACAGGGCAGTAGTAAGAAAGAGACAATGCAAAGGAATTGGCACAGCACTCAGCAGACAATATAAGCTAATATGTACTCTGTCTACACCCTGCGTTTTAGGGAGTCAATCGAAAGCCTCCACTCACGTGACCACTCCACTACCCGGCGCCAAGACGCGCTGATGTCACGACAGCGTGCGGCGTGCAGACGTCGGCAAGCTGCGCCGCCGCTTCGGGTTGCTTCCGGATCTGGTACTTGGGCAGAGCTCCCCGGGGTTCATTGTCTTCGCTTCACAGGATCTGTTTGAGTCCTGTCCACCGGATCCTACGGGGGGTACCTTCGAAAAAAAACGGGCTATGCTGCTGTTGCGTGTGGGTACCCTCTCCTGACGCCTCCGCCGCCCGGGTCATGTGGACCCTCGTGGGTCGGGGCTGGGGGTGCGCACGCGCTCTCGCGCCACGAGCCACTGGGGCCGCGCTTCTGGTGGCCCCGGGGCCCCGGTCCGCGCCGACCCTTGGGGCTGCTCCAGAGTCCTGGGCTACCGACAGGCTCTACAGCTCCGCAGAATTCAAGGTGACTGCCCCCTGGAATCTGATTTAGCCAAGTTTTCAAACGTTGGAGTGCCCCATGCGATCTTGGACATGTATAGGGCTTTCTGGGACTAGCTCTGAACCCTGCTTGCAACTTGGTACAGGGAGGCAGAGCGGAGAGTGTGAGCACTGCTCAGGTTCCCGACCCTCCACTCCTCACTAGTGTGACCTTGGGCAAGTCACTAACTTTGTAGGTTTTCTCATTTTCAATGTCAAATGTTGATTTGTTTACGCGAGCCACTGGTCGAAGTGCTTTGCGTTTATTCATCTATTTAATTCTAAAAAGCCTACTAAGCAAGTTGCTAGTAAATATTAATATAACGTCCATTTTCCTGCAAATTAAGTAGCTATGTGGCCTGGGCAAGTTACTACATTGTCACTCTCCTACTTCATTTGTTGAATGCAGAACTGATCAAACATCCAGTGGCTAATTTGTGAGATTTGTGTGATGTGAGAAGTGGACTTTTTTAGACTAATACCTAGAATGCAGGAAGTTCTCGGTCTGTCTTTGTAGTTTTATTTCATTCTACCTCAGCCAGAGCAAACCTGTGTAATTTTGACTCTGGTGGGAGAGGGTGGGAGGTTCAACAACTCTGATAATTGTGAATGGATACATTTTAGTCAGAAAAGTGAAGTGACTGAAGGCAAGCTATAAGTAGGCAGAAAGACAAAACCTTAAATTAATCAACTTTGGCCCTAATATGCCTGTGTTTTTAAAAATGGATTTATATTGCAATTCGAAGTATAAAGATGGTGCAATTCTCTATACCTTTTGAACTGAAGGGAAAGAAAATCTACAGGGCAAACATCAGAATTAGTTTTTTTTCGGCAGACTTTCAGCTATAATTGTGCTTTTATTATCTGTCTTTATGGGGCTATTAAAAAACAAAGCTCACGTGAATTTTATATTTCATTGTAATTTCATGGTTTTGCTGATTGTGAAATATGCAGTTGATTGGAAAAAAATAGAGTACAAAAAACTGGTATATTTTGCTTGATAACAATTTCTAGCAATTTGTGATGTGTTTCAGTAAAACGTTAAAGAAGATGTGTACACGAAAAACCAGGAGTTCCATTTTAAAATATTTTTAAGTTTTAAGTGATAAGTCTTTTGTTGGATGTCATCTTTTTTTCTTTCTCACCAGAGAAGCTGCAAAGTAGCAAAATTGTATTTAAAATAAAATTTTGAGGCTCCATTAGAGACACAGATTTTTAAATAAATCTGATTCCTGATTAAATGTGTGATAGGAGCAGAAAATTTATCTTCTTTCAGCTTTTCTGTAGCTCCATTGCCTCAAAAGTTTTACTAGACAAGGTATTCTCAGGCCTTTAGAAGTTCTAGGTGTCTCATGTTCTCCATTCACGATAATAAATTCAGTTCCTGATTGGCCCTAAAAATTGTGTAGAAATGTTAAGGGATTATGATTTAGCTGTATAGTTACCTTTGGCTATTAAACTGATGTTCCTTGTAATATGAACTTAGCCATACATGTCTTTTTCTTAGAATAATAATATAAACAATATAAATGCTAGAAATGATATTGTTCAACGATTAAAAGAATATTCTTTGAATTGGTATACTTGTTTGATAGTATGCCAAATTTATACTCCTAAATGTGGTATTTCCCCTTTCTAGGAAAAACTTGACATGTCTAGGTTTCCTGTTGAAAATATTAGAAATTTCAGTATTGTTGCACACGTGGATCATGGCAAAAGTACTTTAGCTGACAGGCTCCTAGAACTTACAGGTATTTCATTTATGTTACATACTTAACTGATGGCTGCGAGTTATTGGGAATTACTTTTACTCTTAAATTTTAATTTTATAAGTAATATTCTCTTTTTTTTTTAAAGCCCAGAGAAATATCAATAAGTGTTTCTGTTTATAGGGACAATTGATAAAACAAAGAATAATAAGCAGGTTCTTGATAAATTGCAAGTGGAACGAGAAAGAGGAATCACTGTTAAAGCACAGACAGCATCTCTCTTTTACAATTGTGAAGGAAAGCAGTACCTTTTAAATCTCATTGATACACCGGTAAGTTTAATATTAATTTTGCATGTATTGTTAAAGTCAACATTGTGTCAGTAGTGCAAACAGATCCTTGTTTAATTTTTGAACTGAGTATTAAACATCTGCCTTTGCTTTTTGTTTTCTCAGTGTTCTTATGTTAGTGTCAGTTGTTTCAAAAGTGCAGGCTACAAAAAAGAAACGAATATTTAACAGCTTTTATCAAGTAAAGTCAATAAATTTGCCATAATGCTCTTTCCTAAAAAATTAACTCACATTTACAGGTATCAATATTTTTGTTTCTCAGGGCCATGTTGATTTTAGTTATGAAGTATCCAGGTCACTTTCTGCTTGCCAGGGTGTTTTACTTGTGGTTGATGCAAATGAGGTAGGTATTTTTCATTTTGTATGATGTGATATGACATGACTATTTGGTTGTTTCAAGAGTTTTTCTTTAAAATGTGTTTTGGAAATAGAATTTTTGTGTTTGAAAAATAGATTTAATCTGTTACTTACTGAAAATCATATGGTTTCATCCTGTTAATCTGAAATATTATTACAATAAAGCATTCTCTGGAATTGACTAGTTTTTAAATTGGAATTGTTCAAAAGATTGTTGTATTTTTTTGAAGTGTGACATCATATTGTCAATGCATCTTACCAAAAAAACCCCACCAACTTTAGCAGTTCTTAATCTGAGGTTTCTATATCCATTTTTAGCAGATCTTAAGAATAAATCATTAGTTTTCAGATCATTTTAGGTGATTTTAAGGCAATAATTTGGAAGTATTAGGTTTTTAAAAAATCAGTAACATTACTAAGCTCTTTTGTTGTGTAAGCCGTAAAGACACTCAGCAGATGACCATGTAAGAGCTGTGAATATAAACTTTTGTTACATGTTTCTCACAAACTCTTCATTCAAAACCCAACTTTTTTTTAGTGGTGGTGGTGACCGTGTTGTGTTAAGCCGTTAAGCCTTTCCTGATCCCATCAAGGAAAGTCAATCTCTACCTTATGTAGGCAGTACTGGCCTTTATAAACTACCTTGATGACTGTGTTCTCTAATAAGCTTTGAGGTCCTTGAGAGTCCATGTTACATCTTTTGTTTCTCCAATGCCTGATGTAGTTTCTGGCACAGAAAAGGCCCTCCAATAAATGCTTTCTGAACTGAAAGGAATTATTACAGAGGATGATTCAGATGCATGGAAAAATAGGTATCATAGTTGAGCTGCCGTGTACCTTTCCTTAAAGGCTTCCTATCTCAAGCTTAGTAGACTGTCTGTTGGCTCACTCTACTTGATGTGATTATTGCTTTACCATCAGCGATTTTCATATTGACCCCAAAGACATAAGTTGGAGAGAAAAGCATGAAGGGTAGCTACATGGCATTTTGTTTAATTTTATTATTAGCATAACGCAAAATCTCTTGATGAAGATGTATAGAATGGTCTTAAATTACAAGTTTTGTGATATATAATAGAATGGTCATCTCAGTATCTTGTATCTTGATATTTTCAGGGAATTCAAGCCCAAACTGTAGCAAACTTCTTTCTTGCCTTCGAAGCACAGCTATCGGTAATTCCAGTTATAAATAAGGTAATTACAATGAGACAACAGTGTTGCTATTTCACTTTCTAAAAGTACAATTAATGTTTAAATGTCAGTTGTACTATTCATTATATGAGGGATCACCAGCTATTTATTAAATATATTGGTGGGATTTATCTCTTTGAATTGTATATAACAGAAGTGCAACTGAAACTCACCCTTGCACAGAATTGAGAAGGTAGTTCTCCTGAATTAACTTGTGGTAGCTGAGGGCCATTTCTGTAGGGAAGGGAAGCAGGGCAGATGAAACATGTTTGTCAGATTAAACCATACATAGGAAAAGAAGAGAAGTTTATAATCTAGGAAGAAACAATACAACACATGAAGCATGACAATTTAGTGCTAAACTGAGCTCTGTCTATAAACTTCCATTTCATATTTTAAAATTAATTTAGAATCTTAATTTTAAAATCTGCATTGCTTTAATTATATTTCTTGATAATGGAGTTAAGTTTAAAAGAAGGCCATAGGTAAGACAGCTTGTTGTCAGACTTAATGTTGTATTTAACTTAACCTTTAAAATCAGTTCACATGCTGCTTAATTGATAAATTACTACTGATCTCTTCTGCTGCCCTGGGTAGCTAACTGCTTAAGTTTTTTTTGCAAGCTCTGCTACTTAACTTCTCTTTTTCAATCATGGTTATTAAATTATACTGCTAATATATAGATTATTTTACTGCTTTTGAAAAAATATTGTAGAGGGGTCAGTTAGGTTAAAGTGGGTAAGCTTTTAATTACCTCCGAATACTGTTAATACATAATACATCTTATCTTTATTATACTTCACATAATGGATTTTTTTTTTTAAAGATAGATCTGAAGAATGCTGATCCTGAAAGGGTTGAAAACCAAATTGAGAAAGTGTTTGATATTCCAAGTGATGAATGTATTAAGGTAAAATACGTTCCTAAAAAGATTATACTTTGAAAAAAGTCTCAAGTAATTGGGCTAAGTGAAATTTCATGGTATTTGATAACCTGGCATTATATGCTGTTTTTTATAGTTTTACAAACTTCTTTTACTATTATTTCCTTTGATCCTTATCAAAAGCCCTTTTTATATTGTTAGGACATACAGAAATTATTGCGATGCTGTAGTTAAAGGAACTGAGGCTCAAAGGTTTTATCACTTTCCTAAGATCACAGGTTTAGTTAGCCAATGTGCCAGGACTAAAACACAGGCCTTCTGAAACTCCCTGCAGTATTTCTTGTGTGTCAGTTTGCCCAGTGGAAATACTGTCTTTGAAGAGCAGGTTCAAACTAATTTCAGGGCTTTTGTATGTATCATTCTTGGAACTGACAAAAACCTATTTTATAAAAAGCTAGTTGTAGTGCTAGGAAACAATAGATTTTATTTATACCAAAGTTGCTACCATTTTAAATTTGAATTTTTATTTACCTTTGAAATGATGATCTGCTTGTTAAACAGCCACAGCCAAACTGCTATACTACATGGTAGTGTAAAGTATGTCAGCACAGCAATGTAATGTTTTTCTTTCAAGCTAATTTAATTTTCAAAAGAGCAAGTTATATATGGTTTTATATTTTGGATTATGTTATATTAAAATACAATTAACTATTCTGATTTTAATCTTAATAAAATTCATTCAGATTCTTATTTGGTATATGCCAGCTAAGAGTATGGCAGTGAATAAGACAGACAAGACCCCTTCCTTTCTGCAGACAGTCAATAAATAAGTAAACAAAGAAGTAAGCATAGGAATTATTGACTAGGATAGAGATTGTCAAGGAAATTCATTCGACAAATTGTTATTATTCTAGGTGAAATACCATCATTAACAGTGAAAAGTCTTTTTTCTTAGAGAGACGTTATGACATGGAATAACTTAGCAAAAGCGTCTCTGATAAACTGAAACGTGGAGGAATGAATAATTTTCAGAAAAACATTCCAGGAAGAGAAAAGAGCATGTGTAAAGGACTTAAATTAGGAAAAGATTTGGCATGTTTACTGATCAGAAAGGTTGATTGGATGAGAAGGCTTTGTAGGGGTATGCAGGAATCAAGTCATGCTGGGACTCGTGCTGTGCTGAAGAGCTTGAAAATTATTCTAAGACAATGGAAGGATTTTAAAGCAAGAGAAACAAATTAACCAGTCATTCAGGTAGCCTTACAGAGAATGGATCAAAGAGGTATAAGAAGAGATACAGGGAATCCAGCTATTAATGGTAGCCCAGATGTGAAATTACTATGGCTCAGTATTAACTATCCATATGAAAAGGAGATTATGATCCAGGAGGAAACAATATACATAAAACATAACAGTTCATTGCTAAACTGAGCACTGTCTACAAACCTCCATTTCATACTTTAAAATTAATAAAGAACCTTAATTTTAAAATCTGCATTGCATTAAATGATGTTTCTTGATTTGGAGATAAGTATATAAGAAGCACAGCTGCCCATAGGCAAGATAGCTTGTTGTCAGATACAAGAAACGAACCAGACCATTTATTTGATTTCTTTTTTCCAGTAATGTTAAGCTGTTCTGTATATGGGCATAGAAAAAACACATAATTGGATGCAGTCAAGGTTGAGGTTTTGTCAGCTGCCTCTAATAAGAAGAGAACAGAAAGTGGTTGAACCAGAGTGAATGTAAATGATGGATCTTGGAGTCCCATCTGGGAAAAGATAGAAACAGAGTGGAGGGTGAAGCTGATGGACAGCATCAAGTAGTATATTCAATAGTTACAAGTTAAGGACTATTGTAAAGAAAGTACTACAGTCTAGAGCAGTAGTTGTCAGTGGTGGGTGGTTTTGCCCCTGGGCAAATATTTGGAGATATTTTTGGTTTTCACATCTTGGGAGGGATGCTACCAGCATCTTGTGGGTAAATGAGGTGCCCTGGTTGCTGCTGAACATCCTGTAATGCACAGGACAGCCTCCCAAAACAAAGAATTATCTGGCCCAAAATGTCAGTAGGGCTGAAACTGAGAAATCCTAGTCTAGAGTGAATGTGAAGAGTAAGAAGTTTGAAGTCAGGATTTCAGAGATAGTCCATTTATTACCAGTGATAAAGGTCAGTCATACCATGTGGCTTGAGTGTTGGCTTGCTTTTCTGGTGTGAGAACACTAAAGTAGTAGTAAGATGCCTTATGGTTTTATGCCATCCACATACATTGTTTATCCACACAACAACCTTGAGATTTAGGCAGAATATGAATAATCACTTCATTTTTTAGATGATGAAATTTATGCTCAAAGAGATAGATACTGGTGAAATACATGGATTCAATGCAAAGACATGATTGTTACCCAGATTTCGAACTATTCCTCTTTCAATACCATAATTAGGACTCTCTTGTAATTCCATTCTAGAACTGTAGAACTACGTAACTATAATAGAAAAAGTATTTGTCAATATACTGTTTGCTTTGTTCTTTTCCTTTTGGTGTATTTCTCAAATTGATAACTATTGGAATTTTTTTTTCCTTCTGATCATAAGTCACAGGTCATCAAGATAGAAAAGTATAGTCTTAACTTTAAATGCTTATATTTTTCACATGTATCTTTTTAGATTTCTGCTAAACTTGGAACAAATGTTGAGAGTGTTCTTCAGGCAATTATTGAAAGAATCCCCCCGTGAGTATTTGGTGATTTTTGTACTAGTTGTCTCTATTTAATAGTTCAAAAACTGTCCATGTTTAATAGTTCAAAGACTGTCAGCTTGAACTGTTATTTTAGCTTAATGGATGTGGCAAATATTCTTGCAGGCAGCGAGAATAAATTTATTTGCTTTTAGTAATACATAGAAGGCAAGTACAGTAAAGTAAAAGAAAAAGTAAAGATGATTGATAGAGGTCTTTTCATGACAATCATTATAAAATATACCTCAGTACATTGGCAGTTATTTTCCTTTGCTTTAAGCTGAACAAATATATTCATAAATAATTTGTTAAAACTAGAGGTTATTAAATCTAATATATTTTATAAAAAGGTCTTTTTATTTAGGCTGTTGTGTATCAAACTTTCTCAAGAACTCAAGTACAATATCTAAGTTGAAAATAAGAATTTTATTAAGATTTTAATTTAGTGTATATATATTTACTTTTTACTTATATTTACTAGTCCTAAAGTGCATCGCAAAAATCCTCTGAGAGCTTTGGTATTTGACTCCACCTTTGACCAGTATAGAGGTGTGATAGCCAATGTAGCATTATTTGACGGAGTGGTTTCCAAAGGAGATAAAATTGTATCTGCACATACTCAAAAGACATACGAAGTTAATGAAGTAGGAGTCTTGAATCCTAATGAGCAGCCAACTCATAAATTGTAAGTAATCTGCATTAGTAAAATTAAAATGCATTTGTATGTGGTTCTATTTCTGCATTTTTCTCAACTTGGTATGCTTAGAATGATCCTCATTTGGTAACTTAAAAAAAACTATTTAATGCAACTATACAGTAAATGCTCTGTCAAGGAATCTCATGGGAAGGACAATAGAAACGTCAGTTGATACTTTTTTTATTCTAAATGACTAGTTATAACTAGATTTATGATCAAGGGTAGATTGGATCCTATATCGATGTATTTGATGAGACAATGAAAGAGTTAGTTCCCTCCACCCATATCCATATTAGGTATCATTTTTGACATTTCTTCATAACTAGATTTTCCAATGTAAAGGTGGTATAATAGAAACCTTAATAAATCTTTAGTGTGGAATTCATGGTAAAACCTTGATTAAAATTCTTGGGGAGTAGGATTAGCAAGGGTAGTGTGCATTAGAAAAACATCTGAATTGACTTGTAAAAGAACTATTTATTGAGTGCCTACTCCGTATCAGGTACTGATGAGGCATGACCTTGGGTACATAATTTGAGCTTTGTAAGGTCCTGTTCCTTGTCTGTAGAAATTATTGAACCAGATGACTGTCAGATCACATTTGAGTGTTTAGTGTTATATGTCTAAAAACAGCACTATATTGAGTCAGAAAGTCTATTTTTATTTTACTGAAATATTTTAACATCTATTTATATTCTGCCATATATACCAAACATTATCACATCTTCATTTAAGGTTCTTAAAGCTCATTCTAAGTGTAAATCATTTTAGTTTTGTAGGGATTTTTTTTTTTAACTAAGCTTAAACTGAACTCATAGGATTTGCTCTTTTGCTACAGGAGGAATATCAAGTGTCCAGTTTGTTGAGAGTTCACATTTTTCTTGGATAAAAATTTACCTTTTTTTCCTTTGTTAAAGAACATTTTCAACACAATTCATTAATAAAAGACATCACAAGTGTACTTATTATAATGCTTTTGTACTTACTAGTTTCACTGTATTTACATATATTTTAGAAACTGCTGTTTAAATTGCAAAGGTTGGCAGAATCATGAAAAAGGCATTAGGTTTATAAGTAGAGAGGTCTAATGGATTGTAAGACCTGGTGTGTTCATTTGCTGACAAGCTTCAGAGTTTGATAATTGATATGTAGCACTTATTTTCAAAGTGTATGGAAAGTTTGGAAAGTGTATGATAGTTTCCTGGGAAGGTAGAACTAATTGTGAGTTATGTGCTTGAAACATTAAAGCAGTAAATATTTGCATATAATAATTTTATTTAGATATGCAGGACAGGTGGGCTATCTGATTGCTGGGATGAAAGATGTCACTGAAGCGCAAATAGGAGATACATTATGTTTACATAAGCAACCAGTGGAGCCCTTGCCTGGGTTTAAATCAGCGAAACCAATGGTATTTGCAGGTGAGGAGTTCACAAATTCAAAGGTTGAGGGCCATGATATTTTTAAACTAAAAGTCTGTCTCAGTGGTTAAGGAAAAAATACACATTCTGGTTATTTTAAATAACCACTAATTCCAGCATATTGTTTCACTTTGTGCTGTTTATCAGTTTATAATTACATATGTGTGATGAAATTATATGTGGGAGATCATTTAGGATGTGTTAAGAAATAAGTTCTTGAGGAAGAAGCTGTGATATATAGGATACAGTAATATAAATTTCTTTCTTATTTTTCTAGGGAGTTCATTATTATATTTGAAACATTTTTCTAATTAGGATGTTCTTATTAGTAATTATCAGTAGACACTGACTGAGTGCCTTCATCTTCGATAGACTTTCTTTAATATTGTACTGTACTAATGTAGATATGACAGAATGGTGTTGCCTCAAGTACGTATAATTTCAGAATCTTTTACTTCATTTACTTTGGAAAAAGGAAGACCTGATTGAAGGTCATCAGGTTACTCTGTGCTGAGTATCTAGCCCTTAATTTTTGCCCTACAGTCTCTCTCACTGGGAATTAGGAACTTTGTTTACCCCTACCTTTAGGCAAAGTCAGTCATGTGGATTTTAGAGGACTTCAGAGGTGTCAGATGAAAGAGAATCAGTAGTGATTCCCATAGTTTTTGTCAGTAAATACCAAAAAGCAAAATTTAACTATGGTTTTAAGTAGATAATCTGCCTTAGAGAATTGAGAGTGCAGTATAGTTTTCATGTCTACTTCTATTTTTATCCAATAATAAAGTTTCATTTGGGTTGTGGAATGTCTTGTGCTTTTGTTTTTGAAATTACACTGTGTTTTCTTAATAGGCCTAATTCCCATGTTTTTTTTTTTCTTTTCCCTGTATTTTTTCAAAAACATTAAAAACATTATTTGGAGTGCAAATCTAGTTGTATATTCTTTCAGACTAATGACTTGTAAGATACTTTGAAACCAAATAATCATTCATTTTTAGCAAACCAATATTTTGGTCAATAAAATACAAGAAAGTAATTTAAAAGGTAAATGACTAATTTGGAACTTGGCAGCACTACACATGTGGTTTGATAGGTCTGTAGGCAGCTTATCACGTGATAATTAGAAATCATTGTATCCCCAGGAATGTATCCTCTAGACCAATCTGAATATAACAATCTGAAGAGTGCTATAGAAAAACTGACTTTAAATGATTCCAGTGTGACCGTTCATCGGGATAGTAGCCTTGCTCTGGGTGCTGGCTGGAGGTAAGATTCATTCACATGTGTTTTATAGGAAAGGGAGGTGTAAATGGTGTATTTTAAAAATATTTTTATAGGAAAGGGAGGTTTTTAAAAAATATCTTTATAAGTAAGGGAGGTATAAAATGGTGCATTGTTCTGGAACATTTACTGAAAATAAGTTTATATTAGTGTAAAGTGAACGAAAACAATTTTTATCTGCCTGTTTCACGTTGCGGATTGACATTTTATGGGTAAGTTTTATAGTGATTTAAAATAGATTCCCAATGGAAGATTTTAATCTTATTTAATAAAATTATGCTAGCATTTAATTATATTGTGAATTGTTTGAATGACTTAATTCCATCCCTCCCTTAAAGTAACAATATGTTCATTAAAAAAAAAAAAAATGAAGCCCATGGGACATAAACATTTTGGAGTTTGTCTTTTCCTCCCCCAGGCTAGGATTTCTTGGACTTTTGCACATGGAAGTTTTCAACCAGCGACTGGAGCAAGAATATAATGCTTCTGTTATTTTAACAACCCCTACTGTTCCATATAAAGCTGTACTGTCATCATCAAAATTGATAAAGGTACTTGGTATTTAGTACTGGTATTTAGTACTGTTTTGCATTAGTCTCTTGGAAAAAATAAATGTGTGTATATACAATGCAGGAGAAGCTTTTTACTATACCAATAGCTGATTAAGTATTAAACAAAATATTTATTGATTAGTAGTAATAAACATTGAATTACCCTATGGCTAATGATGAAGAACTTTTTTGAAAACTAATTTATGCAATATTTTTCTTAACCTGATGTAATCTCCAGATTATCAAAACTAGTCTATTGCTGATAGTAAAAGGTAAAATTAGTAGTGAAAATAATGTTCTGATTCTAGCACAAAGATGAAAAATGTAATTTTGGTCATAAGTAATTTATCTCGTAAAAAGTGAAGCATTCATTCTGGTGACTGGGAAATTTTAAATTTCAAATCAGTGATGAAGACAGTATTGTATTCCATGTAAGTGGCAATCTGTTCATTTTAAACAAATACTAATTTTGGCAATCTAAATATTTTCCAACAAAATTAACTTATTAGACTATAATGTTTTATAAGTGTCAGGTTAAAGTGTATTCTTTTGTCATACTTCTTCTAAATGGTCCATGAAATATGTTTAGTAAATATCAATAATTGGAATATATTGTTTACTAATACTTGTTATTAATATTAAATGATTACAGCTGGAGGGATTTTAAAATATAAGGCAAACAAGAAAAATGATAATCATTATATTAAGATTTTAAGTATTGCTGATTTTTCTAATTTTTAGGAACATAGAGAAAAAGAAATTACAATTATCAATCCTGCACAATTCCCCGATAAATCAAAAGTAACAGAATATTTGGAGCCAGTTGTTTTGGGCACTATTATCACACCAGATGAATACACTGGAAAAATAATGATGCTTTGCGAGGTATAACTATAATACAATTTAATACAAAATTAGGTTTTAGTCCTCTGAAATAGTGATTTCCAACTCAGGTTTTAAAAGATTTCTTTCTGCTGAGCATACTGAATTTAATGAGATTTTCATATATATATCTGTCTATATCTATACACATAGATATGTATACTTTTTAAATTATTTTGATTTTAAATAAAAATATTTCTGATAATTTGTGTAATTTACTGATTTGATATGTTAGCCCAAAGGAAAGAAATTTGATAATTAGCTAAATGTATAATTTCGCCTTTTTGAGTAGTTTGAAAGATAATTATAGTACTTCAGGGACCATAAATTTGAAGGTACTCCCATTTTGCTTTAGTTCTCACCACATTGTAATAAATGATTTAATCCACAAATGGTATGTAATTATATTCCTTAAAAATACCTATGTGAAATACTCTGATACATATTGGAAAGTGTGTCAAATGGTGACTGAGCTTTGATTAGGTTAAAAACTAGATTGTAATCTTGGTCTTAACTTTTAATTTCTCTGGACCTAATTATTTGTAAAACAAGAAATTAGGACTTTTGACTTTATATGTAGTTACATTTGATTTACTGTTAAATGAAATAGTGTTCATTTTAAAAGATAAAATTGTTAGATAAAGATTAAAAGCTTTGGTAGCAAGCCTAATGCAATTGAAATATAAAATGTTTCTCTCTGGATTATAAATACTGCCTATAAGTTTTTACTAGACCTTTAGAGAAATACATCATTCCTCAGTATTTGAGTAGGTTATCATTAAACCCATTTTCTTCCTTCCCTTTTTAGGCTCGAAGAGCAGTTCAGAAGAATATGATATTTATTGATCAAAATAGAGTTATGCTTAAATATCTCTTTCCTTTGAATGAAATTGTGGTAGATTTTTATGACTCTTTGAAATCCCTATCTTCTGGATATGCTAGGTAAAAAAATAATGAGAACCTAAGATGCCTGACCAACTTTTTTGAAATATTGATGAGCAAGGGTATACTAATTCTTCATTTATTTAGTAATTTCAGCTTTCTTGAAGATAGTTGAGAATCATACTCTAAGGTTAGAATGACTTGGAACAACTTTATAGGTGTTACAGACTACTTGTGATTTGCTTATAGGAGAAAAGTTTCCTTTGATTTATTATCTAACTTTTATTTCTCTTTTAACAAAAAAAGTTAGTCCCCTTTTCATGAAGAGCTGTATTCCTTGTCTGTTAAGAATTAGACCTAATTTCAAAAATTTACCATAACCTCAGTGGCACTTTTAAAATGTATATTTATGTTATGCAATCTCAAGAGCATCTATTTACATTTGAAAAATAAAAGTGCATATTCAGTCTGTAAAAAATGTTAGATGTGCCGCTCCATTAGTGAACACTTTAATAACTTAGTCTTTTGAGGAACAGGTTGTCCTCATCACGAAAACCTTTGTGTATCTCATAGGAGTACATGGAGAAAAGCCAGATAAAAGTGAAAGGAGAGTTACTATTAAATAACAAATAAGAAACTCAGGGCATAGCATTCTGAGAGGCTGTTTTTTGTTGTTGTTGTTGTTGTTGGGGCATATAACTCTAGATACCCTCACTATGCCCTAAAATCTTATGTTACGGGATAGTATATATAGAAAACAGATGTGAAACATGGGGAAGCAGGAGGGGAAAAATGAACATTGACATCTATAAAACTCCCACACAGTGCATGAATGTTAATGTTAACATGCAGAGACAAATTCCAGTGTTTAACAAACATGCTACAGTGACTTGGAAGTTTAACTTTATTTAATCATCTTGTCAGTGAAGAGAGTTAGCATATATAATTCTTCTTACCAAGGAATCTTCATGTTCCTTTGTATTGAGAATTTTCTTCTACTTTGTCACCCAGTTTTTTCTTCTTCTATGTCTTCTTTCAGACAAGACCTTGAGCAAGTAAGTGGCAATGGAATTTAAAGTAAAATGAATTGAGGGGCATATTAAAATTACTAGAGTTGAAAGGAAGATTAGTAGGTTTAATGTTTATAAATATTTTTAACAGAAGTCTGTCAATTTTAGTTTGCATTTGGGTACTACTTTCTGAATTATAAGTGGTCTTAAAAAGCCTTGTCGTTTGGAAACTTAAATACATTTTGAATTTAATGAGAGAACATGATTTATTTTTGAACTACATAAAAATAAAATATTCCAGCTTCCAGCATTAAGGTAATTATGTTCAAGATGGATGTTTTACATAGGCAGTCAATTCCACACTTAACAGAAAGTCATCATAGACTATGAATTAAGATCAGGAAAAAACTTATTTCATACCAGGAGGCAAGAATCAACAGCAACTAGTAGCTTTTTGGAATTACAAATGTGTTTCCTGCATTCTAAGGAAACACTAGAATACCTATGTTTTCAATAGAGGTTAGGTATCAATTGGACTGCTTGGAAACAAAAACACAATTTTTATAATGATTTCTTTTGAAAAAATGAGTTAAGAAATTTTTAAGATTTTTAATATTTTGGACCACAACATAGCTGGAGCTGTAACAACTTCAAAGTTAAGGACCATGTCTGTTTTATTCTCTATTTGCTTTGTATTCTGTATGATACTTAACATGGTATCTTTCATACAGTAAATGTATAAGTGATGCTTCCTGAAGAAAGAAAGGATTTTAACAGTACTTCTGAAAATAATCTGTTAATAGAGTGTATTATTGTCACTTTATGACCTTCCTGCTGAAAATCTTTAGAAACCAAATATAATTTTGCAAGTCCAGGCACCAATTGTTTTAAAATTAAGACAATAGGAGTATACATATTCTTGTCTGTGATTGGGACAACTTGTAAGCCTAATTGAAATTTTCTTTAGACTTCAGTTTTATAAGTGAAACATTTAAATGTCTGTTTTGACTAACATTACAAGCTTTGACCACATTGTTAAAAGTAATAGCTGAAACTAAGTGCTTGTGTGTGCTAAGCTAGGCTCTGTTTAAACACTTATTATGTACTAGGCATTGCTCTAATTGGTTTACATGTATTAACTCATTTAATCCTCACAAAAGCCCTGTGAAGGGAGATGCAAGCTGAAGAGCCAAATAGGAAATCCAAAGGTCTCATTTATTAATGGCATTTTATGAGTGTCATAGCATTTATTTAAACATAGAGTTGTCATTGGTAATAGAAAGTTAAACAGAAACCCAACTCATGAATCTGAAAATGATCCATTAATAATATATAGTATTGTCCGAAGCCTCCCAGCTGCTGGGAACATTGGGAAGGCATGATATTTGTCTTCAATAAACCATTTTCTTTGTCAGGTTCACCAGCTTATTTTCCTTTCCCCTATAAACATATTCCCCTTGCTTTTGCCCTTGATTTAATAAACATAAAAAGATAACATTTAGATCCATTCACAAGAAACTGTATATGTAATATTTTGATGGAAACATATCTCTTTGGGGAGTGTAATGCGGTAGAAAGTAGACATTTAGTAAAGAGTAAAGAGTAATAAAGGTAATCTCTCAGGAAGTGTAATATTTATCACTTGGACTTTTTTCCTTTTAGTTTTGATTACGAAGATGCAGGCTACCAGACTGCAGAACTTGTAAAAATGGATATTCTACTGAATGGAAATACTGTAGAGGAGCTAGTAACTGTTGTACACAAGTAAGTTCAATAGAAACTAATCATGGAATGTGAAAATACTTTTGATATGTTTTTCATTTATTTTTGTTTGAGCAGCTGCATTTAAAAAACTTCTAAGGTAATTAAAATAGAGTTCACCCTACTAACTTTGCTTTCTCTTTTTTTTCCACACTTCTCTCTAGACTGCTAAAAATAGAACAGAGCTATAATAGTCAAAAAGAACAGTGTCATAGAAATGTTTCCCTTCACCATATTAAAAAAAGTTTTAAACATTTTATAATGATGGATTTAGAATTGGGAACAAGTTTTTTTGTTTTGTTTTGTTTTTTTTTTAGATGGGAGTCTCATTCTGTTGCCAGGCTGGAGTGCAGTGGCGCAATTTCTGCTCACTGCAACCTCCGCCTCCCGGGTTCAAGCAATTCTCCTGCCTCAGCCTCCTGAGTAGCTGGGACTACAAGCGCATGCTACCATGCCCGGCTAATTTTTGTATTTTTAGTAGAGATGGGGTTTCACCATATTGGCCAGGATGGTCTCGATCTCTTGACCTCTGATCTGCCCGCCTCGGCCTCCCAAAGTGCTGGATTTACAGGCGTAAGCCACCGCGCCCTTTTATATTTGTAAAAAAATTATAAAAAGGAAAACCCCCACGTGTTCAAGAAACAGCAGATTGGTTAAAATGAATTACAAAGCACCCATATTGTTATTTTCAGCCATTAAAACTTGTGGAGTAATATTTAGTGACATAAAAATGTCTGTTAAATATAAAGAGGGTAGAATATATCGTAAACACTGATCATACAAAAAAATGCAAAAAAGTGATTAGAAAGATAACTGTTTAAAATAATCATTCCAAAATGTTTAACCGTTTTCAGCGGGTAAGGAAAGAGAATCAAGAACAGTTTCTATTGTCTAATGTTGTATTTCTAAATATTCTGTAATCATACATTACTTTTTTAAATCAGAGAAGTTGTTCATGATTCAGAGAGTAAGAGAGATTTATAAGTAAGTTCCATTTGAACCTCCTTAAGAGATCACCTTTACACTGATTATGCAACTGGCCTAGAAAAAT